>NC_000007.14:92203748-92506779 GCF_000001405.40 Homo sapiens | reverse complement strand
CCATGCCCTTTTTCTGTGTCAGTTGATACAATTATATGGTTTTTCTTTTTTAGGCTATTAGGTGTTGATAGGGTTGAGTAACTTACAAATGTTGAACCAGCCTTGCATACCTGTGATAAATACCACGTAGTTGTGGTGTATCATTCTTTCTACATTGCTGAGTTTTATCTGCTAATGTTCTGTTGAGCTTTTGTCCATTTAAGTTTGAAAGTGATTAGTTTGCAGTTTTCTGTTTTTGTGTTGTCTTTGTCTGGTTTTGCTATCCGTGTAAATCTGGCCTCATAAAATGAGATGGGAAGTATTCTCTCCTCTTCTTTTGTTTTTTTGGAAGAGGTTGTATAAAATTGAGGCTGAATCTTGGTGGTTGCCACAATGACAGGAACTATTTCTGTGACTGAATATATTGGGAATTCCTATAAAGCAATTATTTTCTAGGGAAGTGGAAAATCAACTTTAGCCAAAGCAATCTGTAAAGAAGCATTTGACAAACTGGATGCCCATGTGGAGAGAGTTGACTGTAAAGCTTTACGAGGTATGAGTATGGTAACACTCTATATAAATCCCTTTTTCATTAGAAAGACAGGAATGTTATACATAATGCTGTCAATCTAATAAATACACATATCATCTAGTCTTTAACTTTTCTGTTTATCATTTAGTCATTAAAATTTCTTTGGCTTTCTAATGTTTTTGATAAAATTTCTAAAACTCTCCATATTTAATGGAGGCCTATTTTTTTTTCTAGCCAGAACTTTTTGTAGACTACATTTCTGGAAGTGCTCACTGACACCACTCTGAAAAATTAGTACTTAGAATATACTCTAATTGGTATAAATGATCTCTGAATTGCTATGGAAAACTGGGAGAATGGTTGCTTCAGGGGAGAGAAAGTAGGAGGCTGTGGACAGCAATGAGGAGAATTACAGTTCACCATATAACACTTTTGTACTTTTAAAGTCCTTAACATTTACATTATTATCTATTCAATTAAAAAATATTGGGAAGATTTTACTTTGAACAGTTAATTTTTCCCCCATGGGTACCGCTGTCATATAGTTCCAACTAATCATGAACTTGTGTATTTCCTGTTCTTTGTAAATTTAAACTTTGTAACTCACCAGGAAGTTTGAAGCCAAATTTGTGTTTCAAATATAGCAACTCCAGGATCTCTAGGCAGATGCATTTGCATTTGATTTTAAATGAATCTTGATCCCTTACTCTCACTTATGTTTTCCCACATCCTACTTTTTTTATTTTGTTGTAAGCCATCTAAAATTCTCAATGGGATGAAACTGGGTATAAATGAATACATGCATACAGGAATTATAGTAGCATATTCCTTTTCTTTTTTCTTTTTTTTTTTTTTTGAGACAGAGTCTTGCTCTGTAGCCCAGGCTGGAGTGCAGTGGTGCGATCTCGGCTCACTATAGCCTCCACCTCCCAGGTTCAAGCAATTCTCGTGCCTCAACCTCCCGAGTAATTGGGACTACAGGTGCATGCCACCACACCTGGCTAATTTTTGTATTTTTTAGTAGAGATGGGGTTTCACCATGTTGGCCAGGCTGATCTCAAACTCCTGACCTCAAAGTGATCTGCCTGCCTTGGTTTCCCAAAGTGCTGGGATTACTAGCATAAGCCACTGCACCTGGCCTCCTTTTCTGAGTTTTATAAAATTTGATACTTTACTGCACGCTTTGAGACTGTATTAATTGAACCATGTTGATGAACAAGTTTTTGTGATGGGTATATTAATAAAATATAGATCAAATTTTTATAGTTAAATCAATATCGAGCTTTTCTAGTGCTTTCAAAAGGACAACCTGAATTTTCCCAGCACTGAAATGATACTGAAACCATTTCATATCTTCTGTATTAAGGAAAAAGGCTTGAAAACATACAAAAAACCCTAGAGGTGGCTTTCTCAGAGGCAGTGTGGATGCAGCCATCTGTTGTCCTGCTGGATGACCTTGACCTCATTGCTGGACTGCCTGCTGTCCCGGAACATGAGCACAGTCCTGATGCGGTGCAGAGCCAGCGGCTTGCTCATGGTAAATGCATCCACCACTGGCTTAAGGTCTTGTTCTTTTGTCAGTCAGCATTTTTAGTCTTAACAATAAATCTACTCTCTTCAGAGAATAATATATGTGTTATGTTAAGTGTTGTGTTTGAGGCCCCTGATGGCATTCTACAGTTGTCCTATAGACTGTAATAGCAAAATTGGTAGAGTAAAAACAGTGTGAAAATTCTGCAACTTCATGGTTAGTCCTTTAGGGTTTTTCATTCTCCCTTACTTATTGTTTAATTTACAGATTTACTCTTTTGTTCATTTGACAAATATTTGTCAAATGCTTGTGCACAGTCTGTATTCTCAAATTCTAGGAGAAAAAGAAGGGTGAACAGTATTAGCGCAGAACGATACTAATAATGATGGCTACTGTGTATGAGTAGCCAGCCCTTTCTTGGCTTTCTTGGATTGCTTTGTATTCTACATGAAGATATTCCCTGGGCTTTACAGGTCAATAAATGGAAATTCAGAGAGATTAATTTGACCAGGGTGACCAACAAGGAGATGACAGCATACACTATGCGAGAAGTATACACAGAGTAGTGTAGGAGCATATAACCTAAACTGGGGGTGAGGTGGGATAAGGAGTTATCAGGGAAGGCTTTTTGGAGGAGTTGACAACTGAGCCGAGTTTTGATGGAAGAGTAGAAATTAGCATGAACCAATTTCATGCTAATAAAGAAGCAAAGGAAGCGTGGTCTACAGGCAAAAGCACAGAGGTACAGGAAGTAATGATATGTTGGGGAATACCCTGTTGACTGGAGCTTAGAGTGCAAGGAGAGGAGTGCTAGGGAGGTGAGGTTGGAGGGTTTGGCAGCATTGACTTGCTTCAAGGTTCTTAAGAGCTGAAATAGATATAAAATGCAACTAAGAGTGGCTTGGATTATTATTACCTAGTGTGTTAATCTCAAATTTTGAAATCTATAGCATCTATAGGACTGGTGTTACTAATCTTACACTCGATCTGTTACTGTTCTTATACTAGATCTATTAGTCCAGTGTTTAAGGGAGTGGTGCAGATTTCTAGGTCAGGACAGGACTCAGATGTACATTATTAATGCCTATTTCAGTTCTGACCTTCTCATATGAAACCTTATAAGACCTGGGGTAGGAAGAGATTGTTCTGGAAGTCATAGGAATATGAACTGTATTTTGTTTAACAAACAATACAGTATGGAAATTTATCACCCTTCCAGAATATTTATTTCAGAGACAAATTTTTATCATTCGTTCATTTATTTCATAAGATCCACGAGTAGGGAACCTCACTAGACATTGCTCTGAGTATATGGTCTGAGTTTGCAGTACCTCTTGTGTCTCCATTAGATTTATTAGGTCCTCAATAGATAAATCAGGGAATAACTAGATGGATTCATTTTTTAAAGACATGAAAGAGCGATACCATACATACTGCACCTTAAAGGTCAACCTTAGAGTATCATTATTTTTAATGAATGTATAATTTTTAAATTTCATGTTTACTTTTCCTAAGCTTTTGCACTATATTGCTTAATTCCAGCTTTGAATGATATGATAAAAGAGTTTATCTCCATGGGAAGTTTGGTTGCACTGATTGCCACAAGTCAGTCTCAGCAATCTCTACATCCTTTACTTGTTTCTGCTCAAGGAGTTCACATATTTCAGTGCGTCCAACACATTCAGCCTCCTAATCAGGTAATACACTACTTGTAAGGATTATTGAATTATGTCCCTTTTATAGAAATTATTTTTCAATTTTATTAGTAATTCGTGGCTTTAAATTTATGCTTCTCTTAATGATTTTAAGGATATGTAAGTCAACATTTGGTGCATATTGTGCTAGAGGCATAAATTATAATTTATAGCCACCTGAAATGTTAGTATGCGCTTTCCAAGAAAATGACTTTTTTGAAAATGGTATTTCTTTGAATGAGAAAGAACAGAGAGAAATAGATAGATGGCTTTTAAACACTTCATTAATTAAACTTTTTTTTTCCACCATCACATAATGGCACTTAGTCCCCTTTGGGAACTCATGAGGGTTTTAGTGGTAGTGAGCTGAAAGAAATATGTTCCAGGACTGGCAAACATATTCTAAATTCTTTAAAATTTTCACCTAGCATCTACCCTAAATATTCAGACCCTGTGCTAGTTAACTGCTATTGAAGAACAAAGGTATTATATCTATTATTAAGGATAATAGAATGGTATTTGAGATATTGGTCATTGAATATGAATATGTTTTGAGAAATAAGTTTTATAGGAACCAAAAAAAAATTCTTAAAGGAACCATATATTACTAAAAATGCTTCTTATTGGAGAAAGAAATGACAATCATTTATTAATGTGATTTTTTCACAACTTTATTAAGATATAATTTAAGTACAACAAACTCACATAAAGTGTACAATTTGATCAGTTTTAACATATGTAGATGCCATGAAACCATCACCACAATTAAGGAAACAAACATTTTCATCACTCCAGAAGTCTCCTAGCCCTTTTACTACCCATTCCTCCCCTGCTCCATCCCCAGACAACTACCAATTTGCTTTCTGTCACTATAGATTTGTCAACCTGATTTTCTCCAAATATACATTCAAAAATATACAGTTGAATACAATTGGAAATTCGAATTTTGTGTTTTTTTCTTTAGGAACAAAGATGTGAAATTCTGTGTAATGTAATAAAAAATAAATTGGACTGTGATATAAACAAGTTCACCGATCTTGACCTGCAGCATGTAGCTAAAGAAACTGGCGGGTTTGTGGCTAGAGATTTTACAGTACTTGTGGATCGAGCCATACATTCTCGACTCTCTCGTCAGAGTATATCCACCAGAGAAAGTATGTTTTACTATTAAAACCTGAACTTGGAATCTTCTTTCTATTGTGGAGAAATGTAATTGTAGTAAGACAAGAATTAAATATATTCCATTGTAGTATTTGAATAAGCAGTTATTTGAGTAGAAAATTAGTGTTTCCAGCTAAGATGATGGCATATTTTGAAAATTCATATAGTGAATATAACTAGTAAAAGAAGTTTTGTTTATTTTTAAACAGAATTAGTTTTAACAACATTGGACTTCCAAAAGGCTCTCCGCGGATTTCTTCCTGCGTCTTTGCGAAGTGTCAACCTGCATAAACCTAGAGACCTGGGTTGGGACAAGATTGGTGGGTTACATGAAGTTAGGCAGATACTCATGGATACTATCCAGTTACCTGCCAAGGTATGTTTAAAAAAAGAAAAAGTGAATACTTACTCCCAGAAGAACCACTGTATTATTGGCTTTGGCTTTATGTGTCAGCTTGCCCAATCTCCGTGTGAGTCAACAAGTGTTTACTGAGTTACCAAATAAATGTCTTAACACTATTTTAGGTACTTTAACAAATTTTAATTTTATTAATTAATTTTTTATTAGAATTGAGACCTCACTCTGTCATCTAGGCTGGAGTACACTCACAGCTCACTGCAACCTCAAACTCCTGGGCTCAAGCAATCCTCCTGCCTCAGCCTCCCCAGTAGCTAGAACTACAGGCATGAACCACCATGCCCGGCCAACTCTTTAATTTTCTTAGAGACGGAGTCTTGCTATGTTGCCCAGGCAGACAGATTTTAATGTGTATGATGCAGTCTTTGATGATAAGAAACTTATAATGGAAAGCTGAGGTGATAGTTACAGTAAATACATTTTGATGTATAATTCTGTTTGCTTTAATCATTCAAATTGTAGTAAAGCAAGATGAACTGTCTGCTGGGATTTGAGCAGAAATGGATAGGAATAAACTAGGAGGTAGAAGAGTTATCAAGGTTCACAGGACTGATGGGTGAAGCTAGATTTCCAGACCCGGGATGTCAGTCCTTGAAAAGCAGACTTGGCAGGCATAGACGAGGCAGATAGCAGGATAAAGGAGACAAATGTAGATTGTTCTTCAGAAGATCAGATGGTAGAGTCTAGGAGGTAGTGTGTTTTAATCAGAGATCTGAGAGGCAAAGATCATTGCATGAGATCAGGGACCCATGCAAAGGAGTGAGAAAAAAAACTGGGTTAAGGAGCCTGCTGCATGGCAACTCCTGGGAACAGTGGCCACTGGGGCCTGGGACATGTTGATTGCAGCCCAGGACTGTTAAAACCAGTGTGAGAGAACATGGGTATGGAAGTACTAGCTAGCAGGATCATGACCCCGATGCTGGGATGGGGCATCAAGCATTAGTACATGGAGATTCAGTACATCCAGATGCAGTACATGGAGACTATATGCGTAACTGCTGACTTTGGGCTTCTTTCAGATTGGAGCAGAGGTAGAGGTGAGTGGGAATATTCTCAATAGAGGGAACTAAATAGGCATACCTAATAAAGGAGACCAGGATATTGCAGACAGTAGCCTCATGTTTGGCTCACCTGTTCAAAAAGTTCTCTTGTTCTTGAGCAGTGGTGCCTTAAAAGGTAACTTGAGAAGCAGTCGATTATTTGTTCAGCCTGGAGACTCTTGGGATATTTTACTATCTTTGATTGAATAGATTTAAATGTACACAGCTCTCATAACTTGCCCCATGAAGCATATCCATGAAAGGCACTATACTTGTTAAAAGATTGGTTTGTACTTTTTAAATGTAGTACTTTTAATAAAACAGGAAAAATAGAAGTTCTGATGCAGTTATATGCATTTTATATAGAATGTGTTCTTAATTGGAAAAAATTTGTCGTAGTTCCTTTGAGTTCATTTACAGTTTTTAGTAGGAATTGTATTTTCTACTGTTGTACTTGCTGTTACTAAAGAAAGATGGTCGTGATTACCATCTGAATTTTTTTTCTATACATTGATCTTTAGCTGCTACTTAGTCATTTCTGTTTAGACTTGAGCTCTTTTTCATATTTTTTTTTTTTGTTTCTCAGTATCCAGAATTATTTGCAAACTTGCCCATACGACAAAGAACAGGAATACTGTTGTATGGTCCGCCTGGAACAGGAAAAACCTTACTAGCTGGGGTAATTGCACGAGAGAGTAGAATGAATTTTATAAGTGTCAAGGTATGTTGTCTACTTATCTTCTTTTTTTATTTAGGTAAAATTAACATAAATGCAGTTAGCCATTTCAAAGTGTAAATTCACTGGCATTTAGTGCATTCACAATGCTATGCAACCACCACCTCTCTCTAATTTCAAAACTTTTTCATTCCACTCCTCCTCTTGCTTATCCCCTGGCAACCATTCATCTGCTTTTTGTCTCTATGGATTTGCCTTTTCTGTATATTTCATATAAAACAAATCATGCAATATGTGACCTTTTTTGTCTGGCTTCTTTCACTTATGTAATGTTTTCATGGTTCATCCAGGTAGTAGCATGTATCAGTACTTCATTCCTTTGCATGACTGAATAATGTTACCATACTTTGTTTATCCACTTATCAGTGGTGAACATTTGAATTGTTTCTACCTTTTGACTATTATGAATAATGTTGCTGTAAATATTCATGCACAAATTTCTCCACGGATATGTTTTCATTTCTCTTGGGTATAAACTGAGGAGTAGAATTCTTGGGTCTTAGGGTAATTCTCTAACTTTTCAAAGAACCACCAAACTGTCTTTCACACCAACTGCACCATTCCCACTAGCAGTGTGGGGGGTTCCTGATTCTCCACATCTTTACCAACACCATTATGTTTCTCAATTGTGGGCTAGTCTCACATTTGGAAAGCTAGTGGGAGCAGCGATCCATCTATTAAAAGTTGTATGAAATTGAGTAATGAGCCACCTCTCTCTTGTAGGGCTTATTATGTTCTTGCTTAAGGCAATCTTCATGCATTGTGAACAGAATTATACATAAATGCTCAGATAAAAGGGCAAACCATTCTTAAAGGGAGTAGACAACTAGAGGCAGGAGACCATACTGAGGCAGGAAGCTGGGGTTTTTATGGTTCTGTTACTTTTGACTATATCTCACCATTGCTTTTGTCAAAGTGAGACTAGGTCTAAGTTTTTTTCAGGTATAAGGTGAGTGTGGTAATTAAGGGGCATGCTAGCAGATCATTTTGGGTAATGCTTCACAGTCCACCACTGGTGTGTCATTGTGGTCGCAGATCCAGTATCTTAGCTGTGTAATTTCAGACATCAGCAATATTAGTTTAACAAAGGGCAATTAGATTCCAAGACAAAGGAATCGTGTATTATTCTAGCCTTATTCAAACTTGATTTATAAATCAGTTTAGTAATTTATTTATTTGTTTCTGTATTTATTTTTATTTCTTTGAGATGGAGTCTCACTCTATTGGCCAGGCTGGAGTGTAGTGATGCAATCTTGGCTTACTGCAACCTCTGCCTCCTGGGTTCAAGCTATTCTCCTGCCTCAGCCTCCCGAGTAGCTGGGATTACAGGCTAATTTTTGTATTTTTAGTAGAGATGGGGTTTCACCATGTTGGCCAGGCTGGTCTTGAACTCCTGACCTCGAGTGATCTGCCCGCCTTGGCCTCCCAAAGTTCTGGGATTACAGACGTGAGCTACCGTGCCCAGCTCAGTTTAGTAATGTATAACTGGGTTTTACCCAGTTGTAAATTACTCTTTTGTCGTGTTTTTTTGAGAACTGGCAATGACGGAGAAACTAAAAGTGCCAGGCTGTTGCCTTGTTCCTGTTATTTTGCCTTAGTTTTTTTTTTTTTTTTTTTTTTCTCTGAGACTGAGTCTTGTTGTGTTACCAGGCTAGAGTGGAGTGGCATGATCTCGGCTCACTGCAACCTCTGCCTCCTGGGTTCAAGTGATTCCTGCCTCAGCCTCCCGAGTAGCTGGGATTACAGGCGCCTGCCACCGCACCCGGTGAATTTTTGTATTTTTAGTAGAGACGGGATTTTACCATGTTGGCCAGGCTGGCCTCGACCTCCTGACCTCATGATCCACCAGCTTCGGCCTCCCAAAGTGCTGGGATTACAGGCGAGAACCACCGTGCCCGGTCTTGCCTTAGTTATTTCTTGTTCCCTCCTCTAGTCCTATAGTTCTCTGACTGTATTGAGGAAATGTAATTAAATATTATTATGTTAATAGATATTTATGTGGTTGAATATTAGAAATTCCTTATTTTGGTCACATATCCTGATCAGTAGTTGGTCTTCTGGAGATAGTGATTTTTCACTAGAGATGACTTTAGGACCTATTCAGGTTTTTTTTAAGATCCCAATTTAAGGAAAGACTATTCTCATTATTGATTTTGCTATATGCAGGGAAATTTATTTCGAAAGGTTTTTCAGTTGGCTTTTAGGGAAGATTATATATTCTCTTTTTTTTTTTTTGGCCTTTTCCCACATGTTCTAAAAATGATATATTCTTTAACTCCTATGAAAATACATTGTTTCAGTAATTGAAGATGCTGATTAAAGTCATATCTCTACACATTTTTTAAAATTTGAGATAGATGGGACTTTGTCCCTTCTTACACCATTCACTTATTCACTTGGAAAAACTATTATCCAATACTTATGTGGCAGACACTGTTTCTGGCACAAGGGATTCAGCAGTGAACAAAACTGCCTTTTTGGAGTTTACATTCTACTAGTGGAAAGCGACAACAAGCAGATAGACACATTCAGTATATAATTCACTGTCAGATGGTGGTGGTAAGTCCTATGTAGGAAGAAAAGCAGGGTAAGGAGGCTTGGAGTAACTGGAGTGAGTCATAGATGGACTTGTCAGGAAAGGGTTTCTGAAGAGGTGGTATTTGGGCAGAGATCTAAATAAAATGAAGCAACAAGCCATGAGAATATCCGGGGGAAAATGTTCTGGGCAGAAGCATCAAGCATAGAACTTGTGGTATGATATTTATTCTAGCACACATTAATTTTAAAAATGTATAAAAGACATCCATTTAATCATATTAAAGATTTCCATGATTCATTTAGACTTAGTCAGAAACCAAATTTATATTTTCTTTTTAAATAATTTTATCTCAACTCTTATTTTACCCAATAGGGGCCAGAGTTACTCAGCAAATACATTGGAGCAAGTGAACAAGCTGTTCGGGATATTTTTATTAGGTTGGTAGCCTATGAATGTTTTTAAAGTAACTGACTCTGTTATTATTTATCAATCAGTGCTTTTTTTGGTCTTGTTTTTTGAAGAACTGATATTTGAAACCTGTGGTTTATGTGAATTATTAATAAGCTAGAGGACGTGGATTCTCTATTTCATCAAATAATACAAAACATTTTAGATATTAAATTTTGGAAATTATTTGGTTTTGTTTTACAATAGAAATACTCCTCAAAGTGGAATCGAAGTGGTTATTCAAAGAAATCTCAGAGTAGATTCTTATATGAAGCAAATAATTGCCCCTAATTTATCTCTAAATTTTGTAAGTTCTAAATTCTTTTTTCCCCCAGTTTCTAATTTATCTCTTATAAGTCAAGAGTCCATCTGGCCAATTTAATTTCAGTGAGTGTAACTATTTTGCATATATTAAAAAACTGTATATGAATACAGAAGATGGTATTTAAGGATGAAAATAATTATTCAAATGTGATAGCATTATGGGGAGTTTTAAAATAAAAGTTACTGTTTTATTCTTCCAAAAATTTTATTATAAAGTATACAGTTAAGAGAATATACATAAAATACATATGCAGCTTAAGGAAGAATAATAAAATGAATACTTCATGTATTCACCACCGAGTTTACCAGGAAAAAGCATAAACAAAATAAACCTCTTCCACGTAATTCCTGGGTTAAAGAGAAGTTATAGTGGAAAATATTTGGGAGCAAACGATAATGAAAATACTATCCATTAAAATTGTTAGATGTTGCAAAACTGATTTCAAGGAAAATTTATAGTGTTAAATGTTTAGAAAAGAAAAAAGGTTAGAAGTTAACCACTTATGTATCTATCTCATGAAATTAGGAAAATTATAGATATAAACTAAAAAATATGTTAAAAGGGAAATAATAAAGATAAGAATGAAGTTTAATGAAACACAAAACAGAGAAGCTCACAAAGCCAAGATTTATTTTTTGAACACCGAGTACAATTGACAAATCTCTAACAAGTTTGATTAAGAAAAAAGAAAGCATGAATAAACAATTTTAGGGATAAAAAGGGAAACATCGCTAAAGATATCCCAGAAATGTAAAAGATAATAAGGGAATATTATGAAAATATTCATGCCAATACATTTGAAAACTTAGGTGACATAGACAAAAACAAAATTGACCAAAATTGAGCAAAAAAGAAACAAAATCTGAGTAGTCCTGTAACTTAGTAAAAATTGAGTTAGAAAAGTTAAAGAAGTCTTTACACAAATCAAACATCAGACTCAGTTTTCTAGGAGAGTTTTGCCAAACATTCAAGTAGCAGATAATTCTGGTCTATTTTTGGCCCCAGAAGATATATTTTACTTGCCATGCATTTAATGAGATAGCTGTTGATTTTTTTCAATCACCGTGACAGGTGTTTTATATTAGGTGTTATTCGCCAGACATCTAGTCCACCTGTTGCCAGATATGGAATTAATATTCACTTATTTTGAATTAAAATTTGTTAATAAATTAATAAAACAAAGTCAAAGTTCAAATTATTAAAAAAGTAAAAGAAATAAAATATATTTTATAGAGAGCCCTTACAAAACAGTACCAACATAATGAGCTTTCCAAATTTTGAATGGGCAAAATAAATGAATAGGCATTTCACAAAAGAAGGAAGGGTGGCCAATAAGTATATATTAATATAAAAATGGTTACTTGTAATAGGAATCAAAAGTGTTTGACTTATTGACTAAGAGTCAGTTTTTGTTTTGATCCCTGTTAGTCTATCCAGAAGGCATGGGTCTTAATAAACACCTTGACCTCAACAGTTTACTGAATACAAGGGTAATTTCATATGCCTTGCCTTCTTTAAGGGTTTGTTGTAAAGATTAAAATAAATACATAAATATATATAAATACATTTATATGTATTTATATGTAATTACATACAACTTGCCTTCTTTAAGGGTTTGTTGTAAAAATTAAAAGAAGTATATAAATATATATAAATACATAAAATAAATACATTCATATATGTATATGAAATCACTTTGCCAACTATGAAGCCTGATTCAAATATGAAATGTTGTTTGTTTTTCCCAGAGCACAGGCTGCAAAGCCCTGCATTCTTTTCTTTGATGAATTTGAATCCATTGCTCCTCGGCGGGGTCATGATAATACAGGAGTTACAGACCGAGTAGTTAACCAGTTGCTGACTCAGTTGGATGGAGTAGAAGGCTTACAGGGTAATAATTATAAATACAGAAATAGAATGTTATAACAAAATGTCATCATGTCATCAGATTTTGGTAAAAAAATGTTCTTTTTTCCTCTAGGTGTTTATGTATTGGCTGCTACTAGTCGCCCTGACTTGATTGACCCTGCCCTGCTTAGGCCTGGTCGACTAGATAAATGTGTATACTGTCCTCCTCCTGATCAGGTGACAATTTCATATTTAGAGTCCAAAACCCAACAAATGCTACACTCTTTCCTTGTGAGCTTTACTTCTGCCAGGTAATGGCAATTGTCCTTAGAAGACCAGCTTTCTTAGGGAAAAGCTTTAGCCACTGTTTGCTCAAAGCATAAAAAGATTCTGAATTAGATGCAAAGCCTTTTTTTGGCCCAGTGCAAGTCTGAAAACTTTGTAATCCTTCTGTGTTGGCTGATTGGGGAAAAAAAAATGCAAGAAACCTAATGTATTATATTTTCACATTATCTTCTGTTCAAAGATTACATACTTCCATTATCCTGTCAAAAAAAAAACTCTGATACAGAATCAAGCATGTGAATCGTAAGCATGTAAGCAGGTTTCATAGAGATAATTTTTCAACTCTTCCTTGTCCTGTGTTGTTCCAACTCTTATTCTCCAATTTAGAAGCAAACAAATAAATGAATGAAAGAACAGATAGACAAATGAATAGTCAAAGGTATAAAGTATCTGTATATATGTTACATGTAGCTATTATTTAAATTATTTAGATTTTCCTTTTGAAATACCTTCTTGGCACACTTGCCTAAATCTAGAAAATAAGCACTGTGTGAATAAGAAATTATTTACACTGAATATTTTGTAGGTTTTTGGGTTTTTGTTTTTCAGACAAGGTCTCACTTTGTCACCCAGGCTGGAGTACACTGGTACGATCACAACTCACTGCAGCCTCTATGGCCCAGGCTCAAGCAATCTCCCCACCTCAGCCTCCCGAGTAGCTGGGACCACAGGCACACGCTACCATGCCCAGATAATTTTATTATTAATTTTTGTATAGAGATGGGGTCTCCCTGTGTTGCCCAGGCTTTCTTGAACTCCAGGGCTCAAGTGATCCTCCCACCTCAACCTCCCAAAGTGTTGGGATTACAGGCGTGAGCCACCATGCCCAGCCTTAAGAGTGTTTGATTTTCATTCATTTTCCTATATATATTATTTCTGTTGGGGAAAAAATTCCAAGGAAGATAAATAGTAGGCTGTTGGTACATTTCTCAACTTACTTATAAAGCTTTTTAGATATATAAGGTTAATTTATGAAGAAAATCATAAGATACACAATTTAAGATAATATTTTTAATTTTATTTTTTATTTGTTAAATAAATTTTTCTCCTTTCAGGTGTCACGTCTTGAAATTTTAAATGTCCTCAGTGACTCTCTACCTCTGGCAGATGATGTTGACCTTCAGCATGTAGCATCAGTAACTGACTCCTTTACTGGAGCTGATCTGAAAGCTTTACTTTACAATGCCCAATTGGAGGCCTTACATGGAATGCTGCTCTCGAGTGGACTCCAGGCAAGTTATATGAGGAAGTTGTTATGACATTTTATGAGTGATAAAAGAAGTACAATGTCAAAATTTCCACCTTAAAAAATGCTATTTTTTAAACAACTTTGGTAAAACTGTATAGAAACATAAATTTACCTTTAGTTGAATGTTCCATAGTTGGAATATGGGTTTTGCAGAGAATTTATAATTATGAAGTTTGATGTCTGTTTCTTTAACATTACCTTAATATTGGCAAAAACATGTTGGTGTTTGCAAGGATATTATTTAAATTGGGATACCATGAATTAAATACTACAAACAAAAATAATTAGAGTTTTTTGTTTGTTTGTACTTTAACTTTTAAAAAATAATCAGTTAAAGTTGTTGTTTTGAAGCTCACATTGTTCCAATCTGGCCAATAGGAGCCCCTTTTGTATGGCTCCTGTATCTTTATGACATGTCCTCATCATTCTTGAATCACTTCCTCACTTCCAGATACAGTAAGTTATTCTTGGCCAGGTGCAGTGGTTCACGCCTGTAATCCCAGCACTTTGGCAGGCCAAGGCAGGAGGATCATTTGGGCCTAGTTTGAGACCAAATCATGGTTGCACAAACTGTACCCACTATGGACAACAGAGTGGGATCTTGTCTCTGTGAAAAATTTAAAAATTAGCTGGGCATGGTGGCACATACCTGTAGTCCTAGCTTCTTGGGAGAGGCTGTGGCAGGAGGATCGCTTGAGTAAATCCAGGATGCAGTGAGCCATGCTTGTGCCACTGCACTCCAGCATGGATGACAGAATGAGACCCTGCCCCCAAAAAAGAAAAATATTCTTGGTTTATCTTGTACTTTCTGTATCCCAGCCCTAGCATCAGCCTTTTCTCTAAAGACAGTATTATGATTTTAATATTTACAGTAGATATTTGAACTGTTACATTATAGACTTTACCATATATTTTCTAGGAAGGATTATTCTATTACTCTTCTTTACCACATTTGTTTGGAATGTCTACAGAACCTACAGTTTCTAAATCAGAAACTCCCTAGGTTTTTGCTATTTTGGCAAGCCATTGAAGTTCTTCCCTCTCCCTTTACTACCAGAAAGGTGTGTATTTGTAGAGCTCTCTATAATGAGAAAGCACTCTATAACATGGTTGATTCATCATTTTGGAGTAGAAAAGTATGAATGGAAAGTCAGAGACATAAAAATAAAGCCCAGAGGTCTGAGTCTTAGCTTCATTACAGACTTTCTTGGGGGATGGTTGGTAAATTATCTACACATTCTATCTTGTCTTTATAATTTTAATAGTTAAATTTTTACCATGTGCCTCAAAACCGTTAGAGAATTAATGAGCTCTTTGAAAAATGCTTCTAAGTTTCTTGTATTGCTCTAATAGAATGCTATCTATGTTATTATTTATTTCTGAGACTAAAATTGTTTACATCTTTAAACTGGTTGTCCTTTTGTGTATTTTAGGATGGAAGTTCCAGCTCTGATAGTGACCTAAGTCTGTCTTCAATGGTCTTTCTTAACCATAGCAGTGGCTCTGACGATTCAGCTGGAGATGGAGAATGTGGCTTAGATCAGTC
The DNA here is from genome assembly GCF_000001405.40 of Homo sapiens. Taxonomy (NCBI): domain Eukaryota; kingdom Metazoa; phylum Chordata; class Mammalia; order Primates; family Hominidae; genus Homo; species Homo sapiens. Next base: position 92,491,389 of record NC_000007.14, on the reverse strand, counting down.
CCTTGTTTCTTTAGAGATGTCCGAGATCCTTCCAGATGAATCAAAATTCAATATGTACCGGCTCTACTTTGGAAGCTCTTATGAATCAGAACTTGGAAATGGAACCTCTTCTGATTTGGTATCTTGTGCAGTCATCATTATACAGTTCTGAAATATAAAGCTATATGTTGGTGTAAAGTTGCAGTGATTTCTCTCCTAACCAGCCCCACATATTCTTCCTGGTTGGTTGGTTCTTCAGTAAAATAGTCTTGTTTCTTGCTTACACTAATTGGTAATTTGCATTCCTTGTTAAGATTTTCAAGACAGGGCTGGGAGCAAGGAACCAAAGTAGCGCGTGGTTGTGATTACCTTTGGTTTCTTTGAGGTTTCTCTTACCTAGTGGCTTTAAAACATCTTTAGGAGCAGTTCCATTTTATAGTAAACTTAAATTCTGTTATCATGAACAGTTGAGGATAATGAATAATTTGATACAATAATGTAAGAAATTCCTGAAAACAAAGTGTTATCTGTGATACTTTTGCTGCATAGTAAGCACAATGAAGTGTACTGATAATGTTTCAACAGGAAAGTGTTTTGATTAAATGTGGGCAGTATCACTGTTCTACTAGCATTCAACATCTCTTCTAAAAATTAATAGTGGTTCACTGTAATTTTATTGGTACATGTAACATCTGTACATGTGTTTGGTTATCTATATGTTTCCTGGTTTTTTGTACATTTGCTTTATTAATTTAGGCTTTTTTTTTTTTTTTTTTTTGAGACAGTCTCACTCTATCATCCAGACTAGAGTGCAGTGGCACAATTATGGCTCACTGCAGCCTTGACCTCCTGGGCTTAGGTGATTCTTCCACCTCAGCCTCCTGAGTAGCTGGGACTACAGGCACATGCCACCATGCCCAGCTAATTTTTGTATGTTTTGTAGAGACGAGGTTTCACCATATTGCCCAGGCTGGTCTCAAACTCCTGGGCTCAAGCTATCTGCGTGCCTTGACCTCCCAAAGTGCTAGGATTACAGGTGTGAGCCACTATGCCTAGCCTAACTCAGACTTTAAAAATATAAAAGCAATTCATTTTTATTCCCAAGAACAGTAAGGTGGTGGTTTAATTTTAGTCTTTAATTCTGTTTTTAATTTATTCTATTTAGAAATGTCCCAGAAACTTAGTATAACTTTACTTTCTGAAAATGAAGAAACCTGTCCTTGGGCATTAGTGTGTTGGATTTAAGCAACAAAGTTAAAAAAACCTACCCTGTGTTATGGCAATTTTCACTTGATGGTGGTTCTATAACACAGGTATCAGTGAACCTTTATAAAAGATGAACAACTTTTCAGCTTGCTTAATTTCAGTTAATTAACATGTATACTTATCTATGTTAATGTTTTATTGCTTAAAATGTTTAATTTTTATATTTGGTAAACACATAGTTTTTTCTCTCCCCCTCTTCCTTCCATCTTTCATTACTACAATTTACCATGCAGAGCTCACAATGTCTCTCTGCACCAAGCTCCATGACTCAGGATTTGCCTGGAGTTCCTGGGAAAGACCAGTTGTTTTCACAGCCTCCAGTGTTAAGGACAGCTTCACAAGAGGGTTGCCAAGAACTTACACAAGAACAAAGAGATCAACTGAGGGCAGATATCAGTATTATCAAAGGCAGATACCGGAGCCAAAGTGGAGTATGGCTTTTTCCCCCTCATTATAATTGTTAAAACTTCTTAAAAATTGTTTCACCCTTTTGATATATATTTCTTTGACTTATAAACGAGCTATATTTATAAACAAGGGACCAGAACACATTAACTCAGTCATGGTTATGTGCTTCCTTGCTTTCAATGTTTCATTATCTTATAAGGAAGAGAACGTATGGTCTCTTGAAAAAACTGACAATAAGAAGTAACAACTGGACTACCACATTTTTTTTTACATCCTTAATTTAACTCTTCGTCAATTTCTTTTTTTACTTAAGGAGGACGAATCCATGAACCAACCAGGACCAATCAAAACCAGACTGGCTATTAGTCAGTCACATTTAATGACTGCACTTGGTCACACAAGACCATCCATTAGTGAAGATGACTGGAAGAATTTTGCTGAGCTGTAAGTAACAGATTCTGTTTTGGAAGTACAGCTACTATTACAAGTGACATAGTATTACACTTAAACCTTTAAAGTTCGTGTTTAAAATAAAAATATTTTGAATATTTAAAAGCTAATTCAAAAAATATGTGTCGTAGCTATGCATTAAAAAACCCCAAAATGTCAGAAGTACAGAAGTCAAAATTGAGTTTTCATTAACCAGTTCATTTGATTATATTTGAATTATTCATAATGGACTCATTTAATTTTAGTAACTTTGGGCTGGGTGCTGTGGCTCATGCCTGTAATCCCAGCTCTTTGGGAGGCCAAGGCAGGTGGATCACCTGAGGTCAGGAGTTCGAGGCAAGCCTAACCAACACGGGGAAACCCCATCTCTACTAAAAATACAAAAATTAGCCAGGTGTGGTGGCATGTGCCTGTAGTCCCAGCTACTTGGGAGGCTGAGACAGGAGAATTGCTTGAACCCAGGAGGTGGAGGTTGCAGTGAGCCGAGATTGCACCACTGCACTCCATCCAGCCTGGGCCACAGAGCGAGACTGTGTCTCAAAAAAAAAAAAAAAAAATTTAGTAACTTCGAAGAAATAAGAAGGAAAATTAAAAGTTGAAAGTGATTCTAATGTATAGTTTATAAAATTTTGTTATAAAAATACCTGTTTTGCCTTCAAAATAATTTATATTAATATTTTATTGACCTCAAGAACATTTAAATACATTCAGATTTATTCATTTGTGGACCACATTTGTTATACATTGGATTTAAAGGATCCTTGCAATTGAGTTTATGGCCACCTATGCATCTGAGACCCATGGACTGGGAACCATTCTAGGTCAATGATTCAGTGTGATTCAATTTAAGAGATGTTTATTCCTGGTCTTTAGAAGCTGCTACCTTTTGTTATCTAATTTTGCAGTACTTTGAAGTATGTATGTATGTGTACATACGTTAGTGCTATGTATTTATTAAAGAAGAATCAGAAAACAGAGGTAAGGAAAAATAAGGAAACAAATTTCTGTTAAGCCCACCACCTCCCAAAGCATATTTGTTTATATGCTTATATATGTTTTCCTATTATGGTAAGAACAGTCTGTACATATTGCTATATAGCAGTCCCCCTTTATCCACATACATCCTGAAAATTGTTTTACATTTTAAATGTTAACTACTTTATTGTTTTTAAATGTCATTTTATAGTGTAGCTATGCCACAATATCCAATTTTTAGACATTTAAATTGCTCCCAGGCAATGTGGTAATGAACATTCTTGCAGCTGAATATATGCACATATCTAATTGTTTCACTAGGATAGAGGTGGAATTGTATAACAGGGAGCTCACATTTTTTAAGGCTTTTGAAATGTATTGCCAAATTGCCTGCCAGATATACTGCACCATCACTAACATTGTGTGTTGCAGTATTTTTCTAAACTTGGCCCTTTTGATTTTAGAAAAATGATATCAATAATTTACATTTCTTTGATTAAAGTGTAGAAGTTATAATTTTTCATATTATTCATTGTCATTTGTATTTTATCTTTTCTAACTTGTCTCTTCATCCCCTTTGCTCCGTTTTCTATTGGAGTGCAACTTTATTTGTAAGAATTCTTTTTAATTTCTGTGACTGGAATTTTTTTTTCTAGTTTGTTATTTCCCGTTCATTTCTTAAAATATAATTGTGTTTGCCAACAATCCATTATCTTTTGTTTTGTAATGGTAGTATTTATACATATTAAATTATCTCTTTCTTTTTTCAGATATGAAAGCTTTCAAAATCCAAAGAGGAGAAAAAATCAAAGTGGAACAATGTTTCGACCTGGACAGAAAGTAACTTTAGCATAAAATATACTTCTTTTTGATTTGGTTCTGTTAAGTTTTTTGATGGCTTTTCCATATGTTGTAACAGGAAAAAAATGGTGTCTATGAATTTCTTCTTAATTTAACAAATTTGGTTAATTTATAAAATCACAGATTGGTAAATGCTATAATTATGTAATGATCAGGATTGAGATTAATACTGTAGTATAAATTGGGACATTATAACAGATTCCATATTTTATTTCCTAAAATCTAAATTCAGTCTTTAATGAAATAATATTAGCCAAATGGTGGAACTAATTTATTTCTTTTGAGGAAAAGATAATAAAGAATGTAATTAAATTTAAATTTCTTGGAATTCCCAGTTGTATATTCATCACCTTTGTAGCATTTGACAAATTTTATGCTTAGCAGCTTCTTCACTGTTTTGAAATAAAATATCCTATTACCTACTGATACAATTATCTGTTCTTTGTATATCAAAAAATGTGAAATTTACACATAATTCAAATACATTTAATTATCCGCTCAACCAGAAATGAAATCACATCCCTCTACTATACTACATCCAGCTCCAAGCCCAAGATATTTAAATGACATCCATTCCTCTCCTAGTTCCAGTTATGATTTTATCTTGATATTCTCTCATATATGAACTAAATTATAAAGTTAGCCACCATCAATACAATCTGCGTATCTAATATCTTAACTATATAGTAATGGGGTAAGGGAACAGCAAAAAGGAGAACATTAATTAAAATATACAAGTAAGCCTGGGCAACATAGTGAGACCCCATCTCTTAAAAAAAAAATTAGCCATGCATGATGGTATGCCTCTAGTCCCAGCTACTTGGGAGGCTGAGGTAGGAGGATCACTTGCTCCCAGGAGGTTCAAGGTTCTAAACCAGCAAAGCTCAGAATCCCAGGGGATAGAAACAAAGACTTAGTGGATCACTAGTATTAAACTGAGACACGTCACCCTGCATTGCACTTTGTTTCTCAGTTCTTTGATGAAATCACTGAGCTGACATACCTGCCCTCTTTTCACCATAAAGTGAGTTTCATGATCAGAAGCAATGTCTATGGGATAGCCTAACAAACAATGTAAAAACCATTTAGTAAGTTCATGAAGGGTGGTGGTGGTAAAAATTTGGAGAACATACAAAACAAATACAATTCCAAGGTGTGTCCCCTCCAGGAAGGACAAATTGCTGCCTGCTCTGTGATAGAAGAGGATCAGATGTAATCAACCTGCCGTCAGACTTGGGCTGTTCTCTCCTGGGTGTGGACTTGCCTGGTTGGTCACTGCTGCTGACAAGTAGGCTGTCAATATAGCTGGGTTGTCATGTCAGCTGTGGTGAGGGGGAAGTCCACATTGTGGAGGCCACATCCCTGCACTCTTGGCCAATTTGACCATGAATCTTAAGCACTGGGGTGGCTGGAAAAGACAGCCGATTGACATCCATACAGAGGTCATCTTGACCACTTGATTAGTATAAGCACTGAAGGCTTTTAACTGAGCATTCACATAGGACACAAATATTCTGATTCTTTGGGCCCATTCCAAGAACTCTGGGCATACTTTTCCTCCAGACCTCATACCCAGTTGTGTTCTTTCCAAATTTCTGGTCATCTGGTTATGTTATTAGCCACTATCTGTGAATCAGCATAGATTTTTATATCAGACATCTCTACCTCCTGACAGAATGGAGGAGATATGTTACTTAACAATTCTGTTCCCTTGGAAGATTTCCTGTCTCCACTGTTTGTAAGGGCTACTCCCTCAATGTAGCAGTAATGCTTTCACTCTGATGGGAAGTCACAGTGGAATTCTGGGTCTCCAAGAATTAGTGTTAGTGCATACACAGTGTCTGATAATCCCCAGAGTGTCTGGTGCCCTTGGATCCTGTGAAGAAGGCTTGGAGAAAAGAAGATTCATGGCAAGAACTTGTGATGTGATGACAGGGCCTTTTCTCTGGCTCTTCATTCTTAGTCTGACCTAGGTGTGAGAATTAGGTCAGGGGCCATGACTATATTGTGGTGACTCAAACCAGGCCTTTGTTTACTAACTGGGAGATTTTTACATTGTAAGAATCAAGTAGGATCTTTGCCCATGTATTTTGGTCTTAAGAACACAAATGATATGGCTCCAATGACTGGAGGAACACCAGGGTCCTTGGTCTCACGCTGATTTAGATAAAACGACTGTCAGGCCTCTGAGCCCAAGCTAAGCCATCCTCCCCTGTGACCTGCACGTATACATCCAGATGGCCTGAAGTAACCAAAGAATCACAAAAGCAGTGAAAATGGCCTGTTCCTGCCTTAACTGATGACATTCCACCATTGTGATTTGTTCCTGCCCCATCTTAACTGAGCGATTAACCTTGTGAAATTCCTTCTCCTGGCTCAAAACCTCCCCCACTGAGCACCTTGTGACCCCCGCCCCTGCCCCTAAGAGAAAACCCCCTTTGATTATAATTTTCCACTACCCACCCAAATCCTATAAAATGGCCCCACCCCTATCTCCCTTCGCTGACTCCTTTTTCGGACTCAGCCCGCCTGCACCCAGGTGAAATAAACAGCCTTGTTGCTCACACAAAGCCTGTTTGGTGGACTCTCTTCACACGGACGCTCATGACATTTGGTGCCAAAACCTGGGATAGGAGGACTCCTTCAGGAGACCAGTCCCCTGTCCTTGCCCTCACTCTGTGAGGACATCCACCTACAACCTTGGGTCCTCAGACCAACCAGCCCAAGGAACAGCTCACCAATTTCAAATCAGGTAAGCAGTCTTTTCACTCTCTTCTCCAGCCTCTCTTGCTACCCTTCAAACTCCCTCTCTCACTACCCTTCAATCTCCCTGTCCTTCCAATTCCAGTTCTTTTTCATCTCTAGTAGAGACAAAGGAGACACATTTTATCCATGGACCCAAAACTCCAGCACCAGTCACGGACTTGGGAAGACAGTCTTCCCTTGGTGTTTAATCACTGCGGGGACGCCTGCCTGATTATTCACCCACACTCCATTGGTGTCTGATCACGGTGGGGACACCTGCCTTGGTCACTCACCCACATTCCCTTGGTGGTACGTCAACTGCAAAAGCAGGGGACGCCTGCTTTGGCTGCTCACCCACCCCCTTCTCTGTGTCTCTACCTTTCTCTTTAAACTTACCTCCTTCACTATGGGCAAACTTCTGCCCTCCATTCCCCCTTCTTCTCCCTTAGCCTGTGTTCTTAAAAACCTAAAACCTCTTCAACTCACACCTGACCTAAAACCTAAATGCCTTATTTTCTTCTGCAACACTGCGTGGCTGCAGTACAAACTTGATAATAGCTTTAAATGGCCAGAATATGGCACTTTCAATTTCTCCATCCTACAAGATCTAGATAATTTTTGTGGAAAAATGGAAAAATGGTCTGAGATGCCTGACGTCCAGGCATTCTTTTACACATTGGTCCCTCCCTAGTCTCTGCTCCCAATGCGACTCATCCCAAATCTTTCTTCTTTCTCTCCTGTCTGTTCCTTCAGTCTCCACCCCAAGCTCTGAGTCCTTTGAATCCTCCTTTGCTACAGACCCATCTGAACTCTCCCCTCCTCCCCAGGCTGCTCCTCACCAGGCCGAGCCAGGTCCCAATTCTTCCTCAGCCTCTGCTCCCCCACCCTATAATCCTTTTATCACCTCCTCTCCTCACACTCAGTCCGGCTTACAGTTTCGTTCTGTGACTAGCCCTCCCCCATCTGCCCAACAATTTCCTCTTAAAGAGGTGGCTGGAGCTAAAGGCATAGTCAAGGTTAATGCTCCTTTTTCTTTATCTGACCTCTCCCAAATCAGTTAGCGTTTACGCTCTTTTTCATCAAATATAAAAACCCAGCCAGTTCATGGCCCATCTGGCAACAACCCTTACAGGCTTTACAGCCCTAGACCCTGAAGGGTCAGAAGGCCGTCTTATTCTCAATATGCATTTTATTACCCAATCCGCTCCCAACATTAAATAAAGCTCCAAAAATTAAATTCTGGCCCTCAAACCCCACAACAGGACTTAATTAACCTCACTTCAAGGTGTACAAGAATAGAGTAGAGGCAGCCAAGTAGCAACGTATTTGAGTTGCAATTCCTTGCCTCAACTCTGAGAGAAACCCCAGCCACATCTCCAGCAAACAAGAACTTCAAAACACCTGAACTGCAGCAGCCAGGCGTTCCTCCAGGACCACCTCCCCCAGGATCTTGCTTCAAGTGCCGGAAATCTGACCATTGGGCCAAGGAATGCCTGCAGCCCAGGATTCCTCCTAAGCCACGTCCCATTTGTGCAGGACCCCACTGGAAATCGGACTGTCCAACTCACCCGGCAGCCAATCCCAGAGCCCCTGGAACTCTGGCCCAAGGCTCTCTGACTGACTCCTTCCCAGATCTTCTCGGCTTAGCAGCTGAAGACTGACACTGCCCGATCACTTCAGAAGTCCCCTGGACCATCACGGATACTGAGCTTCAGGTAACTCTCACAGTGGAGGCTAAGTCCATCCCCTGTTTAATCGATACAGGGGCTACCCACTCCACATCACCTTCTTTTCAAGGGCCTGTTTCCCTTTCCCCCATAACTGTTGTGGGTATTGACGGCCAAGCTTCAAAACCCCTTAAAACTCCCCCACTCTGGTGCCAACTTGGACAACATTCTTTTATGCACTCTTTTTCAGTTATCCTCACCTGCCCAGTTCCCTTATTAGGCCGAGACATTTTAACCAAATTATCTGCTTCCCCGACTATTCCTGGGCTACAGCCACATCTCCTTGCCGCCCTTCTTCCCAACCCAAAGCCTCCTTCATATCTTCCTCTCATATCCCCCCACCTTAACCCACAAGTATGGGACACCTCTACTCCCTCCCTGGCAACCGATCACACGCCCATTACTATCCCATTAAAACCTAATCACCCTTACCCTGCTCAATGCCAGTATCCCATACCACAACAGGCTTTAAAGGGATTGAAGCCTGTTATCACTTGCCTGCTACAGCACGGGCTTCTAAAACCTATAAACTCTCCATACAATTCCCCCATTTTACCTGTCTAAAAACCAGATAAGTCTTACAGGTTAGTTCAGAATCTGCACCTTATCAACCAAATTGTTTTGCCTATCCACCCTGTAGCACCCAACTCGTACACTCTTTTGTCCTCAATGCCTTCCCCCACAACTCACTATTCCGTTCTTGATCTTAAAGATGCTTTTTTCACTATTCCCCTGCACCCCTCATCCCAGCCTCTCTTTGCTTTTACCTGGACTGACCCTGACACCCATCAGTCCCAGCAGCTTACCTGGGCTGTACTGCCGCAAGGCTTCAGGGACAGCCCTCATTACTTCAGCCAAGCTCTTTCTCATGATTTACTTTCTTTCCACCTCTCTGCTTCTCACCTTATTCAATATATTGATGACCTTCTACTTTGTAGCCCCTCCTTTAAATCTTCTCAACAAGACACCCTCCTGCTCCTTCAACATTTGTTCTCCAAAGGATATCGGGTATCCCCCTCCAAAGCTCAAATTTCTTCTCCATCTGTTACATACCTCGGCATAATTCTTCATGAAAACACATGTGCTCTCCCTGCCAATTGCGTCTCCAACTGATCTCTCAAATCCCAACCTCTTCTACAAAACAACAACTCCTTTCCCTCCTAGGCATGGTTGGATACTTTTGCCTTTGGATACCTGGTTTTGCCATCCTAACAAAATCATTATATAAACTCACAAAAGGAAACCTAGCTGACCCCATAGATTCTAAATCCTTTCCCCACTCCTCTTTCCATTCCTTGAAGACAGCTTTAGAGACTGCTCCCACACTAGCTCTCCCTGTCTCATCCCAACCCTTTTCATTACACACAGCCGAAGTGCAGGGCTGTGCAGTCGGAATTCTTACACAAGGACCGGGACCATGCCCTGTAGCCTTTTTGTCCAAACAACTTGACCTTACTGTTTTAGGCTCGCCATCATGTCTCCATGCGGTAGCTTCCGCTGCCCTAATACTTTTAGAGGCCCTCAAAATCACAAACTATGCTCAACTCACTCTCTACAGCTCTCACAACTTCCAAAATCTATTTTCTTTCTCACACCTGACGCATATACTTTCTGCTCCCCGGCTCCTTCAGCTGTATTCACTCTTTGTTGAGTCTCCCACAATTACCATTCTTCCTGGCCCAGACTTCAATCTGGCCTCCCACATTATTCTGGATACCACACCTGACCCTGATGATTGTATGTCTCTGATCTACCTGACATTCACCCCATTTCCCCATATTTCCTTCTTTTCTGTTCCTCATGTTGATCACATTTGGTTTACTGACGGCAGTTCCACCAGGCCTGATCGCCACTCACCAGCAAAGGCAGGCTATGCTATAGAATCTTCCACATCCATCATTGAGGCTACTGCTCTGCCCCCCTCCACTACCTCTCAGCAAGCCGAACTGATTGCCTTAACTCGGGCCTTCACTCTTGCAAAGGGACTACACGTCAATATTTATACTGACTCTAAATATGCCTTCCATATCTTGCACCACCATGCTGTTATATGGGCTGAAAGAGGTTTCCTCACTACGCAAGGGTCCTCCATCATTAATGCCTCTTTAATAAAAACTCTTCTCAAGGCTGCTTTACTTCCAAAGGAAGCTGGAGTCACACACTGCAAGGGCCACCAAAAGGCGTCAGATCCCATTACTCTAGGAAATGCTTATGCTGATAAGGTAGCTAAAGAAGCACCTAGCGTTCCAACTTCTGTCCCTCATGGCCAGTTTTTCTCCTTCCCATCAGTCATTCCCACCTACTCCCCCATTGAAACTTCCGCCTATCAATCTCTTCTCACACAAGGCAAATGGTTCTTAGACCAAGGAAAATATCTCCTTCCAGCCTCACAGGCCCATTCTATTCTGTCATCATTTCATAACCTCTTCCATGTAGGTTACAAGCCACTAGTCCACCTCTTAGAACCTCTCATTTCCTTCCATCGTGGAAACATATCCTCAAGGAAATCACTTCTCAGTGTTCCATCTGCTATTCTACTACCCCTCAGGGATTGTTCAGGCCCCCTCCCCTCCCTACACATCAAGCTCGGGGATTTGCCCCTGCCCAGGACTGGCAAATTGACTTTACTCACATGCCCTGAGTCAGGAAACTAAAATACCTCTTGGTCTGGGTAGACACTGTCACTGGATGGGTAGAGGCCTTTCCCACAGGGTCTGAGAAGGCCACTGCAGTCATTTCTTCCCTTCTGTCAGACATAATTCCTTGGGTTGGCCTTCCCACCTCTATACAGTCCAATAACGGAGCAGCCTTTATTAGTCAAATCACCTGAGCAGTTTTTCAGGCTCTTGGTATTCAGTGGAACCTTCGTACCCCTTACTGTCCTCAATCTTCAGGAAAGGTAGAATGGACTAATGGTCTTTTAAAAACACACCCCACCAAACTCAGCCTCCAACTTAAAAAGGAGGATAGAGCCCAAAAACTCGCAACCAAGCTAGTAATTATGCTGAACCCCCTTGGGCACTCTCTAATTGGATGTCTTAGGTCCTCCCAAATCTTAGTCCTTTAATATCTGTTTTTCTCCTTCTCTTATTCGGACCTTGTGTCTTCCGTTTAGTTTTTCAATTCATACAAAACCGCATCCAGGCCATCACCAATCGTTCTATACAATAAATGCTCCTTCTAACAACCCCACAATATCGCCCCTTACCACAAAATCTTCCTTCAGCTTAATCTCTCCCACTCTAGGTTCCCATGCCGCCCATAATCCCTCTCGAAGCAGCCCTGAGAAACATAGCCCATTATCTCTCCATACCACCCCCAAAATTTTTGCTGCCCCAACACTTCAACACTATTTTACATTATTTTTCTTATTAATATAAGAAGACAGCAATGTCAGGCCTCTGAGCCCAAGCCATCATATCCCCTGTGACCTGCACATATACATCCAGATGGCCTGAAGTAACTGAAGAATCACAAAAGAAGTGAAAATGGCCTGTTCCTGCCTTAACCGATGACATTCCACCACTGTGATTTGTTCCTGCCCCACCTTAACTGAGCAATTAACCTTGGGAAATTCCTTCTCCTGGCTCAAAACCTCCCCCACTGAGCACCTTGTGACCCCTGCCCCTCCACTACCCACCCAAATCCTATAAAATGGCCCCACCCCATCTCCCTTAGCTGACTCCTTTTTTGGACTCAGCCCGCCTGCACCCAGGTGAAATAAACAGCCTTGTTGCTCACACAAAGCCTGTTTGGTGGACTCTCTTCACAGGGACGGGGGTGACAACAACACGGACACACATGGAGTGGTTTTAAGGAGCAGAGAGTTTAATACGCAAAAAAGAAGGAAGAGGCTCCCCTGTACAGACACAGAGGGAGGGGGCTCCAAGCCGAGAGAAGGAAACCCCATGTGCAGTGGAAAAGTGGTTGATTATACTGGGAGGCTGGAGGAGGCGGTGTCTGATTTGCACAGGGCCCAGGGGATTGGGTTGACCAGGTGTATCATTCATGTACCCCGCAAAAAACCTGGCCCTCCCACCTCAGCCCTTTAATATGCAAATGTGGGTTGCCATGATGTTCTGAAAACACATGAATTATCTGGAGGGGGCCATGACACTTGGTACATGTGCTGACAAGAAGAGGGTGGGAATCGCCATGGTGGCCATGTTGGGTGGACCTAGTTTTTAATAGCCTGCATTTGCATATCAAAGTTTGCTGGCCTGGCTCTTTAAGCTGTCTTTTCTGTTAGAAAAGGAATGGTTTGGAATGGGTGAGGGTTGCTTCTTATTACAAGAAAATTTCCAAAAACCTTTACTCTTTCTAGCTGCCAAAAAACTATTTCTTAATAACTTATGTATTACCATAATTAGGCAGCACCAAAGATCCCTGCAGGTCAGACCACTGCAATTAACATGCTGGCTTTACTGCTGATTATGGTAGCTGCATCCACCTAGCCTCTCATATTGCAACTGCCTGACCTCTGCCACCCCACGAGCCACTTATCCCCACTTATAATCAGCCCATTTCGATTGTAACATCTGCCACTTATTCCCGACGTTGTGGTATATCCTATAGATGAATTCATTCAACATCCATTCCAACACCACCTCTCTTGCCTTCCTATACTCTCTGGAGAGTGAATTACTGAGTCACATGATCTTCACTGCAGTCATTTGTGGCTATGTGACATAGTTCTGGACAGTGAACATAGACAGAAGTCCCTGGGGCGGGCTTCCTTTCTGGGATGAGGGCAAAACGCCTGGAGATACAGCAATTATCTTGCAACTGAGAGACAGGACTAGCTGGATTTCCTAGGCCGACTAAGAATCCCTAAGCCTAGCTGGGAAGGTGACCACGTCCACCTTTAAACACGGGGCTTGCAACTTAGCTCACACCTGACCAATCAGAGAGCTCACTAAAATGCTAATTAGGCAAAGACAGGAGGTAAAGAAATAGCCAATCATCTATTGCCTGAGAGCACAGCAGGAGGGACAACAATCGGGATATAAACCCAGGCATTCGAGCTGGCAACAGCAGCCCCCCTTTGGGTCCCTTCCCTTTGTATGGGAGCTGTTTTCATGCTATTTCACTCTATTAAATCTTGCAACTGCACTCTTCTGGTCCATGTTTCTTACGGCTCGAGCTGAGCTTTTGCTCACCGTCCACCACTGCTGTTTGCCACCACCGCAGACCTGCCGCTGACTCCCATCCCTCTGGATCCTGCAGGGTGTCCGCTGTGCTCCTGATCCAGCGAGGCGCCCATTGCCGCTCCCAATTGGGCTAAAGGCTTGCCATTGTTCCTGCACGGCTAAGTGCCTGGGTTTGTTCTAATTGAGCTGAACACTAGTCACTGGGTTCCATGGTTCTCTTCTGTGACCCACGGCTTCTAATAGAACTATAACACTTACCACATGGCCCAAGATTCCATTCCTTGGAATCCGTGAGGCCAAGAACTCCAGGTCAGAGAATACGAGGCTTGCCACCATCTTGGAAGCGGCCTGCTACCATCTTGGAAGTGGTTCACCACCATCTTGGGAGCTCTGTGAGCAAGGACCCCCCGGTAACATTTTGGCAACCACGAACGGACATCCAAAGTGGTGAGTAATATTGGACCACTTTCACTTGCTATTCTGTCCTATCCTTCCTTAGAATTGGAGGAAAATACCGGGCACTTGTCGGCCAGTTAAAAACGATTAGTGTGGCCACCGGACTTAAGACTCAGGTGTGAGGCTATCTGGGGAAGGGCTTTCTAACAACCCCCAACCCTTCTGGGTTGGGGACTTGGTTTGCCTCAAGCCAGCTTCCACTTTCAGTTTTCTTGGGGAAGCCGAGGGCCGACTAGAGGCAGAAAGCTGTCGTCCTGAACTCCCGGCAGTAGCCGGTTGAGATCATGGTGTAGCCAGAAGTCTCAACAGTCGCCCATGCATGCACCCCTATCTTTCCTTCTGACCCATACCTCCTGGGTCCCAACCACAACTTTCTTCAAAGTGTAGCCCCAAAATTCTCCTTACCTCTGAATATACTTCCTCTGATCCCTGCCTCCTAGGTACTATTGGTTCAGACTTCCATTTCCTCTAGCAAGTTGTATCTCCAAAGGGATCTAAGGAAGCTCTGCGCTGCGTCCTTAGGCACCTAGGCTATAACCCAGGGAGTCTTATCCCTGGTGTCCCTCCCAATTTAGGCATACAGCTCTTGACATGGGCAGTTATGTAGGACCCACTCCCCACCACCCTTGCCAGGGCCCCAAGTTTGTAAATGGCTGAGGGAAAAGAGAGACAGAGGAGAGAGAGAGAAATGGAGGAGAAAGAGAGAGAGACAGAGAGGAGAGAGAGACAGTGAGAGAGACAGAAGAGAGAGAGAGACAAAGAGGAGAGAGAGAGAGTCAAAGAGAGAAAGAAAGAGAAAGAAATAGTAAAAAACAGTGTGCCCTATTCCTTTAAAAGCCAGGGTAAATTTAAAACCTGTACTTGATAATTGAAGGTCTTCTCTGTGACCCTATAGCACTCCAATCCACTTTGTGGTCAGTGTAAATAAGAGCATAGGCCGAAAGCACTGAGGCCATTGACAACCCGTAGCTTCCCTATCAAAAATCCTTAACCCAGTAACCCGCAGATGGACCAAATGCATTCAGTCGGTAGCGCAACTGCTTTGCTAAAAGTAGAAAAGTAACTTTTAGAGGAAACCTCATTGTGAGCACACCTCACCTGTTCAGAATTATTCTAATAAAAAAAGCAAAAAGGTAGCTTACTAACTCAAAAATCTTAAAGTATGGGGCTATTCTGTTAGAAAAAGGTAATGTAACTCCAACCACTGATAATTCCCTTAACCCAGCAGATTTCCTAACGGGATTTAAATCTTAATTACCATACAAAGGTCCGACCAGACCTAGGCGGAACTCCCTTCAGGACAGGACGATAGATGGTTCCTCCCAGGTGATTGAGGAAAAAAACCACAATGGGTATTCAGTAATTGATACGGGGACTCTTGTGGAAGCAGAGTTAGAAAAATTGCCTAATAACTGGTCTCCTCAAACGTGTGAGCTGTTTGCACTCAGCCAAGCCTTAAAGTACTTACAGAATCAAAAGACTATCTCAATCCTGATTCAAAAGGTTAGCTACACCCTCTCTGTAATGCATTTGCATAAGAACTTGTTTATGGGAATGCATCTTGATGGGGCAGCTGGGTTGTTATAAAATAGGAACCCAGCCCAGCTCTAGGACTCACCCCTGAGCGCAAAGGCAATGTTGGGCATGCTGGTAAAGGACCACTAGAATCCAGCAGCCCAGACCCCTTTCTTTGTGGTCAAGAAAGGCGGGAAAAGGGGTGCAGGACTGCTACATCGGTAAGCATAACTAATCCGATAAACAGAGGTCCATGGGTGGTTACGCACCCTGGAAAGGAACTCACCCCTGAGCACAAAGGCAATGTTGGGCACGCTGGTAAAGGACCACTAGAATCCAGCAGCCTGGACCCCTTTCTTTGTGGTCAAGAGAGGCAGGAAAACAGGTGCAGGACTGCAACATCAGTGAGCATAACTAATTCGATAAGCAGAGGTCCATGGGTGGTGATGCACCCTGGAAAGAATAAGCATTAGGACCATAGAGGACACTCCAGGACTAAAGCTCATCGGAAAATGACTAGGGTTGCTGGCATCCCTATGTTCTTTTTTCAGATGGGAAACGTTCCCCGCAAGACAAAAACGCCCCTAAGACGTATTCTGGAGAATTGGGACCAATTTGACCCTCAGACACTAAGAAAGAAACGACTTATATTCTTCTGCAGTGCCGCCTGGCACTCCTGAGGGAAGTATAAATTATAACACCATCTTACAGCTAGACCTCTTTTGTAGAAAAGGCAAATGGAGTGAAGTGCCATAAGTACAAACTTTCTTTTCATTAAGAGACAACTCACAATTATGTAAAAAGTGTGATTTATGCCCTACAGGAAGCCTTCAGAGTCTACCTCCCTATCCCAGCATCCCCGACTCCTTCCCCAACTAATAAGGACCCCCCTTCAACCCAAATGGTCCAAAAGGAGATAGACAAAAGGGTAAACAGTGAACCAAAGAGTGCCAATATTCCCCAATTATGACCCCTCCAAGCAGTGGGAGGAAGAGAATTCGGCCCAGCCAGAGTGCATGTGCCTTTTTCTCTCCCAGACTTAAAGCAAATAAAAACAGACTTAGGTAAATTCTCAGATAACCCTGATGGCTATATTGATGTTTTACAAGGGTTAGGACAATTCTTTGATCTGACATGGAGAGATATAATGTCACTGCTAAATCAGACACTAACCCCAAATGAGAGAAGTGCCACCATAACTGCAGCCTGAGAGTTTGGCGATCTCTGGTATCTCAGTCAGGTCAATGATAGGATGACAACAGAGGAAAGAGAATGATTCCCCACAGGCCAGCAGGCAGTTCCCAGTCTAGACCCTCATTGGGACACAGAATCAGAACATGGAGATTGGTGCTGCAGACATTTGCTAACTTGTGTGCTAGAAGGACTAAGGAAAACTAGGAAGAAGTCTATGAATTACTCAATGATGTCCACCATAACACAGGGAAGGGAAGAAAATCCTACTGCCTTTCTGGAGAGACTAAGGGAGGCATTGAGGAAGCGTGCCTCTCTGTCACCTGACTCTTCTGAAGGCCAACTAATCTTAAAGCGTAAGTTTATCACTCAGTCAGCTGCAGACATTAGAAAAAAACTTCAAAAGTCTGCCGTAGGCCCGGAGCAAAACTTAGAAACCCTATTGAACTTGGCAACCTCGGTTTTTTATAATAGAGATCAGGAGGAGCAGGCGGAACAGGACAAACGGGATTAAAAAAAAGGCCACCGCTTTAGTCATGACCCTCAGGCAAGTGGACTTTGGAGGCTCTGGAAAAGGGAAAAGCTGGGCAAATTGAATGCCTAATAGGGCTTGCTTCCAGTGCGGTCTACAAGGACACTTTAAAAAAGATTGTCCAAGTAGAAGTAAGCCGCCCCCTCGTCCATGCCCCTTATTTCAAGGGAATCACTGGAAGGCCCACTGCCCCAGGGGACAAAGGTCCTCTGAGTCAGAAGCCACTAACCAGATGATCCAGCAGCAGGACTGAGGGTGCCTGGGGCAAGCGCCATCCCATGCCATCACCCTCACAGAGCCCTGGGTATGCTTGACCATTGAGGGCCAGGAGGTTGTCTCCTGGACACTGGTGCGGTCTTCTTAGTCTTACTCTTCTGTCCCGGACAACTGTCCTCCAGATCTGTCACTATCTGAGGGGGTCCTAAGACGGGCAGTCACTAGATACTTCTCCCAGCCACTAAGTTATGACTGGGGAGCTTTATTCTTTTCACATGCTTTTCTAATTATGCTTGAAAGCCCCACTACCTTGTTAGGGAGAGACATTCTAGCAAAAGCAGGGGCCATTATACACCTGAACATAGGAGAAGGAACACCCGTTTGTTGTCCCCTGCTTGAGGAAGGAATTAATCCTGAAGTCTGGGCAACAGAAGGACAATATGGACGAGCAAAGAATGCCCGTCCTGTTCAAGTTAAACTAAAGGATTCCACCTCCTTTCCCTACCAAAGGCAGTACCCCCTCAGACCCAAGGCCCAACAAGGACTCCAAAAGATTGTTAAGGACCTAAAAGCCCAAGGCCTAGTAAAACCATGCAGTAACCCCTGCAGTACTCCAATTTTAGGAGTACAGAAACCCAACAGACAGTGGAGGTTAGTGCAAGATCTCAGGATTATCAATGAGGCTGTTGTTCCTCTATAGCCAGCTGTACCTAGCCCTTATACTCTGCTTTCCCAAATACCAGAGGAAGCAGAGTGGTTTACAGTCCTGGACCTTCAGGATGCCTTCTTCTGCATCCCTGTACATCCTGACTCTCAATTCTTGTTTGCCTTTGAAGATACTTCAAACCCAACATCTCAACTCACCTGGACTATTTTACCCCAAGGGTTCAGGGATAGTCCCCATCTATTTGGCCAGGCATTAGCCCAAGACTTGAGCCAATCCTCATACCTGGACACTTGTCCTTCGGTAGGTGGATGATTTACTTTTGGCCGCCCATTCAGAAACCTTGTGCCATCAAGCCACCCAAGCGCTCTTCAATTTCCTCGCTACCTGTGGCTACATGGTTTCCAAACCAAAGGCTCAACTCTGCTCACAGCAGGTTACTTAGGGCTAAAATTATCCAAAGGCACCAGGGCCCTCAGTGAGGAACACATCCAGCCTATACTGGCTTATCCTCATCCCAAAACCCTAAAGCAACTAAGGGGATTCCTTGGCGTAATAGGTTTCTGCCGAAAATGGATTCCCAGGTATGGCGAAATAGCCAGGTCATTAAATACACTAATTAAGGAAACTCAGAAAGCCAATACCCATTTAGTAAGATGGACAACTGAAGTAGAAGTGGCTTTCCAGGCCCTAACCCAAGCCCCAGTGTTAAGTTTGCCAACAGGGCAAGACTTTTCTTCATATGTCACAGAAAAAACAGGAATAGCTCTAGGAGTCCTTACACAGATCCGAGGGATGAGCTTGCAACCTGTGGCATACCTGACTAAGGAAATTGATGTAGTGGCAAAGGGTTGACCTCATTGTTTACGGGTAGTGGTGGCAGTAGCAGTCTTAGTATCTGAAGCAGTTAAAATAATACAGGGAAGAGATCTTACTGTGTGGACATCTCATGATGTGAATGGCATACTCACTGCTAAAGGAGACTTGTGGCTGTCAGACAACTGTTTACTTAAATGTCAGGCTCTATTACTTGAAGGGCCAGTGCTGCGACTGTGCACTTGTGCAACTCTTAACCCAGCCACATTTCTTCCAGACAATGAAGAAAAGATAAAACATAACTGTCAACAAGTAATTTCTCAAACCTATGCCACTCGAGGGGACCTTTTAGAGGTTCCTTTGACTGATCCCGACCTCAACTTGTATACTGATGGAAGTTCCTTTGTAGAAAAAGGACTTCGAAAAGTGGGGTATGCAGTGGTCAGTGATAATGGAATACTTGAAAGTAATCCCCTCACTCCAGGAACTAGTGCTCAGCTAGCAGAACTAATAGCCCTCACTTGGGCACTAGAATTAGGAGAAGAAAAAAGGGCAAATATATATACAGACTCTAAATATGCTTACCTAGTCCTCCATGCCCATGCAGCAATATGGAAAGAAAGGGAATTCCTAACTTCTGAGAGAACACCTATCAAACATCAGGAAGCCATTAGGAAATTATTATTGGCTGTACAGAAACCTAAAGAGGTGGCAGTCTTACACTGCCGGGGTCATCAGAAAGGAAAGGAAAGGGAAATAGAAGAGAACTGCCAAGCAGATATTGAAGCCAAAAGAGCTGCAAGGCAGGACCCTCCATTAGAAATGCTTATAAAACAACCCCTAGTATAGGGTAATCCCCTCCGGGAAACCAAGCCCCAGTACTCAGCAGGAGAAACAGAATGGGGAACCTCACGAGGACAGTTTTCTCCCCTCGGGACGGCTAGCCACTGAAGAAGGGAAAATACTTTTGCCTGCAACTATCCAATGGAAATTACTTAAAACCCTTCATCAAACCTTTCACTTAGGCATCGATAGCACCCATCAGATGGCCAAATCATTATTTACTGGACCAGGCCTTTTCAAAACTATCAAGCAGATAGTCAGGGCCTGTGAAGTGTGCCAGAGAAATAATCCCCTGCCTTATCGCCAAGCTCCTTCAGGAGAACAAAGAACAGGCCATTACCCTGGAGAAGACTGGCAACTGATTTTACCCACAAGCCCAAACCTCAGGGATTTCAGTATCTACTAGTCTGGGTAGATACTTTCACGGGTTGGGCAGAGGCCTTCCCCTGTAGGACAGAAAAGGCCCAAGAGGTAATAAAGGCACTAGTTCATGAAATAATTCCCAGATTCGGACTTCCCCGAGGCTTACAGAGTGACAATAGCCCTGCTTTCCAGGCCACAGTAACCCAGGGAGTATCCCAGGCGTTAGGTATACGATATCACTTACACTGCGCCTGAAGGCCACAGTCCTCAGGGAAGGTCGAGAAAATGAATGAAACACTCAAAGGACATCTAAAAAAGCAAACCCAGGAAACCCACCTCACATGGCCTGCTCTGTTGCCTATAGCCTTAAAAAGAATCTGCAACTTTCCCCAAAAAGCAGGACTTAGCCCATACGAAATGCTGTATGGAAGGCCCTTCATAACCAATGACCTTGTGCTTGACCCAAGACAGCCAACTTAGTTGCAGACATCACCTCCTTAGCCAAATATCAACAAGTTCTTAAAACATTACAAGGAACCTATCCCTGAGAAGAGGGAAAAGAACTATTCCACCCTTGTGACATGGTATTAGTCAAGTCCCTTCCCTCTAATTCCCCATCCCTAGATACATCCTGGGAAGGACCCTACCCAGTCATTTTATCTACCCCAACTGCGGTTAAAGTGGCTGGAGTGGAGTCTTGGATACATCACACTTGAGTCAAATCCTGGATACTGCCAAAGGAACCTGAAAATCCAGGAGACAACGCTAGCTATTCCTGTGAACCTCTAGAGGATTTGCGCCTGCTCTTCAAACAACAACCAGGAGGAAAGTAACTAAAATCATAAATCCCCATGGCCCTCCCTTATCATATTTTTCTCTTTACTGTTCTTTTACCCTCTTTCACTCTCACTGCACCCCCTCCATGCCGCTGTATGACCAGTAGCTCCCCTTACCAAGAGTTTCTATGGAGAATGCAGCGTCCCGGAAATATTGATGCCCCATCGTATAGGAGTCTTTCTAAGGGAACCCCCACCTTCACTGCCCACACCCATATGCCCCGCAACTGCTATCACTCTGCCACTCTTTGCATGCATGCAAATACTCATTATTGGACAGGAAAAATGATTAATCCTAGTTGTCCTGGAGGACTTGGAGTCACTGTCTGTTGGACTTACTTCACCCAAACTGGTATGTCTGATGGGGGTGGAGTTCAAGATCAGGCAAGAGAAAAACATGTAAAAGAAGTAATCTCCCAACTCACCCGGGTACATGGCACCTCTAGCCCCTACAAAGGACTAGATCTCTCAAAACTACATGAAACCCTCCGTACCCATACTCGCCTGGTAAGCCTATTTAATACCACCCTCACTGGGCTCCATGAGGTCTCGGCCCAAAACCCTACTAACTGTTGGATATGCCTCCCCCTGAACTTCAGGCCATATGTTTCAATCCCTGTACCTGAACAATGGAACAACTTCAGCACAGAAATAAACACCACTTCCGTTTTAGTAGGACCTCTTGTTTCCAATCTGGAAATAACCCATACCTCAAACCTCACCTGTGTAAAATTTAGCAATACTACATACACAACCAACTCCCAATGCATCAGGTGGGTAACTCCTCCCACACAAATAGTCTGCCTACCCTCAGGAATATTTTTTGTCTGTGGTACCTCAGCCTATCGTTGTTTGAATGGCTCTTCAGAATCTATGTGCTTCCTCTCATTCTTAGTGCCCCCTATGACCATCTACACTGAACAAGATTTATACAGTTATGTCATATCTAAGCCCCGCAACAAAAGAGTACCCATTCTTCCTTTTGTTATAGGAGCAGGAGTGCTAGGTGCACTAGGTACTGGCATTGGCGGTATCACAACCTCTACTCAGTTCTACTACAAACTATCTCAAGAACTAAATGGGGACATGGAACGGGTCGCCGACTCCCTGGTCACCTTGCAAGATCAACTTAACTCCCTAGCAGCAGTAGTCCTTCAAAATCGAAGAGCTTTAGACTTGCTAACCGCTGAAAGAGGGGGAACCTGTTTATTTTTAGGGGAAGAATGCTGTTATTATGTTAATCAATCCGGAATCGTCACTGAGAAAGTTAAAGAAATTCGAGATCGAATACAACGTAGAGCAGAGGAGCTTCGAAACACTGGACCCTGGGGCCTCCTCAGCCAATGGATGCCCTGGATTCTCCCCTTCTTAGGACCTCTAGCAGCTATAATATTGCTACTCCTCTTTGGACCCTGTATCTTTAACCTCCTTGTTAACTTTGTCTCTTCCAGAATCGAAGCTGTAAAACTACAAATGGAGCCCAAGATGCAGTCCAAGACTAAGATCTACCGCAGACCCCTGGACCGGCCTGCTAGCCCACGATCTGATGTTAATGACATCAAAGGCACCCCTCCTGAGGAAATCTCAGCTGCACAACCTCTACTACGCCCCAATTCAGCAGGAAGCAGTTAGAGCGGTCGTCGGCCAACCTCCCCAACAGCACTTAGGTTTTCCTGTTGAGATGGGGGACTGAGAGACAGGACTAGCTGGATTTCCTAGGCTGACTAAGAATCCCTAAGCCTAGCTGGGAAGGTGACCACATCCACCTTTAAACACGGGGCTTGCAACTTAGCTCACACCTGACCAATCAGAGAGCTCACTAAAATGCTAATTAGGCAAAGACAGGAGGTAAAGAAATAGCCAATCATCTATTGCCTGAGAGCACAGCAGGAGGGACAATGATCGGGATATAAACCCAAGTCTTCGAGCCGGCAACGGCAACCCCCTTTGGGTCCCCTCCCTTTGTATGGGAGCTCTGTTTTCATGCTATTTCACTCTATTAAATCTTGCAACTGCACTCTTCTGGTCCATGTTTCTTACGGCTTGAGCTGAGCTTTCGCTCGCCATCCACCACTGCTGTTTGCCGCCACCGCAGACCCGCCGCTGACTCCCATCCCTCTGGATCATGCAGGGTGTCCGCTGTGCTCCTGATCCAGCGAGGCACCCATTGCCGCTCCCAATCGGGCTAAAGGCTTGCCATTGTTCCTGCATGGCTAAGTGCCTGGGTTCATCCTAATTGAGCTGAACACTAGTCACTGGGTTCCATGGTTCTCTTCTGTGACCCACAGCTTCTAATAGAGCTATAACACTCACCGCATGGCCCAAGGTTCCATTCCTTGAATCCATAAGGCCAAGAACCCCAGGTCAGAGAACACGAGGCTTGCCACCATCTTGGGAGCTCTGTGAGCAAGGACCCCCAAGTAACACAACCATGAGGGTGCAAATGCATGGGCCACTAATGGTAGAGCAAGAAAACAGAAGGGCCCTGGTTCCTCGAAGGCATCAGTGAGCTGAAATGCCTGCCCTGGATGTCCTATTCCTAGGTGTTTTTCTGCCTGAAGCAGATTAAACCCTTTGTTCACTTCTCCAAGTAGGGCTTCTATTACAGCCCAAATCAATCCCCACCCCAGATGACATCATCCTATTAATACTTTTCAAAGTCTTCCTGTCCTTAAACTTCCAGCTTCCCCAAAACCCCACAGAAGATCAGCAGTCTGCTCTCCTAAGGGAGCCTGGGCCTGACTGGCATAGCTCTCCCTTACAATAGTAAGCAATTAATTCAGCTTTGCGACTTGATCAGTCCAAAGTGGCTGCCAGTTTGAAAATCTCAGAAAGGTACCATATGTACTAAGAGAAGCCCTGACATGAGGGCCTAAGCCAAAAGTTGGCCCACATCCTTCCTCTTCCAAATTTAGGATGGGCACTGTAAAGATAAATATGAATTTAATAAGTTTAATTCCACCTGTTGAAAATGAGGCAAGAAATTTTCCTCCCCTCCATGTCAGGTTATTACTTGAGAAAACTTGTATGTGCTTTCTCAGTCTCTTTGAAATATATATATGTATATAATTTTTTTTTTATTTTGAGACGGAGTTTTGTTCTTGTTTCCAGGCTGGAGTGCAATGGTGCAATCTCGGCTCAACCTCCGCCTCCGGGTTCAAGTGATTCTCCTGCCTCAACCTCCCTGGTAGCTAGGATTACAGGCATGTGTCACCATGCCTGGCTAATTTTTTTGTATTTTTAGTAGAAATGGGTTTCATCATGTTGGCCAGGCTGGTTTCGAACTCCTGACCTCAGGTGATCCACCTGCCTTGGCCTCCCAAAGTGCTGGGATTAAAAGCATGAGCCATCATGCCCAGCCTGAAATACATATACAGATATATATATTTAAAAACTGAATCAGCCTTTTGTCAGCTTTATGACCTAGGAATGTCTTTCTCAAGGATCTGGGAAATGTAAACATTACCAGATAGCATACCTATCTTCCAGTTTCTGTGGGAGGGTAACAGCCTAATCTTAATGAGTACCTTGCACCAAGCTATAAAAGTAACTCCTGTTTCCACACTCCCCCACCCCCGAAAAGTTGATATCTTAGATAACACAAGTGGTCACATCAATTATCAGGTAAAGTTAGAATGAACTGTGTGACCAGTGGTGCTGTCAAGTTCTCTTAGTTGAGGACTATTTATCTCGAAAACATACATGTAATGGGCTGTACCTGCTTGGCTGTACAAAATGGTGAAATTTCCTTCTGTCTTTGTGATCTCTTAGCAAAGTGCCTGTGATGTGCATCACATTCTCATTTAATTTTTATTCAATAATAAAGCTTATCTTTCTCTACTGCCTTCATGGAGAGGATTTCTGGGTTGAGAGAAGATTTTGTTTTTTAAATTATATTTCCCCAACAGCACCTTCACCCTTTATTCTAAAACTGCTGGCTGGGTGTGGTGGCTTATGCCTGTAATCACAACCCTTTGGGAGGCCAAGGTCGGAGGACTGCTTGAGGCCAGGAGTTTGAGAACTAGCCTAAGCAATATAGTGAGACCCCATCTCTTAAAAAAAAATAGCTGGGCATGGTAGTGCACAACTGTGGTCCCAGCTACTCAGGAGGCTGAGGTAGGAGGATCACTTGAGCCTGGGAGGTGGAGGCTGCAGTGAGCAGTGATCACAACAGTGCACTCCAGCCCGGGTGACAGTGCAAGAACCTGTTTCAAAAAAAAAATAAAATTGCTGTCTTTTTCACTCACACCTTCACTATTCATGGGGAGAAGTGTGTAAGGTATAACAGTCTTTTTGTAATAAACCTCCCCACTTCCACTCTTCTAATCAGAAGTAGAGATGATGTTATGAGAAGTTGAGATTAAGGTTGTAGCTTTTCTTTTTTCTTTTTTTTGAGACCGAGTCTCACTCTGTCGGCCCAGACTGGAGTACAACGGTGCGATCTTGGCTCACTGCAACCTCCCCACTGCCCAGGTTCAAGTGATTCTCCTGCCTCAGCCTCCTGAGTAACTGGGATTACAGGGATGTGCCACCACGCCGGGCTAATTTTTGTATTTTTAGTAGAGACGAGGTTTCACCATGTTGACCAGGCTAGTCTTGAACTCCAGGCCTCAGGTGATCCCCCAACCTGGCCTCCCAAGGTGGGGGATTACAGGCATGAGCCACCATGCCTGGCAGATTGTAGCTTTTTTGTTTACAGTTTGGTAATTACTTCATGCCAGTCTGTCATGTTTAATAAACAACACAGGTTAGTGATTGCTTTTTTTCTTTTTTTTTTTGAGATGGAGTTTCCCTCTTGTCATCCAGGCTAGAGTGCAATGGCGTGATCTTGGCTCACTGCAACCTCCACCTCCCAGATTCAAGTAATTCTCCTGCCTCAGCCTCTGGAGTAGCTGGGATTACAGGCAGCGGCCACCACAGCCAGCTAATTTTTGTATTTTTAGTAGAGATGGGGTTTCACCATGTTGGCCAGGCTGGTCTCAAACTCCTGACCTCAGGTGATCCACCCGCCTCGGCCTCTCAAAGTGCCAGGATTACAGGCATGAGCCACTGCACCCAGCCAATTGCCTCTTCTTCAACAGAAAAGAAAGAAAATGAAACTATGTAAGTTCAGCCATGTGCAGGGATGCTTTAGAAATAACATTTAGATTTTTAATTTGTATTAGATTCTTTGGACCTAGTACTGTATTTCTCACAGTAGCATTTACCCAATTTCTTTCGGATCCTACGTATGGCAGTTCAGCAGTGACATTTCCATGGTATTTTCTTAACTTCTTTAGGCCTCATTTTTCCTATCTGTAGAATGAGGGAGTTAGATTAGATGGTCTCTAAATCCGTACATCTACAAAGAATATGAATCTTTGAAAAATTGTTTTCTTTATCTGGATCACAAGCCACTATCAATCTATGAGAATCTGCACTGGAGTTGAAGAAACAAGCTTTATTCACAAAATCAAATTTTATTTGCCTAGAAATGTTCGGCTTACAAAACCTGAAATGAACTCTTTGGAAGCTCCTCTATGGCATTATTCTGATGCTCAGGGCATCAACATGCTGGGACACTCCCTTGCCTAACCTCTGTGCCCAGGGGCCCTGCCTGAGGACGCTGGCAGGATTCTCTAGCTTGCTCTGAAAAACGATGCCTTTGCTGAAGCCACTCTTCTGGTTGTCCTTTTATGGCCTGTCCCCATTTCAGTGATTCCCCTGCAAGCTGAAGCATGCAGCAGTTAGACCAGTTTTTCCATTCTTCTTAATTCCCAAGGCCCTTTCCTAGGCTTTCATAATGCAAGACACAAGGACAGATGATTATTATTTCTAGGCTTCGGATATTTGTGCAGAGGACTAGAGTTGAGAAAGGGAGCCTTGACTGTGGTAGGCCTGAATGTGTTCTAAGTTTGGACATGACCTCAGAGTGAGCACTGAGGCTGGCCCACAGGCCAGAAACCCACAAAAATATGGCTGTCCATCTTGCCCACCTGCCTAACAGTTTGTCCCATAAAAGCATTAAATTAGGAGACAGAAATCAACTAGGTGCAGAGTTTTGTTACTGCATTGCACGTCTCCTGAGTTCTCAAATCCGTATTTTCAATTATCTAATGGATATTCAAGTCCAGGAGATGGCTCACAGTCCTCACATTACAAAACAGAACACACACCTCACATCACATGCAAATCTCCACCTAGCCTTGTTTACTAACTGGGAGATTTTTAAATTATAAGAATCAAGTAGGATCTTTGCCCACGTATTTTTTTAAGAGTTTTTCACCTACCAAAAAGTTGTACTCAATGTCTTCCTTAATTCATCCTCCTCACTCAGTCTCTATTTACAACTGGTTATTAAATTCTGTTGACTTTATCTCCTATATATCTATTTTTTAAAGATTATGGTAAAATATGCATAACAAAACTTACAATTTTAACCTTTTTTTTGAGACTAAGTCTCGCTCTGTCCCCCAGGCTGGAGTGCAGTGGCGCAATCTCAACTCACTGCAACCTCTGCCTCCTGGGTTCAAGCAATTCCTAGGCCTCATCCTCCCAGCAGCTGGGACTACAGGCACCCACCACCACACTCGACTAATTTTTGTATTTTTAATAGAGATGGGGTTTCGCCACGTTGGCCAGGCTGGTCCTTAACTCTTGACCTCAACTGATCTGCCTGCCTTGGCCTCCCAAAGTGCTGAAATTACAGGCATGAGCCACCGCACCCAGGTATCAACCTTTTTTTTTTTTTTTTTGAGACGGAATCTGGCTCTGTTGCCCAGGCTGGAGTGCAGTGGCGCGATCTCAGCTCACTGCAAGCTCCGACTCCCAGGTCACACCATTCTCCTGCCTCAGCCTCCCGAGTAGCTGGGACTACAGGTGCCTGCCACCATGCCCGGCTAATTTTTTTTTTATTTGTTTTTATTTTTTAGTAGAGACAGGGTTTCACCATGTTAGCCAGAATGGTCTCAATCTCCTGACCTCATGATCCGCCTGTCTTGGCCTCCCAAAGTTCTGGGATTTACAGCCATGAGCCACTGCGCCAGCCCAGTATTAACCATTTTTAAGTGTACAATTTAGTGTCATTAAGTACATTCATCATGTTGACTACTGTCACTACCCATTTCCAGAATTTTTTCAAAATCACTCCAAACCGAAAATTTGTACCCACAATACCCCTCTTCCCACAACCCTGGTAACCTCTAATGTTCTGTATCTATGACATAATTTGCCTATTCTAGGTAACTAACTCATATAAGTGGAATTATACAATATTTGTCCTTTTAAGTTTGGCTTATTTCCATTAACATGTTTTCAAGGTTCATCATTATAGCATGTATCAGAATTTCATTCCTTCTACGGCTGAATAATATCCCACTGCACGACCTCACCACGTTTTGATCATCCATTCGTCTGCTGATGGGTCCTTGTGTTGTTTCTATCTCTGTCAGCTTGGGCTGCTGCAACAAAATACCGTAGCCTGAGTGGTTTAAACAACACACATTCATTTCTCACAGTTCTGGATGCTGAGAACCCAAGAGCAAGGTGCTAGCAGATTTGGGTTCTGGTGAGAGCTCTCTTCCTGGCTGTGGCCACCTTCTGGCTGTCTTCTTACATAGTGAGGAGAGAAAGGAAGGCTTTGGTCTGTTCTCCTCTTCCTAAAAGGACACTAATTCCACTATGCGGGCTCCACCCTCATGACCTCGTAGAAATCTGATTACCTCCCAAAGGCCCTACTCCCCTAATACCATTGCCTTGGGGGCCAGGGCTTTAACATATGAACTTGGGGCATGGGGATCAGGCACACATTCAGCCTGTAACACCATTTAGATTACCATCTTTGGACCTAAATATCTATTTTAAAGTTGTATTTTTTTCCTGACTACGTAAGTAGTGGATGCTAGTAATACAAACTTCAAAATTTTTAAAAGCATAAAGAATATTAAAATGACTGTAATTCCAACTATGCTTGTTATTTTGTTTGTTCCAGTTTTCTTTATATGCATATGTATGCATGTGTATATGTGTGTGTTTTTGTTTTTTTTTTTTACAAAATCAGAATCATTATGTAGTTGTGTCCAGGTTTTACACTAAACATTTTATAAACTTTTTTTTGCGTTATTAAAAATTATTTGTAAATGGTATTTCTGATGACAGCATAAAATTCTATTAGAAAAATATCAAAATTCATTTTCCTATTGTTGGACCTTTAGATTGTTTCTGGTTTTTCACAACTTTAAATACTGTTAACAACTTCTTTTTATACCCATTTTTTGGTCCACATTTTAAATCCTCTTAGCATGGATTCTTAGAAATGAAATTACTGGATCAAGAAGTACTTTTAATACTTTTAAGATTATAGATACATATTGCTATTCTAAAAAGCTATGTTAATTTACATTGGCCACCAGCTGGATAGGGTGTCCCTCTGTGCCTCTGAGGTGGTCCCTAGTGGTCTCTGCCCTTGGAATTCACGCCCTTGTGTGGTCCTGTGTTCACACTGTACCAGAGTTGGTCTGTGTGACCCAACAGCATATGGCAGAAGTGCTGGTATGTCCCTTCTTTCAGATTAGGTTATAGAAAAGATGGTGGCTTCCATCTTGGGTGCAACTGCCCTTGCGTCTTTCTGTCACGGACCATTTGCTGTGAGCAAACCTGTGGAGGCCCACAGAGAGGAATGGAAGCTTCCTGCCAACAGCCACATGAGGGAGCTGTTTCTCCCATTTTATTCTTTGCTTTTCAATTTAGTATATAAACTTTAAAAATAATCCAATCTATCTTTCCCTATGTGATCTCTTTCATTACTTTTTGATTTAAAAAATGTATCAAAGCACTACATATTCATAGCAAAAAGATGGCCAAATAATTCTAAACAGTTTATAATGAGAAACAGTAGTTCCTTGCCTTCTCTTTCAGAGTCTCAGCAACTGTTATCAGCCAGAATTCGATCAGAGAAACAGAACCACTAGGAGCGATATAGAAAAGGAATCTATAAAGGAAACTTTACCTTACACAATTGTTGGAGCTTGCTGAACACTCTGTGTAAGGCTGTTGCTTCTGTGTTTGGTGTTGGGGCCTTAAGTCAGCAGCGCAGGCAGTCTGGAAGGGAAGACAGATTTCAAGTGGAGGACAGGAAAGAAAAACTTGAACCTACATCAGTCTCTTACCCTCGCCAAACCTCCAATTCAGATGATACAGGCACCCTGCAGAAGAAGCTGGTGACCTTTACCACAGAGCTAAGCATGCGCCTGGCCCAGGAGTGGCTGAAGCTGAAGGAAGTCACTCCCAAGTTCTTTCCTAGAATCATGATGTGAATATAGGAAAATAATGAAATCACTGACTTTATTTTCTCAGCTGGTCATTCACTCCCTTTCAAGGGTTTAAGAACTACTATTTATAAAATATTCTAGATATGTATAGACTAAAAGCCAGCGGTTGTTCACCACCAGTTGGGCACTTATGCAAACAAACGTGTGTGTGTGTGTGTGCTTATTGTAAAAAATTTGGAAAATACTGCTTGTTAGAGAAAATTTGGAAAATACTGCGAAGTATAAAGCTGAAAAAAGTAGCTGCAGAAAACCTCTGTTGACATGTTAAAATTCTGGAGGAATTTCCGTCTTTTTTTTTTTTTTTTTTTTTTTGAGAGAAGGTCTCACTTCTATCACCCAGGCTGGAGTGGTGGCACAATCATGGGTCACTGCAGCTCAAGTGATCCTCCACCTCAGCCTCTTAAAGTGCTGGG
This sequence comes from Homo sapiens, assembly GCF_000001405.40. NCBI lineage: Eukaryota > Metazoa > Chordata > Mammalia > Primates > Hominidae > Homo > Homo sapiens. Next base: position 92,460,675 of record NC_000007.14, on the reverse strand, counting down.
ATTACAGGCATGAGCTACTGTGCCTGGGCTCCTTCCATCTTTTATAAAAGATGCTTCTTGTTTGCAGAATTGCTATCATACAGTTCTACATTCTGCTTTTTTCTCTTATTTATTGTGAACCTTTCCGCTACTACGAGCAATCTTCCTTGTGGGTCACCATTAAGAGGTGCTTAAATAAATTACTGTGCATTTATGCATCTGACCCAATAATTAATGGCCCACCTCTTGTGGGTCATTTGGGTTCCTTCTCTTGGCACAGACCTTCTCCTGGCTTATATTTCTTGGGTGTAGGAGGTATACCCTCCTACCAAAGGTATGGCTCACACACCTGGTATGAAGTAAACAGCACAGTTCTTCAAACATCCCCAGGGCAGCCAGACAAAATCCACAAAAATGCCTCTCCCTTTTCTGGGCATGACAGAAACTTCATTCTAAGCGTGTGCAATGTTTATATGTAGACACAACACACATGCATGTGTATAAAGCAAATAAATACATTTCCCTCTATTGTTCATTTGATTTCACCTACTTACGGCTGAAGTGGAAAACTTATTAGGCCTGGAAAAGCCTTTCACAGCCAGGAACTGGAATGGTTTGGGATAATTTCCTTCAAATACTCATATTAAGCTTTATTTGTGTTAAGAGAACTATTTAAAACTCATCTTAAAAACATCTTGTTTAAAACAATCTTAAAAACAATCTAATACTAACCCAGAATGTAACAATCTAAATTTTACTTGACTATTCACAATAGAATTTAAAAGTTTCAGCCAAAGTTAATATGAATTAATAACTAAAATATCAACAAGCATTTTAGTTAACAGTATCTAACTCAGACCCTACAATCAGCATCTCCCATAAGCAAGAACCGGGGTTAGGTTATGTGGAAGTTACAAAGATGAGTAAATAAAACACAGCATCCCTGTCATCCCAGGACCAAAGGGATAGGAGTGAGGATGATGGAAGTAGAAACTTAAATGTGATGACAATAGGATAGAGATTGATTCCAAAAAGGCATGGGAATCTGGAAAGTTCTCAAAGAAAGAATCCGAAGGTGTTAAGAAAGGCCTTTGGAAGGTAGAATTGGAGAGAACAGTATGAACAAGGACTCAGAGCCAGAAAAATTGGGCGGGCATACAGGGGAAAGATTTTAGTGGTAATGAGGAAACAAGGCTGGGAACACAGACCAGGGCCATATCAGGTCCGGCCTCAGCAGGAGAAATATAAGCAATGGGAACCATCACACTGGGTGAAATTCAATCTTTATTTTAAAAGATGGTACACAACCATCTGCCAATTTATAAACAGATGATCAATTTATAGATTTTTAAAAGTCTACATTTTAATAAATGTTTTACATTGTGTTCATTTTATTAGCCATTTTTTGATTTTCCTAAAATCTGTTACTTATTAATGATGAATCTACTCCAAAATCTTTTTTTTTTTTTTTTGGAGATGGAGTCATGCCGTCACCCAGACTGGAGTGCAGTGGCGCGATCTCGGCTCACTGCAGTCTCTGCCTCCTGAGTTCCAGCGATTCTCCTGCCTCAGCCTCCCGAGTAGACTAGCTGGGATTATAGGCGCACGCCACCACGCCCAGCTAATTTTTGTATTTTTAGTAGAGACGGGGTTTCATGTTGACCAGGCTGGTCTCGAACTCCTGACCTCAGGTGATCCGCCTGCCTCAGCCTTCCAAAGTGCTGGGATTACAGGCGTGAGCCACTGTGCCCGGCCTCTACTCCAAATTCTAAGTACGATACTGTTTTGGTTTTAAATACCATTTTTGGTTAAAGAGCCCCATTTAAATTGTTTAAATGAAATAAATACATCCAAAGTAAATGCACGGTGAAAAATACATTTTAATCCAAAAGTTTTGAATATTGGCACTTAGAAAGTTATTTACAATCAATTTTACTATACCCTTTGTGAATAAAGAGATAATTATGTACGTGTAGCTACCTATAGTTGTTTCTTTCCAACTCAAACACCATAACTATGTGGAAAAAGGGTAAGAGTTAAAGCTGCTGCAGCTCAAAATCATTACAATCAACTTAGATTCTGCAAATTTTCCCAGGGTTGAAAAATGCTGGTTAAATCAGGACAAAAGAGGAGGCAAGTGAGTACACCCCACTCCTCTCCCATTTTACGTGTTGCTCCCTTACTTAACCGGCAAAGACCTGCACCTGAATTCTAGACAATTTCATATACAACAGGCCTCTTATTATGGGTCCATAGCAGATGGTTTAGGGTAGATGTTTTAAAGATATCAATGCTAATGGCCTACCAATGACTTTCATGACCTCCCAATATTCGTTTTAATGGTAGTCAAGAGACTATCAAGCAGGAAGCCTGATCTCGACATGTTTCCTCTGCGGCTTTGGTGAAGCTGACTATCTGCAGTATAAAATCTTATGGTTTGATCGAAGTCTCATTTTTGACTAGAAACAGTAAAGAGCAGCTTTATTAAGATCAATGGAATGGTTCTGAATGCCTGTTTCTACAGAAGGATTAAATTAAAATTTTTTCTTTTTTTTCTTTTTTGAGACAGTCTTGCTCTATCACCCAGGCTGGAGTGCAGTGGCACGATCTCGGCTTACTGCAATCTCCACCTCCCGAGTTCAAGCAATTCTCCTGCCTCAGCCTCCCGAGTAGCTGGGATTACAGGCATGCACCATAACACCCAACTAATTTTTGTATATTTAGTAGAGACAGGGTTTCATCATGTTGGCCAGGCTGGTCCTGAACTCCTGACCTCAAGTGATCCATCCACTCAGGCCTCCCAAAGTGCCGGGATTACAGGCATGAGCCACCGCACGTGGCCTAGATGAAAGTTTTTAAAAGCCTGGGCTAATAAAATCATCCACCAATCATTTTTCTTATGGTTAAAGCAGCCAAAAAGCTGTCACAGCATTTTTGAGATGAGAACATAAGGCTTGTGTGGCTTTATGATAGATGCTGTTAGTCATTTTATTTGATTAAGCCCTTGGTCAGTCATCTATACCTTAATTAATATTTTGTTCTTATAGAAAAATACAATCCATTTTATGAGTTTCTAGAAATAAATAATGGAGAAAAATAGATACTACCTGTTCCTAATGGTCTCTCTGGAAATTACAGCTTTTGCCTAGGAAGATACACATATAGAATATAATTTAAGTTCAAAATATATTTCATTATATTCTATCCCTTTTAATTTTTTGTTTGTTTCTTTGAGACGGAGTCTTGCTCTGTCCACCCAGGCTGGAGTGCAGTGGCACGATCTCTGCTCACTGCAACCTCCGCCTCCTGGGTTCAACCAATTCTCCTGCCTCAGCCTCCCGAGTAGCTGGGACTACAGGTGTGCGCCACCACACCTGGCTAATTTTTGTATTTTTAGTAGAGACAGGGTTTCACCATGCTGGCCAGGCTGGTCTCGAACTCCCAACCTCAGGCGATCCATCTGCCTCAGCCTCCCAAAGTGCTGGGATTAAAGGCGTGAGCCACTGTGCCCAGCCTTTTTTTTTTTTTTTTTTTTCCGAGACAAGAGTCTCACTCTGTTGCCCAGGCTGGAGCACAGCGGTGCAATCTTGGCTCACTACAACCTCCACCTCCTGGGTTTAGGCGATTCTCCTGCCTCAGCCTCCCAAATAGCTGGGATTACAGGCACATGCCACCACACCTGGCTAATTTTTGTATTTTTAGTAGCGACGGGGTTTCGCCATGTTGGCCAGGCTGGTCTCGAACTCCTGACCTCAGGCGATCCACTTCCCGACCTCAGGTGATCCGCCTGCCTCGGCCTCTAAAAGTGCTGCAATTACAGGCATAAGCCACTGTGCCTGGCCCTATCCCTTTTAATTTTCTAAGTGACCAGTAATAAACAATGATTTGTTTATTACTAGGTAGCAGGAGAAAAACTTTTTAGTCACTTTTCCAGCTAAGAATTTCATTTAAAGATACCTATGACATATCTTGTGGTACTAAGAATATTAGAGAACTGGAAATCCAGTTTTTTTGTGGTTTTTTAAGAAAGAGAATCTGACTCCATTGCCCAGCTTGGAGAGCAGTGGTGCAATAGCTGGGGCTACAGGCGTGAGCCACCACACCAGGCCTGGAAACCCAGTTTTAATTTGTGAACTACAAATGGTTGGCAACTGATTCCTTAATTGTTATTGCAGGAGTAGGCCCAACATGAGTCCATATGTAGCCCTTCTCTGGTCTGGTGGGAACTGTGGGAAATGGTGATGACCGTGACTTGAAATACTCAGAAGGTGCATGACAAACAAATTCCAAGTATTCCATCTTCCTTGGAAGATCTTCCTCTGGCCCTGGAAGGCAGCCAAGGGAAAGGTTAAATACATTTTTGACCATATATATCATTTTCATAAGATGTTAAAATTTCTAGACACTGGGAGAGACCACTCTGGGAGCAACCTGGCATTAGCCCTTGAAACATGCATTACTTTGAAATTATTCTTAATCATTTTTTCTTCTTTAACGGCTTAAAGAATATGGCATTCTCCCAAAAACAGTGATTGAACACTTGCATCATGTTTATTTTGTACCCACACTGCTCTAAGTTTACATGTATCAATACCTTCATTCCTCACATCAACCTTCTGAGGTAGGCACTATTATTATTCCCATTTTACATATGAGGAAAGTGAGGCAAGAGAGACTAAGAAACTTGCCAAAGTCACATGGCCGGTAAATGGCAGGCTGTGAACCTAGACAGTCTGGCTCCAGAACTGGTGTTCTGACCTCATGCCATGCTGCCTCGCTGTAGGACAAGGATGCATATCAGAATCTGGGGATTAGAAAGAGGAGGCAGTAGAGGAATCCCGAAGGTGATTCTGATACATCACTGCCTCTGCTGAGATCCTGATCCATAGATAAGGTAAATAAAAATTCTATATACTTATAAGCAGAAGGCTAGAATTGTTTGGTAATGTATCAAACTTGACATATAGGTGAGAATAACAGTGGTATATTATTTGTCCCTGGAGTTCTCTCCAAAAACACACTTATGCTTGTTCTCAGGATGCAAAAGTAATGATGCATGCTCACTGCAGAAAGATAAAAAGTCTGAAGTAACTGTAAAAATCTGAAAACTTTAAAAATTGTATTAATCAGTAAATTCTTGTGAGTCTATCTCACAACTGTTTTGGCAGCTTTGAAATTAACAAAAGCACAGCAGCTGCCATTTCAACTATCAGCCTTTATACTATAAAGGCCTAAGATGACATGTGTAGCATGCAGAGGCACACATATTGAGAATTTGCAAGTATGGGATAACTGGGATAGTTCTTTCCTAAATTATTTTTGAATAGGTTTGTATAAATAAGTAACCTAAATAACCTAGTTCCTGAGCAATACATTCTTGTAGTACAGTTTAACCCTGGGTCACTCCAAAAAAATCTTATCCATACCACTTCTTAGTAGATGCACATTGCTCTAACTCAAAATAACTGATAGCACTCACACTCCAGCTACATAAAATGCCTCATATTTTCTATAAAGCTCTCTAATTTTTTTGTACTTAATAATACTCATGCTTTTTTTGTTATGGACTGAATTGCATCCCCCCCCGCCACCCTCCAAATTTATATGTTGAAGCCCTAATCCCCAATGTGATGGTACTTGGAGATGAGACCTTTAGGGAGGCAATTAAGGTTAAATGAAACCATAAGGGTGGGGCCCTCATCTGACAGAAATGGTGTCCTTATAAGAAGATACACCAAAGAGCTCTCACTCCATGAAAGGCCATGTGAGGACACAGCAAGAAGGTGACCATCTATATGCCAGGAAGAAAAGCCTCCCCAGAAATCCGTGTTGCCAGCACCTTGATGTTGGACTTCAGCCTCCACAACTGTGAGAAAGTGACTTTCTGTTGTTTAAGCCACTCAGTCTGTGATATTTTGTCCTGACAGCCCAAGCTGACTAACACACTCTTTTACATAATATTGGAGAGTTAACTAAGTTAAAAAAAAACCTGTGCCATTTGTCAAACTTACCTATGATATAGGAGGCGGGATCAAATTGGTCTCTGGGGCTAGAGAGGGTAGGAATGAGCCACGTCAGTGCTGCACTCTTCTCGCAATACTGGTCCTGGATAAAACCTCTGATTTGAGCATAGTAGGGCTTTCCATCTTGTTCATCAATCACAGAAACAACATCACCAATTTGGTAATATACTCCCTGGGGGAAACAGAAGATAATCCCACATTGAAAATAAAAATAGAACATCACAGCTATGAATGAACCTTAATAGGTAAGCAAGTTTTCAAAGTGGTCAGTAAAAGGTGTTCGAGATAGTCTAATGTATCAGTGTTTATATGTTTGGTGCCAATTCTAAAGTTGTTTCACGTTTGAATGAAAATTATACATACACATACGAGGGTGCATATATGACAGTTTACATCTGGAGAAAAGATTTGTTCATAAAGTATTTTGATTTTATATTGCCGTAATACCATCCCCACTTTTTAAAAAATAGACTTTATTTTTTACAGAGGTTTTAGGTTTACAGCAAAATTGAGCAGAAGTAGAGAGATTTCCCATATACTTCCTGCCCCCACACATGCACATCCTCCCCTATTATCAATAACCCCTCCCACCACTAGAGTGGTACACTTGTTACACGGATGAACGTACACTGACATAGCATCATCAAAGACCAGAGTTCACATTAGGGTTCACTCTTGGTGCTGTGTATTCTGTGGGGTTGGGCAAATGTATAATGACATGTACCCACCATTATAGTATCATACAAAGAGAGTATTAATAGTTTCACCGCCCTAAAAATCCTCTGTGCTCCGTACTATCCCTACTTTGTTAGCCACAGTCATGAAGCAGTAGTAAGGTTAAACGGCTTGCTGAAAGCCATAGAGACTGCAGCCAAAGCTCCTACATCAGCTCAGCAGTCTTTTCTCTGTACTGTCTTGAAAATCATGCTGATTTGGTAAGAATGCATTCTACATGCCACCCTCCCCAACCATCCACTCAAAGAAAATAGATACCATGAATTCAAACCAAAACAAATTCAAACCAAAAATAATCTTTGGATTATAGTCTTCAGGATATGTTTACCTCAACCTACTGTACATCTCCTAGACTCACTGCTGCCTTTCTCTTCCACTCCCAGTTGAGTTTTATATCCTTCCACAACAGGACTACTAGTATTTCTGGCATTCAAGGCTTTGTGTCTCATTCATTTCTGTTCCACTTTATACCCAACTAACTAATGTGTACATGTCCTGTGTTAAATCCTCCCTATGACTCTGGTATCCATCCTATGTCCTCTTCCCTGGGTCTTGAGCTGGAAATAATCTCTCCTCTGAACACCCATAATGGTTGATCCAAATCTTTATGACATCCAGCACCTCCTTAAGTGGGTATAGTTCTTGGTAAGATATACTGTCCTTGACTACGGGAACAGTGTAATTCATTGCTGCTTCCCTTGAAACAGGGACTTGGCAGCAGGTAAAGCTGTAGGAATGTGTACCTCAACCATAAAAACACTTTTGAGGAAATACTTCCAGTAACTGAACTGTAACATAGCACCTGATAGGCCAGGAGTTTTTTCCTGGTGGACCCTTTATCCAAGTGTCTGAGGGTGGCTGTTTCATCTGGATCACTACGGATGGGTCTGGTCTATGCAGGCCACAGTCCGCTACTTGCTAGTTCCTACCCATCAATAGCTGGTCCTTCCTCCCAGCCATCAGTCCAAAGTTATTTATCATATAAATAGTTTGCATTTATGGTTTGTTTGTCCACATGTATAATCAATATTCCCAAATTCTAAATGAGAATACTTGCTTATCATAGGCTTACTATGCATAACACAGCATATTCAAATGTATGCTGAATGAATATGAATCCAAAACATCTACTTTCATAGTGTAAAGGCAGAAATGCAAAGTAAAAACAATGTCTTAGTGAAAGATTCCAGTGGTAGGCAGTGCCTGGCACATAGTAGGTATTTATTAATATGTGCTGTGTTGTGTACACATATATAACACCAAACAGGACTAAGTCACTGATCTGAGTAGTCTCCTCATTTGCTGAGAGGATTCAAGGTTTCTGGTAGAGAAAAGGGGTCCACACGAGAACAGCACTAGTTTAGGCATCACCAGATCTGAGTTCATGGAGTTGTTCTGCCACTGCCATGCTCCAGGGAGGCCACTCAGCCATTCTGGGTCTTGGGTGGTCACACTCTTGGCCGTGATCCCCAGTGGCTCCCACTCAGGCTCCTCTTGCATGCCTGATCTGGGCTCTAGCTCAGTGGCTGGCAGTGACCTCTTGAACTTGCCACCATGGTGCTGCCTGCCAGTGGCACTGCTGTGATAGCCACTACAATACTGGGCATTTGCAACATTACTTGACTACTTTGTTGCATTATTGTCCTTATCATTTAATAAACATGGGTGGCAGACAACAATACGAAAGTACAGACAGTCACAATAACAGGTCCCACACACCCTTCCATGGAGACACACATGGAAACTGTTAGTACACTAAACCCGTAGCTCAACAAGTTGCTTCTGGCCTTAATCTGTAAACTGTGAAGGTAATGCACAAATACGAAGATGTGATAACTCCTACTATTCATTGAGTGCTTACTCTGCTAAGTGCTTAACACATATGATTTCATTTGACCCACTGAGGTAGTAACTATTTACAATTCCTATTTTACAGATGAGACATTAGAGAGGTTGGTCCTCGTCACATAGCCAGTCACTTGCTAAAGCTGTAGAGCCAGGAACTATGCTCTAGGCTTAAGCTCTGGCATGAGACTGCCTCACTCCATGACTTGTTGGCTATGTGATCTTGGACAAGTTAATTAACCTCGCTGTGCCTCAATGTTCTCATCTAGAAAATGGGGATAGTAGTATCCACCTCATAGAGTGAACTGAATGAAATAAAGCATGCAAAATGCTCAGCCACTGATACACAGCAACTGTTTGCTAAACTTTAGATATTTTATTAACAATGTATTAAATGTTGGAAAAATAAGAGAGATGTTTGCCTGTGTACAGACTTTTTTTGTTGTTGGTTTTTCCCAGCCCTGCTGAGGAATGCCAGTGTACCCCTGTTGGGAGGAACAGACTTCGACTATATAGATTGTGGGCTTAAAAAAAAGTATACTTAAGGGCATCATCACTTGAGTTTCTCAGTCCACCTGGGTCAAGTATAAAGTACTAACTCACACCACTGTCCCCTAAATGACAGTTCAGATCCCGAAACACCAAATAGCCTTCAATGGTTGCTGCCTGTGCCGTGCCAGGCCTGCCGAGCCTTGGGGGTCTATGTTCTAATTCCTTTCCTAAGACTTCTGGTTTAAACACAACAATCTGTCACTTCTCTCACTGAGGTATCAGATGTTCATGGACTTTGGCCCTGGGAAACCTGACCTCCTCATTCTTTTATCAAAACATCTTGGAATTCCTCTCACTATGAATTTCTAGTAGGTGTTAATCCTCACTACTGCCCTTACTCAGCTCAACTCCACTTAAAGGCATTTTAGAATCTCTGGGCCTACTCTACCCATTTGACACCACAGTCGACAACCTCTACTAGTCCAAATCCTGTCTCTGTCCTTCTCATTCTTCAATGCCATCGCACTAACGGCTCAGTCTTCCATGGCTCCACACTATACAATCAGCATTTTAAGAATAATTCCTACAATCTACACTAAAAAAAAATACTTAAGATCCTCACATCATGTGTCAGTAGGCACTTTCTCCTCCCACTTCAGCTCTAGATGAGATGTTTTAATAACAGCCACTTATGGGGGAAAACAGCTAAGAAGGGAACAAAAAGTATAATCACACCTTATACAAATAAAGAGTAGCAGAGACCTTTAGACTAATCCAACATTTTAGTGGCACATTACCCACTAGGCCCAACTCTTCCTTCAGTAACTCTACAAAAGCTTACCTTGTAGAAGATTGATTCTGCAGTGATTATAGTGGAAACTGACTCAGGAGCTTTGATGGGCTATGAAAATACAAAAAACATTAGCACATTCATAGTATGTATGTGTCTACAGGCATTTTCCCAGCCCTATGAGAGTTCTGCAATTTGAGAAGTACTAAAATGTATTGTTTGGTGACAAGAACTGCAATAAAAAGATAAATGATTTTCTGAATGTTGTGGCAAAGCAGTCTATTTCCACTGCAATTTCTGCTACTATTAGCTTAAAAATTGCTGAGACAAAGGACAACCTTCTGATTATGCTGCTGAGATCTAATGCAAAGTCCTCTCAGAGCTTCACTACACATAAACATTCCAGTTATAAAAATGTACCTGCTCTAATAGCCTGAGCATGACAGAATGCAAGTAACAGAAAATGTACAGATGAATACAAAGTGAAAAAGTGTCTCCTCAAAGACATTTCCCAACTCAACTATGGAACTAGCCATAATACTCAACATAGGTTTTCTAGCAAGCTGAAACTAAGGCTTTAGAAACTTTGAGAGTTCTTAGTAATTTGCTACCATCCAACCATTTTTGAGATCTCTACTAAAGCTTCAATACATACTTTTATGCCACAACATAGAAAGTAGGCCTCCCCAGATGTGTCTTGCTTAGTACCATTGAAGAAAGGTTGCAGAGAAACGATAATGAAATAATTGCTGAGAACACGGTATACCATACTTAAAAGGAAAAAAATGTGCATATGTGATACAAATATCAATAACATGTTTTGTGTAATCAACAAATGCCTCACTTAACTATAAAAATCTTAAATAAATTAGAAGCAACTAGTCTGAATAAGAAAATACTTTGGGGAAGGGAACATCACACACTGGGGCCTGTCGGAGATGGGGGCCAAGGGGAGGGAGAGCATTAGGACAAATATCTAATGCATGCGGGGCTTAAAACCTAGATGATGGGTTGATAGGTGCAGCAAACCACCATGGCACGTATACCTATGTAACAAACCTGCACATTCTGCACATGTATCCCAGAACTTAAAGTAAAATTAAAAAAAATTCATTAAATTAAATTAAAAAAAAAAAAAGAAAATAGTCTGCCATCTGCATAAGTCTACTGCAGGGTCCCTTTGTGTTTTAGAAATAAATATGGCCAACTTCAGAAACGTCTTTACGGGTAAGTGAAACATTCCTGTTCTGAAAGAAAAGAATATCATACTGAGACTTAAAAAAATAGTCCATAATGCACTGTCCACTGTGTTTGAACATTATCCCTTGTTTATAAAAACTGAGAATTTAATTGCAATAAAAATATGCTTTCAACTACTTCCAGCACAGGTCTTTCAACAATCTCTTTTCTTAGAGCAGAAGAGGAGATAAGGCTTAGCAAAATTTTTGACTCATATTCATCAAATACATCATCATCATAAGTCAGTAAGATACATTTTCTGGGGCTTTAATAACAAATAAATATGCAAATGATGAGTTCTAGTGTTAATATTTACTTAGATTTTTAAAGAATGAAAAAAAAAAGTTTTCTTAGTGTACCTGGCCATATCAAGAACCATAATCTCTCCTCTTCCTTTCCATAGAGAACCCCAAAAAATGGGCTCAAGGTTGATGTTTCTTTTAAACCCATATTTTATATTTTCCAGGGGAAAAAATAAAAGCTAAAAAACAAAAAGGAAAGAGTATTATTAACTTTATAAACAGTGAGCCTCCTGCAACAGAGCTCATTCCCTTTTGGGGAATCTGGACCATTCCCCAGAATACTAAGGAAGGGCTACCAAGGGCAGAGTCCAAGTTCAATGGTGAGAAATGAAGGCAGTGGCAGGATACACACAACGTCATTACAGTAAAAGGCACTGTCCACAAATATCTTACATTTTTCAATTTAAATATATGTCTTCTCCCTTTTCCTTTGGTGGAGACTTTCTTTTCAGCAGCCGGAGCAGATTTGTATTTAGTGTTTCTGAGCCGAGCAGACCTCCTGTGAATTTCCTGCTTACTCTGTTACACAAACAAATTAAAGAACAAAAAGAGAAAGAAGTAAAAAGTGCATAAAGGTTGCAGTACAATCATCTTACAAGGATCCCAGAGTATGTACTTTATAAGAGCATTTAACAATTAAGATTGCCCTTTTGCTTTTCAAGAGAAGTAATTACAGCAACTAGGCTAAGTAAAACCGGAAGTTCAGCACCCGGAATCTCGGAGCTCGCTGGACAGGCGTCTCCAGAGCCTCCAAAAGGTGTGAGCTGCTTGTAATAGGGCAGGAGGCGGGAGTAGGAGTCAGTCTTGACCAAGACAAACACTATTCATTTGTTGTGTCTACAATAGAGAAAAACACTTAACAACTTTACTCCCTAAGGCCAGAGAACGTAGTAGGTTATGGCGCCCCCTGCAACGGAATACTTAAGCTGCCATTTACAATAATGACATAATAATCTTACTTCATAACCTGATATGACAAAACCTTTAACAAGGAATGAGGTCCAGCGCCTGCATTTGTGGCATGACACTGTATACGACTGTGTAGACATGTGTATATTGAGATTTTCTTAAGGGCTTTACATCTTGGTTCTTATTGCTTTGAATTTCTTACAATAACAGGTGCTTCGGAATGGGCCAAACGAAAGATCTCAGTAGGAGGTGGGGAGGGGCGTTCCAGCCAGCAGGAGCACGGCGATCGGGGAAGCCCGCGCCCGCCCGCTCCCAGCCAGCCCGTCCCCGCCCGCCTAGCACCTGGTCGGCCTCCGCCGGCGGGAGGGGCCGGAGGAGCTCACCTGCTTGCCGCCCCCGCCCCCGTTGCTCTGCGGAGGGGTGGCGGAGGTGCTGGCGAAGGTCGCCGCGCCGAAGCCGCCGCCGCCGCTGCCCCCAGTCCCTCCAGCCGCCCCCGAGCCTGCGCCCCCGCTGCCCGCGCCGCCCCGGCCAGTGCAATGATGGCAGAGGATCTCCCCCTGCGCTCCCTTCTTCCACATGGAGGACGACGTGGTCTTGCATACGCTGCAGGTGGGCTTCAGGCCCAGCGGCATGGTGGCCGGCTCGGGCGGCCCCCGCGGGCGCAGAGACACGGGAATGGCGGACGGTAGCCCGGCCGCCCCCTGGTCGGCCCGCCACTCCCGGCGATAGGAAGAGCGGTGAGAGCGTCGGCACGGAGCTGCCGGTGAAAGGACCAGGCCGCTGGCGCTGCCCCGTGGAGGCGGGAAGCGGGTTCCGCCGGCTCCGCAGGCGGAGGCCAGGATTCCCTGGCCCGAGGCACTGGGAAGCAGGACTGGGAAAGGGATCTGGCCGGGGTGGGGGGGACGCGGAGACTTCCGGCGGTGAGCTGGCCCCAGGGCCCCGCAGCCCGACCGCCTGACCGGAAGTGCAGCACCCGGAATTACTGGGAGCTTGCTGCAGTTCCGCTTGCTGTCGCCTAGGGGCAGGGTTCTCAAACTTTTTGGTCTCAGGCCTAGAATTTGCCGGGTAAAATACAGGACGCCCAATTAAATGTGACTTTCAGGTAAACGACGAACAATTTTTTTAGCGTGAGTGTATCCCATGCAATAATGGTTTATCCGAGAGGCGTTTAACTGGGGGTCCTGTATTTTTATGTGCTAAATCTGGCAATCCAGGTCTGGCGTGGTGGCTCACGCCTGCAATCCCAGCACTTTGGGAGACCAAGGCCGGCGGATTACTTGAGCTCAGGAGTTCGAGATCAGCCTGGCCAACGTGGTGAAACCCCTTCTCTAATAAATATACAAAAATTAGCCGGGCTCAGTGGCGGGCTCTGGGGTAATCCCAGCTACCCTGGAGGCTGCGGCAGAAGAATCTCTTGAGCGCGGGAGGTGGAGGCTGCAGTGAGCCAAGATCGCGCCATTGCACTCCAGCCTGGGGGATAGAGTGAGACTCCGTCTCAAAAAAAAAAAAAAAATCTGGCAATCTTACTTAGGAACCCTTTACACTCTTAAAAATTATACTTTGGACATCGCCCTACACCTCCCCCATGTCTATACTTTTGTTTAGTTGAATTCAGAGCATGCCGTTTATGGACATCGACAAAGGGTTCAGAAAATGCCATCCACTGACATCTATGTATTAGAAATTGAAATTGAGACATTTTACAGCCTAAGATGTCAAGCGCACATTCTTCAGCCGTTGGATAATATCGTTGCAAATCCTGTGGACTCTGAAGAGTATACCGATTAGAGAATGCGGAGAAAATCGAATAGCTGGCTGTTATTCAATTCAAAACTGTTGGAAAACAGTTTTGGCTCTGAGGACCCAGCAGTTGACAAACAGCAGGCCTGGGACAAGAGCAGTATGAGAAGTCAGATCGCCTCTTTTAATGTCACTAGTCAGTACAGGCCTCGCCAGACAAGTCTCTCCTCAGCCTCACTTGGAAGAACATGCCCTCTCTTCATGATCCTGGGTTTCCTAGACTTAGTATCCTTGGAAAGGTCTTGATGAATATATTGTGGTGGGAAGCAGTGGGGAGAAACAAACGCCTATTATGTCACAAAACCACATTTAGTGCTTATAACAACCTTGGAATGAGATATTATCAGATTTTACTGTTAATTGGTGATCAACGGAGGCACTTCTATGTGGACTGGCTGTCATTATAGCTGCTGCCCTTGGCACCAATTTCGAGGAGGGCTTTGGAACAGCCCTCTGGGGTGTGGGTTGTGGCTCAGTCACCTCCCCTCTAAATCTCAGTTTCCTTAACAGTAAAAATAAGTTTCCAGGACTGTTATGGGGATTAGGGCCAACTGTAAAAGTGGCTGAGGAGACTAGGTAAAGAGTGTTGTCTCACTTTAGAACAATGCTGAAGGTGTTTAGAGCCTGCCATCCTAAAATATGCCACTTTGGCATACTGATTCTTCTGAGCCAGAGGCAATGGAGCAAAAACAGATGCAGGGAAGGCTGTCTGACCACCCTCTTTCTGTTTGAAGCGGAACATAAAAGTTCCCTTGTGAAAGGTGCCCTTTCTGTACCAGGAAGAGGAGAATATTATTGCCAGAGGCAGAGTTGCCACTGAGAAGAATCTACAAACAAAACCTTACAAAAATTTGTAACCCATATTTTCCATTAACTTTCTACATACGGTTCTTCGTCACTTTCCCACAATTTGCCAGCCTTAGCCCAAGCCCCTTTGTCTTGTCACATCCCTGCAATTTATTATTTTTTGTTTAAAAGGACATATAAGCTTTCGGGCCTAGTAACTTCTATGGGTCTTTATTTTTCTTACAAAGCCTCCTGTGCATGTACAAAAATATTAAAACTTTTATGCCTTTTCCAGTAAATCTGTCTTATGTTAGTGTAATTCCCATGCCCAGCTACAGAACCAAAGAGGTGAGAAGAGGCCAGGCGTAGTGGCTCATGCCTGTAATCCCAACACTTTGGGAGGCTGAGGCAGGTGGATCACCTGAGGTCAGGAGTTCAAGACCAGCCTGGCCAACATAGCGAAACCCCATCTCTACTAAAATTACAAAAAATTAGCTGTGTGTAGTGGCAGGCACCTGTAATCCCAGCTACTCGGGAGGCTGAGGCGGGAGAATTGCTTGAACCTGGGAGGCAGAGGTTGCAGCCTGGGCGACAGAGCGAGAGACTCCATCAAAAAAAAAAAAAAAAAAGGTGAGGAGGAAGTTTCTCCTCACCTACAGTGTGAGGAAATCTAGGCACTTGATTTCCATGCTCCTGAATGTCTCTCCATTTGGGAACATATACCTCTCCTTGCAACTCATCTGCAAGTGACTCCCTCTCATTCACTGAAAACTTTGGCCCATAACTCACCAGCTTCCTCTCCACTACAAGACACTGCCATGGATCAGGTCAATATCCACATGTACAGTTGTCCCTCAGTATCCATGGAGGATTGATTCCAGGACTCCCGATGATACCAAAATCCACAATCCATAAATGCTCAAGTCCCTTATATAAAATGGCATAGAATTTGCATATAACCTATGCGCACCCTCCTGTGTGCTTTAAATCATCTCTAGATTACTTATACCAAATATGAAATAAATGCTATATAAATAGTTCCTATACTGTATTGGTTTATTATTATTGTCATATTGTTCATATATTTATCTATTTTTGAGAATATTTTCGGTCTGTGGTTGGTTGAGTTTGTGGATGTGGAACCCATGGCTGTGGAGGGCCAACTGAATAACCACCCAACAGCAGGCTTCTCAACTCCTCCTCATCCCACTCATCTTCATCCTCTGTCCTTGTCAGCTCCCCAGTCCCTGGCTGCTGTATCCTCTAATCTTCTTAGATCATTAGGAAGATTTACATTTTTCTCCTTGCAAGTCCTTTTTTTTTTTTTTTTGGAAATCGTGCTTCCTTTTGAGTACTTAATTCACACTGTTTCCTCTCTTGGATGCTACTATGGTAACAGTCAGGTCCTCTCCTCTCAAGAACATTGCATCTGACCAGACTGAGAGCCAGCGTGAAAGCCAGCCTGAACATGGGCCCCAAATCAGGGTTTTTGGAATCACAAGGAACAGCAAAAACCAGCCTTTCCCTTCACTTAGAAAGGGACTGTGAATAGGAGGGCCCCAATCTCCACCATCCAAACAGAAAACCAAGAGCTCAGTGCCAACATGGAAACCAAAATGTATCAGGAATGAAGTACAGTACCCCCTCACATACTCAAGGTCAAGATGGGTTTGGGGAAATACCTATCTGACCATCTGGCCTCTTCTAGTAGGCATGGCCCCACACCAGCATTTTTAAAAGAAGATGTTTTCATTCTTCTTACATTTTCTAAAGGGGTATAAAATCTACTAAAAGGGATATAATAACTCAGAGTAAATGAGCTCACAAGAATCATTCCTGGATAATCATTTTTGGTTGCTGAGATTATTCAGCACATTACTTCAAAGTGGCAAAATTCAGGGCAATCTGAGAAAAGAGAATTAAAAAGTGGTGGCCACATTTGCTGACATGTTTATGTAGGACGCACATAACACAACTCCCATTTTTTTCAGTGTGTATGTCAAGAGGCCAAGACCCTGATCATCAAAATAAGTTATTTTGTGCATTACAGTGCACAGGACAACAGAGGGAATAACACTTTCTTGGAGGGTGTTGTGGGAATTCAGGGACCCCAAACGGAGGGACCGGCTGGAGCTGTGGCAGAGGAACATAAATTGTGAAGATTTCATGGACATTTATCAGTTCCTAAATAATACTTTTATAATTTCTCATGCCTGTCTTTAATCTCTTAATCCTGTTGTCTTCGTAAACTGAGGATGTGCGTCACCTAAGGACCACTGTGATAATTGTGTTAACTGTACAAATTGATTGTAAAGCATGTGTGTTTGAACAATATGAAATCAGTGCACTTTGAAAAGAAACAGAATAACAGCGATTTTTAGGGAACAAGGGAAGACAACCATAAAGTCTGACTGCCTGCGGGGTCAGGAAAAGATCCATATTTTTCTTCTTGCAGAGAGCCTATAAACGGATGTGCAAGTAGGAGATATATCACTAAATTCTTTTCCTAGCAAGGAATATTAATATTAATACCCTGGGAAAGGAACACATTCCTGGGGAGAGATCTATAAATGGCCGCTGTGGGAGTGCCTGTCTTATGCGGTTGAGTTAAGGACTGAGATACGCCCTGGTCTTCTGCAGTACCCTCAGGCTTACTAGGGTGGGGAAAAACTCTGCCCTGGTAAATTTATGGTCAGACTGGTTCTCTGCTCTCGAACCCTGTTTTCTGTTATTTAAGATGTTTATCAAGACAATACATGCACTGCTGAACATAGACCCTTATCAGTAGTTCTGCTTTTGTCCTTTGCCTTGTGATCTTTGTTGGACCCTTATCAGTAGTTCTGCTTTTGCCCTTTGCCTTGTGATCTTTGTTGGACCCTTATCAGTAGTTCTGCTTTTGCCCTTTGCTTGTGATCTTTGTTAGACCCTTATTAGTAGTTCTGCTTTTTGCCCTTTGAAGCATGTGATCTTTGAACATACTCCCTGTTCTTACACCCCCTCCCCTTTTTAAAACCCTTAATAAAAACTTGCTGGTTTGAGGCTCAGACGGGCATCATGGTCCTACAGATATGTGATGTCACCCCCAGCGGCACAGTTGTTAAATTCCTGTCTTTGTACTCTTTCTGTTTATTTCTCAGCCAGCCGACACTTACGGAAAATAGAACCTACTTTCAAATATTGGGGGCGGGTTCTCCCAATAGGAGGTGACTGAAAGGCACTGTGCAAAAGGCCTGTATCACTCTGTAGTAGAAGGACTGGAGCCCGGTGCCTTGTGGACTTCATTAACTTGTCCGCACCTCTTCTTTGGTTGCAGTGGCCTCAGTGGGAGCAGTTTCTTCTATATGTTCTGCTGACTTCTCCTCTTCTTCCTCCTCATCCTCTTGGGGATAGAGGTCCAGGTGTTTCTACATGCATTCCTGCATGACCCGGAATTCATCTACACAGTCTTTCCCCTTGAGATCCTCTGCACTATAGTGGAAGCAGAAAAAGGCCAACTTGAACTGTTCCCCACAGGGGCCACTGGCCATTCCCCCAGGGCACGAGCAGTTCCAGTTAATGTCTTCATTTGGCAGCATCAATCCATGCTGTGTATGGATTGTTGGGGTCATCAGCCACCAGCTCTACATTGCTTGGAGTTTTGTGGTCATCTTTGGTCACAAATATGATTCCATCCTTCCCTTCCTGCTGGCAGTAGGACATGGCTGCAGCATATAGACCAGTGCTTAGATTTTGCAGAAGCAGCCACAGCAGCTGCCCCATTTTTTTTTACAAACTTTTAAAATTAAGTATGATACACATACTCTAAAGTGTACAACTCATATGTGTATAGTTTAATTATCACAAAGCAATGACACTCAGGCAACCAAATCAAGAAACAGCCATTACTACCAGAAGTCCCCCTCTTGCCCTTTATGGAGAAACAACCACTATCCTGACCTCTAACACCATAGATTTTGTAGTTTCCCTTTATCAGTTAGGGAAATTCTTTTCTATTCCTATTTTTATCATGAATGTGTTTAATTTTATCAAATGGCTTTCTCTACAAGATGATCATGTTTTTTTCCCTTTATTAATGTGTGGATTACATAGACAGATTTCTGAATGTTAAATTAACATTGCAATTCCTGGAATGAACCCAACTTGGTTGTGATGTATTATCCCTTTTACATATTGCTAGGTTTGGTTTACTACTCTTTTGTTTAAGAATTTTACATCTATGTTTGTAAGTGACACAGACTTATAATTTTTCTTTCTTGTAGTATCTTTTTGAGTTTTAGCATCAGATTGTGATAGCCAAAGTAAGGACTTTGGATTTTATTTTCAGTGTGACAGGAAACTATTTGAGGTTTTTATATAGTGCTGATAAGAAAAAAAATCTCAAATATTAAAAAGGAAAGAAAGCAATTTAGAAAACAGTACAGAATAAGATTACTTTGTGTAAATTAGAAACTTATGTGTGTGTGTTTTGCATTTTTTAAGTTGTTAGAACTAAAGCTAAGAATTATTGACAATAGATGTTAACAGGGGTGATAAGGGAGTTTTTGATTTTGTGTTGTTTGACATTTTTTCACCATATGTATGCATTACTTTTATTTAAAAATATAAACAAGAAGAGAAAGTATCAAATGGAAAAGAAGAAAATAAGGGCAGTTTGTTGACCCTAAAACTCTCTCCCAGCCAGAGACAGTAGTGCATAGTGGACAGTACCTGGTTTGAGGGCTGGTGACTGGACCTTGTCTCTGAGGCTCAGTTCATCTGTAAAGAGAATGATATTGTCCACCTTAGGGCTGTGTAAAGATTTCATCAGTTACTGTGCTTGGCACATTGTCCTGATTCAATTAATGGGGCTTCTCCAAGCAGCAGCAGCTACAGTACGACAAAATTCTTGTATCTGCTTTTTTTTTTACTCCTAAGAGTTTTAATTAATGAACCTTGTAACATTTAAATCATGCAAATTAGACTGCATGCTGGCACTGACAATCCCCTGGGGAATTCGGCATTCTTCTTTTTCCCTTACTGTGAAATTTAAGGCCATAGGAGGTATTTATTTTTGTGTCCACAGCTTACACACACACCACCATCACCACCACCAGAATTTTCTCAGTCATTCCACAGGTACTAATACATGCTATGTATTAGAGCATAGCATAGCAGTAGTGTATGTGAGGACAAATAAAGACTACTAAGTAGAGAAGACGATGACTGGGGGGTCAAATGGGGAAGGGAGGGAAATGGGTAGGAGAAAAGAACTTAAGAAGGCACTGTAATGAAGGCTCCAACTCAACCCCCTGCCCCCTCAGCTGGTATCTCCGGAAGAACAGGAGCCACAGTAGGCCTGGCCAGGAGAGAGCTCACAGACTAACACAATATCTTAGTCCATTTGTGTTGCTGTAACAAAATACCTGAGAATGGGTAATTTATAAAGAACAGAAATTCCTTCCTTCCTTCCTTCCCTCCTTCCTTCCCCTTTCCCTTCCCCCTTCCCTTCCCTTCCCTTCCCTTTCCTTTCTTTTCTTTCTTTCTAAGTTTCACTCTTGTTGCCCACGCTGGAGTGCAGTGGCATGATCTTGGCTCACTGCAACCTCTGCCTCCTGGGTGCAAGGGATTCTTCTGCCTCAGCCTCCCGAGTAGCTGGGATTACAGGCATCTGCCACCACACCTGGCTAATTTTTGTATTTTTAGTAGAGATGGGGTTTCACCATGTTGGCCAGGCTGGTCTCAAACTCCTGACCTCAGGTGATCCCGTCAAAGTGTTGGGATTACAGGTGTGAGCCACTGTCCCCAGGCAGAAATTTATTTCTTACAGTCCTGGAGGATGGGAAGTCCAAGATCAAGATGTTAGCAGGTCCAGTGTCTAGAGAGAGCCCATTCTTCATAGATGGTGCCATCTAGGTGTCTTCACATGGTAGAAGGGCAGAAATGCAAAAGGGGACAATTGCTAGTTCCTCTAGCCTTTTTATAAGGTTGTTAACCCCATTCACGGGGGTTCCACTCCCAAAGGCTCTGCCTCTTAATACTATCATATTGGTAATTAAGTTTCAACACATGAAAATTTGGGGGGACACAGTCAGAACATAGGATGCAATGAGAGATACTCAGCCTGGATCCAGAGCTCATAGAGACAATTTGGTACCTATGGAATGGCTGAGAAAATTCTGGTGGTGGTGATGGTGGTGTGTGTGTAAGCTGTGGACACAAAAATAAATACCTCCTATGGCCTTAAATTTCACAATAAGGGAAAAAGAGGAATGCCGAATTCCCCAGGGGATTGTCAGTGCCTGCATGCAGTCTAATTTGCATGATTTAAATGTTACAAGGTTCATTAATTAAAACTCTTAAGAGTAAAAAAAAAAAGCAGATACATAAAATATGCATGCATATTTTCTATATTTCTATGTTTCCAAAGAGATCACATCCACCACATTTTGTGTCTTGACGAGTATGGGCAGATGTGGAATTCCTTGACTGTGCACCCTTCTCCTGGATATCTCCCGGGTTGGGGGAACACTGCCACTGAGCCTCTGTTTACATAACTGTTAAATGAGGAGAGCAAGAGAACATACCCTGTAGGGTTGATATGAGGATTATACAAAGTAGTTCATGTGAAGTTATCAACAACTTTTACATCTAGTAAGTGCCTTGTTAATGTCAACTATGAGGCTGATAAGAAAGAAGGAGGAAGCATTTCTTTTGACTGGATCTTGGTCAAGTCATTAATTATACCCCTCACATGTAATCATGTAAATCATGTTAATTACATTTTGGAAAAAATTAACTCAAATTCCCTATTTACATCAGCAAACTAGAGAGAGATACTGAGGACTGGACAGGGAGAAAATGAGAGAGACTTGTGAAACTGCTAGAAGGTTTGAGGGAGGAGAACCAGGGCAGATATTCCTAGAAACCTTTTGTTTTTTAGTTTCAGGAGGTACACATGACATTTGTGTCTTCCATTGCAGGCACACCTTCTATGTTATAACCTAATGGCACTGCTTTCTATGTGGAGTGTGTGCCCCACAGTTCTCACCCTCATGCCTTGGCTCAGGGTGTTCTCGGTGCCTGGAATGTGTCTCCTCCCAACTCTTCATACCCAGCCCTGACCATCTCTCAAGAATCGGCTCAGGCCCATGATGGAAGTTACATCTCCTTTCCCAACTCCCTGACTTTACATAGCTGTTTATTTCTTTATCTCTCCTTTTTTTTCTTCAACTTTTAAGTTCCAGGGTACATGTGCAGGATGTGCAGGTTTGTTACATAGGTAAATGTATGCCATGGTGGTTTGCTGCACAGATCAACCCATCACCTTGGTATGAAGCCCAGAATCCATTATGTAGCTGTTCCTTTCTATTGCTCTTCCTTCTCTCTTAGGCATTCACTTTTGTGTCTCCTTCAACTGACTATAAACATCTTGAAGACAGGAAGTATGGCCTTTTCTTCTTTTGTTTCTTCCACTTCTCTGCTCCTTGCGCACAGTAGGCATGCACTAATTAGCAGTTTAATGAATGGGTTAATGTATCAGTTAGCCTTTTCTCAGCAGCAGCCTCTATTCAGGACAAGTTTCTGCTCCCACTCCCCTCCCTGCCTAGAAATTCCAGGAAGAGGAGCTCATCCCAGCTGTCCCTGCCTGGTCGTCTGACTTCTCCCGCCACACTGCCTGAATCGGGCCCCTCCACGACTCCTCACTGTCCTGCAGCCCACGGGTAGCCATCTCCCTGTACCAACATCATCATCATTCACCAGAAAAAACAATGCACACTTTATCACACACAAGTCTTACTTATTTGAAATATCAGGTTGATGCAAAAGTAATTGCAGCTTTCACCATAATTTTTTTTTTTTTTTTTTTTTTTTTTTTTTTTTTGAGACGGAGTCTCGCTCTGTCACCCAGGCTGGAATGCAGTGGCACAATCTCGGCTCACTACAACCTCTGCCTCCCAGGTTCAAGCAATTCTCTGCCTCAGCCTCCCGAGTAGCTAGGATTACAGGCGCCTTCCACCACGCCCAGCTAATTTTTGTATTTTTAGTAGAGATGGGGTTTCACCATCTTGGCCAGGCTGGGCTTCAGCTCCTGACCTCAGGTGAACCACCCACCTCGGCCTCCCAAAGTGCTAGGATTACAGGCATGAACCACTGAGCCTGGCCTTGCCATTACTTTTAATGGCCAAAACCACAATTACCTTTGCGCCAACATAATAACTGTGCAGGATCTCTGATGGGCTCCTCTGGTGGAGTTTCATAAACATCTTCCTCCTGCTTAGGAGACAGTGATGACATGGTTGAGACACACCACGTCCTCCAGGAGCCTCTTGTTCCCTGACATGGAATCGGTTTGGAGATTTGGGTGCAGTCTTGCCTAAGGCAATAAGGAGTGCATTGGCATGCCTCTTTGACCAGAATGAGGCTTGGCAGATAGCGCTTGACTTAGGGCCCCTCCACCTAGGTCCACCCATGCTCCAACTGCC
Organism: Homo sapiens; assembly: GCF_000001405.40. Lineage (NCBI taxonomy): Eukaryota > Metazoa > Chordata > Mammalia > Primates > Hominidae > Homo > Homo sapiens. Next base: position 92,437,313 of record NC_000007.14, on the reverse strand, counting down.
ACTCTCCTAATTGTCGCTCAGAACATTGCCTCTCAGTCCCAGCACCTGCCCAGGCTTTGGATGACCGACCACTGGCTCAGGAGCTGGGAGAGCTACTTGAGGGCCAAGTGAAAGCCTCATTTTGTGATTCAGGCACCAGCCAAATACAGTTGCATGAGGAAAATTCAGTTGCCTGTGGCTTTGTTTTTTGTTTTGTTTTGTTTTTGAGTGCTTTGAAAATCTTGCTGCCTCTGCCCCTTCTGATTTGCAAGACACTGGAGAGGAAATCAACTTGGTTATCTGAGCATCCTCTAGTGCCTCTCAGCTCTGCGTGAAGACTGCTTTCCTCGGAGGAGTCCAAACTTTATCAAAAAGAGAAATATTTCCTTTTCTCTTCACAATGTAAATATCTTTTTCCGTTATTATATAAGTAATAGATGCTCATTGTAAAAATTCATACTATTCAGAGTGTGTTTCCCAACTCTGCTGGGTTAGAGATGATCATATGAACAGTTTATAGTGTAACTTTCCAGTCTCGGGAAGTGTGTGTGTATGTGTGGGTGTATGTACAACATTAATGTGATCTTGCTCAATGTTATTTTCTAATGTTAGTTTTTAAATTTAAAAGTGTGTAACAGTGAACTCTCCACATCAATCCATTTATATCTGCCTTTTCCTGTGCCAAAATTAATTTAACCATTCCCCTGCTGATGGATATTTAAACTGTTTAAAAATTTTTTGTAGTTACAAACAATGAATGGTGTAATGAACTTCCTTATACATGTATCTTTGCCTATTTGTATGGAAAGGTTTATGGGATAAATTTCAAAAAATGTAACTGTTGGGTCTAAAGTAAGACACATTTTGAATTCTGATAGATGCTGCTAAATTGCCACCCACCCCCCAAACGTTTATGCCCCCATGAAGGTGTCCCAGGACTGATACTTACTAGGCGAGTAGGACCAGTGCCTAGGACTCACGATAGTTTTAGGGGCCATAAACACATTTTAATTTTTTAAAGCAGGAGAAAAAAGTGAATATAATAATGAATATATAATATATAATGACTCCAGAGAGGATTATATTCATCTTTACACCAATTCACTCGTAACATATAATTTTTAGTATTTTTTTGGAGGAAAGGACCCATGAACAAAAACATGTATAGGGTCCATGGAGGTCATTTTGTGGCCCTGGATTCTCTATTATCTATCTCTTCACAGCCTTGCAATTCTGAGACTTATCTTTTTAATCTTTGCCAGTCTTTTTAGTTTTTACTTGCAGTTCTTTGGTTATTTGTGAGGTATTGTCTCCTAAGTTTATTGACCATATGAATTGCCTATTTATGTTCTTTTCTGTCTCTCTCTTTGTTTTAGAGACAAGATCTTGCTCTGTTGCCCAAGCTGGAGTGTAGTGGCACAATCATAGCTCACTGCAGCCTTGAACTTTTGGGCTAAAGAAATCCTCCCATTTCAGCCAGCTGAGTAGCTGGAACTACAGGCACATGTCACCATGCCTGGCTAATTTTTTTTTTTTTAGAAATGGGATCTCACTATGTTGCCCAGGCTGGTCTCAAACTCCTGGACTCAAGCAATCAATCCTCCCACCTTGGCCTCCAAAAACATTGAAATTACAGTTGTAAGTCATTGTGCCTGCCTTTTCTCATCTTCTTACTGGGTTGCCCATCTTTTCTTTGTTAAAGTTCTTCTTACAGTATAGTAAATATCACAAATATTACACTTAAAATTTAGCATTTTGGCCGGGTGCGGTGGCTCACATCTGTAATCCCTGCACTTTGGGAGGCCAAGGAGGGAGGATCACGAGATCAGGAGATCGAGACTATCTTGGCTAACACGGTGAAACCCTGTCTCTACTAAAAATACCAAAAGAAAAAGTTAGCTGGGCGTGGTGGTGGGCGCCTGTAGTCCCAGCTACTCGGAAGGCTGAGGCAGGAGAATGGCATGAACCCGGGAGGTGGAGCTTGCAGTGAACCGAGATTGCACCACTGCACTCCAGCCTGGGCGACAGAGGGAGACTGTCTCAAAAAAAAAATCTTTTTTGCATTTAATATTTGTAATGGTATCTAAAGTGCTCCTGTACCCCAAATCTGCCAAGCAGTTGTGTTTTTTTGAGACAGAGTTTTGCTCTTGTTGCCCATGCGGGGATTACAGGCATAAGCTACCGTGCCCGGCCTAGTAGTAGTTTCTTAAGAACTGTGTTCAGACTGGAAGGCACTGTGGCAAAGCCACTGCCATCTCATATCTGGATTTCTGGTCTCTGCCTCAGTTTGGCTTAGTCTGGCCCATTCTCCACACTACCTAGAGTAACCTTTCTTTCTAGGAGATCTCCATGGGTCCCTGCTGGGAAACCTTCCTTGATTCCCCATTGTATTAGTTTCCTGTTGCTGCTGTTGCAAATTGCCACAAACTGAATGACTTAAAACAACACACATTTATTATCTTACAGTTCTGGAGGTCATAAGCCTAAAACCAATCTCACTAGGCTAAAATCCAGGTTCTGGCAGGGCTGGTTCCTTCCTGGAGGCTGTAGAGGAAAAGCCATTTCTTTGCCTTTTCCAACTTCTAGAGGCCACCTGCGTTCCTTGGCTCATGGCCCCCTTCTTCCATCTTCAAAGACAACAATTGTATCACTCTGACCTCTACTTCTGTTGTCACATCTCCTTCTCTGACTCTGTTCCTCCTGCCACCTTGTTATACCTATAATCATAATAATCTTTGTGATTTGATTGGGCCAACCCAGATAATCTAGGATAATCTCCCCATCCCAAAGTCCTTAACTTAATTACACCTGCAATGTTCCTTTTGACATGCAAGATAACATAGACACAGGTTCCAAAAACTAGGACGTGGACATCACTGGGGAACTGCCATTCTGCCAATCACACCCATGGCCTTCAGGATGAAGTCCAGAGTCCTTAACTTGGCTTGCCAGCCTCTCAGAGGCATGCCCACTACTTCTCTGTGTAACCTCATTCCACTCTCCCCTTCAAACTCCCTGCTCCAGGTACGTTTCTGGAACTTGCCCTCCCTGCCTTCTCCAGTCCTGGTCCAGGCTGGTTCCTTGTCTGGAAAACCTCTCCCCACCTCTTCACTTGACTAATCCCTACTCGCTTCCAGCCATGGCCTAACTTTCAGTTTCTCTGGAAGCTTTTGACAACCTCTTCTACTCCCTGCAAGTTCCTCCAGATTTCCTTCAGGGGTCTCAGGACTTCCTCCAATGTTCCTGGTCTGCTTATATTGCCTTTTTTTTTTTTTTTTTTTTTTGAGATGGAGTCTCGCTCTGTTTCCCAGGCTGGAGTGCAGTGGCACGATCTTGGCTCACTGCAAGCTCTGCCTCCAAGGTTCAAGTGATTCTCCTGCCTCAGCTTCCCTAGTAGCTGGGATTACAGGAGCCTGCCACCATGCCTGGCTGATTTTTGTATTTTTAGTAGAGACGGAGTTTCACCATGTTGGCCCGGCTGGTCTTGAATTCCCAACCTCAGGCGATCCGCCCGCCTCGGCCTCCCAAAGTGTTGGGATTACAGGCAAGAGCCACCGCACCCGACCTATGTTGCCTTTTATATGATTGCTTGATTATACTCTCTTCCAAAATATAAGCTCTTTGAGGGCAGAGACAGCAAGGGCAGCTTCATGCTTGGCACTCATTAAGTTTTTGCTGAATAAATTCTATTAAAAAATTAATTTCATAATACAATCAAATTATTTTACTCTATGGGTTTCATCTTAAATGTTATCATTCATTTAACAAATATTTACTAAGCACCAACTTGGTAAGTACTGAGCCAAGCCAGTTACAATTAAGAAGAAATCGCCTGATGATTCTGAGGATGCTAAGGTTGTAGAGGTGTAATCATAAGGACATGAAAAACAATTCTTCCCCTCTAGGAAATTGGACTTGGAGGTCAGCGAACCAATAGACTTTGGTTCTGGAGGTCATCAACATCTGATTCAGGAAGCAGCAGATAAAAGCATCCAGTCCCAATCTGGTGAGCGCTACACACCTTCATCTTCAGCTGGGCCACAAGAAACTCGGAAGAAGCCACGGCCAAAGGACACCGAGCAGTTGAATACCTGTGTGATAGAAATTTCAGATGACGTCACCCCAGGTGATAACAATGCAACTTTAGGCAATCCTTTCTCAGACGCATCTGTCCGCAGAGGTGAGAATAAAGAAATTACCTTTTTAGAAGAGAAGAGCATATGTTCTCTTAAAATGTTTCCACAGAGAAGATTGTCAGATATAATTTTTTTTTTAGTTTTTCTGAGTCATGCTTTCTCATAAAATATGATGTAGGACTGCTATAACTGACTGCTTCCAAGTTGTCCAGGGCATTCAGAAACTCATAAGAAACGTATGGTGAATAACTTTTTTTTTTAAGGAAATATGAATTAATCATGGATCATAAAATGTTTTTACTTGTATACAAGGTGATACCACAATATTGGCTTAAGTTTTAAAGTGTCCACTCTGCCACCCTGAGGCCTTCTGAGGGCCTGAACAACTTGCAGGTGGACTGTGAGCTTTGAATCCTATTGGTCTCCCTGTGGCCCTCACCACTCCTTTCCTGTGGCTGGAAAGCTGCCTTTTGAAGCTCTAGCCTTTGAGGTAGGAGAAGGAAAAGGCAAACAGCCAAAGGCAAAGTAGAGCCAAGAGAGGGCTGCAGGTATCCTGAGAGTTGACCAAACCAGTCTTCTTTTCAGAGGCATTTCTAGAAACCACACCCAGAGTTTTGAATGCCATGTCATTGACCCACCTGTATCACATGGCCACCTCTATTTGGAGTTGTTCAGCTGAGCCCATTGCCACCCTTAACAAGATCTGGGTCAAATAGTGAGGAAGCCAGGGATATTGGATATCACTAAGCACCTGGCTGTCTCTGAGATCAATATCAGGCCTACACAGGGTGTTGTGCAAGGGCAATGCTATTGCGTTTCGTCCTTACAACAACCCTACAAATACAGAAGTTGTATTGCCATTTTACAGGTGAGAAAATGAGGCTTAAGGAGTCTAATCGAATTAGTCTTTCAGGTCTAATTGAAAAATATGTAGAGCCTCCTTGCCAGTGTAAGAGTCAGTTGTTTATATCTGCCTCTCCTGGAGGGCAGAGGCTGGCCTTTGTCCAATTAAAAAAAATATAGTATATGAAAATATGAAAGTGTTGTGGAGAAAAGGAAAAGTATAGCAGGGTAATGGATTGAGTTATGGGGGCTGTAATTTTTTAAAGCAGTATTATGGAGATATAATTTGCAAATCATAAAAATCCCTTTTCAGTGTACAATTCACTGGTATTTTGTGTATTTAGAGTTGATAACCATCAACATGATCAATTTTCGAACATTTTCGTCACCTCAAACAGAAACCCATACCCAGACTAGGCGCAGTGGCTCATGCCTGTAATCCCAGAACTTTGGGAGTTCGAGGCAGGCAGATCACTTGAGGTCAGGAGTTCAAAACCAACCTGGGCAGCATGGTGAAACACCATCTTTACTAAAGGAAAAAAAAAAAAAGAAAAGAAACCCATACCCATTGGCAGTTACTCCCATCATCCCTCCCCCAAACCCCTGCCAACTACTAATCTACTTTCAGACCTCTCTATGAATCTATTTTGAACATTTCATGTAAATGGAATCATACAACATGTGGTCTTTTGTGATTTCCTTCTTTCACTTAATGTTTTTGAGGTTCTCCCATGTTGTAGCACGTGTCAGTATTTCATTCCTTTTATGAATGAGCCGTATACAATTCCATTGCCTGAATAGAAAACATTTGTTTATACATTTATCAGTTGACAGACAATTAGATTGTTTCTACCTTTAGGTTATTTTGAATAATGCTGCAATCAACATTCATATTGAAGTTTTTGTGTAGACATATGTTTTCATTTCTCTTGGGTAGATACCCAGGAATTGCTGAACCATAGGGTAACTCTGTGTTTCACATTTTGATGAACTGCCAAACTTTTCCAAAGTGGCTGCACCATTTTACATTCCAAGCAGCAATGTATGAGGGCTCCTGTTTCTCTGCATCCTTGTCAACACTTGTTATTGTCTGTCTTTTTGGTTATAGCCATTCTAGTGTTCGTGAAGTGTTATCTCATTGTACTTTTGACTTGCATTTCATTAGCGAATTTTCTCTTATACTTATTGGTCATTCATATGTCTTCTTTGGAGGAATGTCTATTCAAATCCTTTGCCCACTTAAAGAAAGCAGCAACCATTTTATTATCTCTCATAATTCTGTGGGTTGACTCAGTTGGTCAACTCTTGTGCTGCTCTTGAATTGGGAGCTCTCATTCACTTACAATGAGATGGTAGCTGAGGCTGCTATGGCCATTATGACTGCATGTTATGGCTTGCAGTTGGTGTTAGTTGGGGATCCAAATTCATCCTTTTGTAGGTGTATATCCAGTCTTCCCAGCACCATTTGTCAAAACGATTATTCTTTCTTCATTGAATTTTCCTGGCACATTTGTTAAAAATCAATTGACCGTAAATATAAAGGTTTGTTTCTGGACTGTCACTTTGATTCCATTGATCTCTGTGTCTGTTCTTGTGAGCCTGGGCCACATTTAATATTTGTTCCCCCACAGTCCCTGCTACATAGCAGATGCCAAATTAATGTGAGCTAAATGAATATTTTAATGTAGGCAGCATACACTTGGTAATATATGTTCTGGTATTTTTATTAAGACAGTTTAGACCCACTGCTTTGTAGTCATACTTCCCTATGCATAGAAACTTCCCAGCAAAAGGACAGTCGACGATCCTGTAAGTTAATTTTAAGCAGCATTACTTCTTTTTTTTCTTTGAAATTGGGATAAAGCCACACAAAAGGCAAATTGCCATTGCCAGTGCCATATTCAGAGGGCCCAGGACATAAGCAGAAAGAGGTGCCCACGTGCTGTGCCTTGTATGTTGGCCTGTCATTCTCTTGGAACTCTTTGGTCTCATGTACAGTTCGCCAAGTTATCTATTTCTGCATCAGAATGCAGAAGAGAAGAGAGTTTCTACAGGCGGGTAGGCTGGAGAGAAAAGTGGCAGAAAAGCTCTACAAACCCTCTGCAGCCCAAGTCCATCTCCAGGGAGACGCCCCCCCGTCTCCCACAGTCCTGAGGTGCTGCTGCTCTCCGATGCAGGGAGGTAGTGTCGCTGGATCCCTAATGATGGGCCTGTGACATGGTGAGGATTTCAAATCATGTTTGATCCTAAGGAGGATGGGATGTGCATGACAAGGAATTAAATTCCTGAGTTTGTCTTGAAAATTCTGGGCTTTGGCCAGGCATGGTGGCTCATGCCTACAATCCCAGCATTTTGGGAGGCTGAGGCAGGTGGATCACCTGAGATCAGGAGTTTGAGACCAGCCTGGGCAACATGGTGAAACCCCATCTTTACTTAAAAAAAAAAAAAATTAGCTAGGAGTGGTGGTAATCTTAGCTATTCAGGAGGCTGAGGCATGAGAATCGCTTGAACCCAGGAGGTAGAGGTTGCAGTGAGCTGAAATTGTGTCGTCACTCCACTCAGTCTGGGCAACACGGTGAGACTCTGTTCCAAAAAAAAAAAAAAAAAAAAGAAAGAAAGAAAAAAAAGAAAAAAGAGAAAATTCTGGAGCTCCCATGAATAAACCATCAGATCCCCAATAAAACACCTCTATCCAACCATCTGGATTGAGTGTGCTCTAAAAGTTCTATAGAGCTGCATTTTTGTTGTTATTCTATTTGCTGACTGTAAACTAGCACTGCCTTTCCCATCCTGAAAAAAGAGCAAAAAAAAAAAAATTCCTTTCATTAAATATCAAAAATACGTCATTACATTTATGTTGTTACTTTTGACTATTGTGTCATAAAAATAGTGTTTCTGTCTCCTCAGCTTTCATTATCAAAGTGTTCTTCCTCCTGTCAGTTCAGTTGTTGCTCACTGTGGTAATTACCAGTGTGTTTATTTTCTGGTAAGTCTTTATGACTGATGTAGAATTAAGTGTTAGGTTGTTCACATTAATTTTTATTGAATCAGCTTAATTTAATTTTGATCATTTAAGAATAGTTTGTCTGTTTTTGTTTTCCTGAGGCAACTCCTAGACCAAGGTGGTGGCAGATTTCTAGAATTTTACTTTCATTTCCTAACCGAAGCAAAAAAACTTTTTTAAAACTCTTATTTTGGACACTGCTTTCTTTTTTATTTTCTCCTGAGCTGTTTCAACAGTTAAAACTGGATAGAGAAGAAAAGGTGAGCTGGGCGTGGTGGTTCACATCTGTAATCTGAGCACTTTGGGAGTCTGAGGCAGGCGGATCACTTGAGATCAGAAGTTCAAGACCAGCCTGGCCAAAATGGCAAAACCCCGTCTTTACTAAAAATACAAAAATTAGCCAGGTGTGGTGGTGGATGTCTGTAACCCCAGCTACTCAGGAGGCTGAGTCAGGAGAATAGCTTGAACTTGGGAGTTGGAGGTTGTAATGAGCTAAGATTGAGCCACTGCACTCCAGCCTGGGCAACAGAGCGAGATGCTCTCTCAAGGAAAAAAAAAAAAAAGGTGAGATTATGGAGACCTTGGAGGCTGGAACAGTGTTAAATTCAGAAATTATTTGAGGGGGCTGGGTGCAGTGATTCACACCTGCAATCCCAGTGCTTTGGGAGGCCTAGGTGGGAGGATTGCTTGAGGCCAGGAGTTTGAGACCAACCTGGGCCACATAGTGAGAACCCCATCTCTACAAAAATAAAAATAAAAATTAGCCAGATGTGGTGGCACATGCCTGTAGTCCCAGCTATTCAGGAGGTTGAGACAAGAGGAACGCTTGACCATGAGTTCAAGGCTGCAGTGAGCCACGATCATGCCACTGCACTCCAGCCTGGGCAACAGAGCAAGACCGTGTCTCTAAAAGACAAAAAAAAGAACTTATTTGAGGGACTATGATCTGTCACTGCTTAAACATATCCTAAGAAAAACTATATTTATAAAACAAACAGATGAGAAGTTGAGTTCTTTTGCTTTGCACACATATCAATCTCAGCATTTTAAAAATAAAAACCTTTATTAGGACATTTGCATTCATCCAAATTTTACTTATAACTTATTATGAATATATCTATTTTAAGAAAAAGAATGTTTCACTGTTTCATTCCCCATCCATCATTATTCATCAGTTAGGGTTTCTTCCTTTCTTCTCGTGATATTGCTTTACTTCTACTTAAATATCATATTAGTTAGTGAAATATTTATTGTGTAAAACTGTATTAAATTTTTTTTTAACCAGGGAGGCTTTAAAAGTTTGGGTGCTCAAAAATCCCTGGTTCATCTCTGCAATCTTGTAAGTATCATTGGACTTAATACGTTATGTTTTTTCTACTGTCTATTGCCTGAGATTCTTTTACTATTCAAAATGAGGTACAAGGTACAGCATTCTTGAAATGATACAATTATAGGGATGAAAAATAAACAAATCAATGGCTGTCAGGAGTTAGGGTTGAGTGTGTGGGTGTGGGTGTTACTATTGTCAACCTAAATTAACGATAGAGAGAGAGGCTTCCTGCAGAGTGTATTCGGAAGTGGCAGGGGCATTGCCAGGTGGGATACACGGGCCATGATGGATGATGGAGAGGTTGGGATAAGAGGAAGCCTTTAAAAGGCAAAGAGAAGTCTATGTAAATTATTTTGAAACAAAGATCATTGGTCAAAGGGGCTTGTCACGGGAGCTGGTGCTAAGTCATTGGTGGAGACAGCCATTGCCAGGCAAGTGTTTTTGTGAGAGCAGCTTGGCTGGAATGCTGCGATCTTGAGGAATTTTTTGTGATATACCCTATTATAGACATGTGGGCAGGACACGTAGGGACATGTGGGGCATATAGAAATTTCTTGCGTGTTTTTAAAAGGTCTTTGGGCTAGTTCTTATCTCAGATATATGAGATCCCCTCCTTCATGACCTCTGGCTCCATTCTGGGTGTGACCTAAGTGACTCCATCTTGGCACTGGTGACTTTCACACTATACAGGGCTGGGGCAGTATAAGAGAGGTCTTTGTGCATGTTTTCTTGAAGGATAGACAGTTCTGAATCTTGATTGTGATGGAGGTTACAGGCATCTGCACATAGATTTGTGTCATAATTTGATGACATAGATGATATATACACTGTATCAATGTCAAATTACTGGTTTTGGTACTGTACTATAAATACATGAGATGTAATCACTGGGGGAAACTAAGTGAAGATTTCACGGGACCTCTTTATCTCTCTGCAACTTCCTGTGAATCTATAATTATTTTAAAATAAAAATATTTTAATGCCCCATAAGCTATCTGTGGATGGAAATGAGAAAAGTTAATTTTAAAAGCTAAGAAGGCCGGGCGCAGTGGCTCACGCCTGTAATCCCAGCACTTTGGGAGGCCGAGGAGGGCAGATCACCTGAGGTCTGGAGTTCGTAGACCAGCCTGGCCAACATGGTGAAACCCCATCTCTACTAAAAATACAAAAATTAGCCGGGCGTGGTGGCAGGCACCTGTAATCCCAGCTACTCGGGAGGCTGAGGCAGGAGACTCGCTTGAACCCGGGAGGTGGAGGTTGCAGTGAGACGAGATCGCGCCATTGCACTCCAGTCTGGGCGACAAGAGCGAGACTTTGTCTCAAAAAAAAAAAAAAAAACAAAACTAAGAAAAGGCAAAAATAATAATTAACATTTTTGTTTATAATACTATGAGATAAGTAAGATCATGGTAAGTATTACTATGATCTATATCTACATCTATTTATCTCTGTATAATATACGCTATGATATAGTCTGTGAAAGCAAATAACACGTGGTTTTAAATTATCCTCCAGCTCAGCATTTTTTGCCATACTTATTATACTTGATTGCTGTGGGAATCTCCCCCGTCAGGTGCCTGCAGATTACATTCTCCTGGGATTCTTTGTAAGTAAACCTTGACAGCACCTGTTCTAGTTCACCTCTGAAATATATTTTTGTCGCGTTATTAAATTCATTCATTTTATTGTGGAAACTCTTCCTGTGGAACAATACAGATAGAAATTACTTGTGAAACATTCTCTTGGCGGAATTTTGTTTGTAATGAAGTAGTAAACTTATGAGATGGTATCACACCCTTTGAGCAGATTAGGGGATCTGGGCATCTGGGCGACTTCCTGCTGGCACACTTGCCTCTGATGAGGGCACCTTGGGGAGCGCACTCCCGAGTCTGGGCTGCACTTCAGGAACAGTTAACCTGACTGTTGCTGGGACCCCTCTCAGGTGCAAACACATTTCGTTATGGAGAGTGGATTCCACGTCTAGTTCACAAAGTCGTGTGCAAGAAGTTTATATTTCTTTATTCTTGTAAAATGTATTTTATTTCTTCTTGAAGTCCCACTGGAAGCAGAACCCATCTCTGAGCGAGGTTCTCCCTCATTTCCACAGCTTGAGATGCATCTCAGCTCATGAGGGCTTTCCCAGCACCGCAGAGTCAGGGGCTGAGAGGGCTCTCCTGATTTAACTGCGGCTTGGTTCCTGGTCCCGCGTTCCGGGTTCCCCAGCGCCTCATTGTGGTGGCTTCCACTCACAAGGCTTCGCCACATCTGCCCATTTTCTGTCGTTGGTGCCACCCTAGACCACAGAACCCAGGGTGGCTCCCTTTCTTGCAGCCAATTCCTTTCTGTGCTGCCCACAGAAACCCCAGGATCGTGCCAGCTCTCAGCAGGTACCTGAAGCTCCTAGATTTTTCTAAACCTGAATAGAACTCGAATTTCCACCAGTTTCCCTGCATTCCAACTCAGGGCTTAGCTCCCCAAAGGTCGCAGGGCTCCTCCCCAGGGACCCGGCATCCTCCAGGAGTCAGGCGGGTCAAGCCAAACCTCTTGCCTCCCGGAGGTGTGGTCTCTCTGAAGCTCACAGATAGTAACTCCGAGAGTGTTTGGGTCCTCTTATGAAAACCCAGAACCGTCTCAGTATGATTCAGGAGATTGTCAGCAAACAATTCTTTCTTTTTTTTTTTGGAGACGAAGTCTCTCGCTCTTGTCGCCCAGGCTGGAGTGCAATGGCACGATCTCGGCTCACTGCAACCTCCGCCTCCCAGGTTCAAGCGATTCTCCTGCCTCAGCCTCCCGAGTACCTGGGATTATAGGTGCATACCACCACGCCCGGCTAATTTTTGTATTTTTAGTAGAGATGGGGTTTCACCATGTTGGCCAGGCTGGTCTAAGAAATCCTGACCTCAGGTGATCCGCCTGCCTCGGCCTCCCAAAGTGCTGGGATTACAGATGTGAGCAACCGCGCCCGGCCAGCAAACGATTCTTTTTTGGGGAAGGTTGGCATTTCTTCCCAAGCAGTGTTGATCATTCTTTCACGGGAAGATTTATTTACCAATTGATTTATTCCCCATCTGATTCCAAATAAGACTTGAGGTGGCTTATAAAAATATCCATAATATACGAAGATAAGATCAATTAATGGAGAAATCTGATGAAAGGAAAAATGGGCTAGAAAATAAAGATAATGGTTAGATTAGTGTACAAAATGCATCAAGTCCTATGCACGCGTCTGGAGCCTAGGTTTGGTTCTGCGCCCCCTGGTGGTCAAAGTGAGCAAGAACACGTGACCGTCGGTGAGACTCAGCACCAGTACGGTGTAGCGACCCTGGGGATTTACATGCTGGGAGGAATAGCTAGCTCCTGAGGCTGGAGAAGACGGGCTGCCTGCTGTCCACGTTTGGACATTGCCTCACCTGCCAAAGCATGGAGGAGGCTTCCTTAGCTGGTGTGGGTACCCTGTTCACTGCCCGGGCCAGCAGTGGGGTGTCCCAGTTCCTGCACTGACAGCACAGATCACACTCAGAACGGGGCGGGGCTGGAAGCCAGACAGAGGCGGGAATCTGGGAGCCGAGACGGTGGGGGAAGGGCGACAGGAGGGCGTGCTGGTTTCCCAGAAATGTTTGAGTTTTTTACTTAAAAATTTTAAATGGCCTTAACGTTTATTACAAGAGATAAAAGTTATTGGTCTCCAAGGAAGCTCTCATCTCTGAGGTTTTGCTGTTTATCTCAAAGCAAGTAACGGCTTAAAAGAAGAGATATTATACAGGGGCAAAGCATTAGTTATGTTTTCCAGACTTAACCTCATGCCCAAGGGTTAAAAGATATATGGGAAAAAGCCCATTTCAGAAAAGGAGTTGAGGGAAAAAAGGAAAACACATTTCACTGACAACAGCTTTTGTCCCATAGAATTTTGGCCTCTTGAGCCCATGTTCTGAGCTCTTGAAGTCTTCAGACAGTTGTGACTTCCACGGCCTCTTCCTATTCTCTCTTCCACTCTTTCAAAAACCGAAAGCCATTTTCTAGCTTGAAACCATTTCCTCTTCTCTCTCCCTGTCTCCTCCCAGTCGCTCCCAATTACACATACAGTCACACATTTACACACACAACACACAGTCACACACACTCCACACCCCCTCATGCCATTCGCACCACACACACCCCTTACGCCACATACACACACACAGTCACACACACACCACACATTTACACACACCACTCATAGCACATACACACACAGTCATACACACACCACACATTTACACACACTACTCATACCACATACACCACATACACATGCACACTCACACACTTACACATATTACACAGACACACAGGCACACACACCACACACACCTCACTCAAACTCACATATACACCATCCACACCACACACATGTACACCTCCTTCATGTGCTGCTGGAGCTGGAGAAATAGGAAGCAACCGATCCAGTATAAGAGGAAGAAAGTCATCTGGAGAGGAAGGCTGGAAGCAAGCACATTATTAAATATCATTTGTATGGAGACTAGATACACTGTTTTCCCTATAATGGAAATAGAGAAAGCCAACTTAATTAAGTTGTACAAAGTAGAGAATCAGGCAATTACCCACTGGGTTTGGAGATGCCAGAGGGGCAACCCAGGACTTTGGAGACTCCACTTCTTTCCCAGCCTCTGCTCCTGGCCATCCTTGGCCAGCGGGAGTTCAAAGCCTTCTCTCGCAGGCCTCGTACTAGGATGGGCCTTCATTTTTACCCCTGGAGACTGGAGGAGTCTTTCCTGGCTCTGCCCGTGGACCAGTGGGTCAGCCCAGTCTCTGGATTTGCCTCTGGCAGAGCAGCCTTGGAGCTGGGCATGCCTTCAGCCCTGCGGCCACTGCTCTGTTGTCCTCATGCCTTGGTGGGCCTGACTGTGGGCCTGGGCACAACCTCAGTGCCTTTCTTGGTCTCATCCTCCAGCCTGACTGCCTGCTGGCTCTCAGCCCCTGCCCCTATCCCACCTTTCCCCGCACCCCTGGCTCTATTTGGGTGATGACAGTCCTCCTAAGCCCAGGACTGCACCTGCAGACGCAGCTCCACACTCTGCTCTGCCAGTATCTGCCCTCCAGCCCCATCTCCGGCACTGGGAAGACCTTGTTTCTCATCCCATGTCTGAGGTTGGAAGGCTGTCCCTCAGGTGCCTTGGAAAGCATCTGTACCCAGAATGTTATGAAGCTTAGATACCGCATATCCTGTCCTGATGAAACATTGATACAGTGTGGATGGCCCCCTTTGATGAATGACAATATGGTCTACAAATGAACCTTTTTACCTTGGTTTCTACATTCATAATTAATACATGTTCAATTCACTGAGTATGTTAAAGTTACTATTGTGTTCAAAGAAATGTTTACTAATAAATAATTTTCTCTTGTCCATCATAGGGAGGATGTTACAGAAATACTGAATTCTATTCATTCCCCATAGTTGCCCTGTGGCTGTGTGTACCAGGCTGTGCATATTCCGCCTTGCTCCCTAGACCCTGCTCAGAAGCACACCCCTCAAATCACCTCTTCTGGATTCCGGGCCTCGCCCCCATGCCTCGGGAAGCAGGCTTCTGATTTATTGTGAATTTTGTTTTTAGACAGCTCTTCAAGGTCTGCAGCTAGGAGCCGTATCAGTGTGAGTCTTTGATACACATTTCCTTTGATTTGTGTGTGCTTTTCTCGGAATGTATGTGAACAATAATCACAGTCTCTGGTTTTAGTTTCTACAAGGCCGAGGAAGTGTCATGGGCAACAGCTGCAACCACTCTGGTGATGCTAGCACTCACTTTGTTTGCTCTACAAACAAAAGTAGGTATTATTGAAGGGAGTGTGCCAGGTATGTCCCTTTGTCCCCAACCCATTTTCCTATGCCTTCCCCTGCTCTCTCAGTCCTGGAGGTCTCACCTCCAGGGCCCTCTTGCCTTAGGGCTTTCCATGGGCTTTGGCCAATGGGGAGTTCCAGCTGGAGACAGGAGGCAGGAAGAGAGAGGTACTGATTCCTATGGCTTCCTCCCAATGACAAGTTCCTCTTGGGCTAGCGGTGTGCCTTAGCAAGATTCACTGCCTGTCACAAGGTGGCCAACTCAACACAACCTTCTGGACTCCTGTAACTGCCCCCTCTCCTTTCCTCTTTGGGCCTGGGGCTGGTAACAGCTCTTTGGCTGGCTGCCAGACTAGCTTACTTCACTACCCGTTCTGGTTGCCTGCAGACACTTCTGTGGAGAGTTCCTTTACAAACAAACCCTCCTCAAATCATCCTATTTGAGTGTGTCATCTGTTCCTTGCTGGGGCCCTGACTGATACAGGGAATTTAAAAATTTAAAAGTTGTACAGTTTACCAGGCTCCAAAATGCCAAGATGTCCCAGAGAACATCTCATAATTTGAGATTATTTCAGTTGAATTGTGAGATGGCTCAGCCTCTGTCCAACCATAGGGTGTTCTTGAGATCTGATGCAGCATTTCCTGCGGCCCCTCCTTTCAGTCCTGGTCAATTTCCTTTTGTAAAGCATGGGCTGGCCTTAGTTAGGTAAATAACTTACACAGAAGGGAGTGCATTTCCCAAGCTGTTTGGCACACATCATAAGGAAGATCTTACACACATGCAGAATTTTAGCATTTTCCTAGTGGAAAAAGAAGTGTCAGAGAGACAGAAGGATCTACTAGATATTTAGTTAAACTGTATCAAAAGTTAGAGATTCAACTTTAATTCATGATGAGATCAGTATTTGCCATCTTAAAGCTGGCCATTTGTAGAAACCAGCCTATTTGTAAATAGATAGGCTTCCTTGCAATGAGTAAGGTGGACCACTGTTGAATGCACAGACTCCTTAAGCCATTTAAAATCCTCTAAGCTGGCCAGGTGTGGTGGCTCATGCCTGTAATCCCAGCACTTTCGGGAAGCCAAGGCGGGCGGATCACAAGGTCAAGAGATCGAGACCATCCTGGCCAACATGGTAAAACCCCGTCTCTACTAAAAATACAAAAATCAGCTGGGTGTGGTGGCGTGCGCCTGTAGTCCCATCTACTCAGGAGGCTGAGGCAGGAGAATCGCTTGAACCCCGGAGGCGGAGGTTGCAGTGAACCGAGATCGTGCCACTGCACTCCAGCCTGGTGACAGAATGAGACTATGTCTCAAAAAAAAAAATCCTCTAAACTGCCAGAATACTTTTTAAAAAGCCCATTAGTATTTTAAGTCACAGGTAACCTATGACCTGGGTTCAGGGGAGTGAATATTGCATTGCAAAGCATTTTATTTTATTGTTTGTTTATTTATTTATTTTTGAGACAGGCTCTTGCCCTGTCACCCAGGCTGGAGTGCAGTGGTGCAGACATGGCTCATTGCAGCCTCTGCTTCCAGGGCTCAAGTGATCCTCCCATCTCAGCCTCCCAAGTAGCTGGGACTACAAGCATTTGCCACCACACCTGGCTAATTTTTAAATATTTTGTAGAGTAGGGTTCTCCTTATGTTGCCCAGGCTGGTCTTGAATTCCTAGGCTCAAGTGATTCTCCCTCCTCACCTCCAAAACTGCTAGGATTACAGGCATGAGCCACTATGCCCGGCCAGAAAATATTTTAAAGATGGTATTCACATTGATGACTTTGAAAGGCAGCTGAACCCATGGTCAACCACATTCTTCTCCCTTATTATGTATTGGAGATGGCAAAATTCAGTCCAACCACAACCCAAGCAGTGTAGAGGAAATGTAGGAACACAATGAGTCTTGAGTTTTTTCATGAACCCCAACTGTCCACTTAGCAGGGAGAAAATTAACTAAATGTCCATTTGGTTTAACTGTAATTGGACCTCACAGTTGAAGCAGTTCCTTTGGGCTGGGTGATAGTGTCATGTGGATACAAAACACTCAGCTGCTCAGCCTCCCTGTCTCCCTGCCTTTCTCTCTAAAGTGGGGTCTGGGAATATGGGATGTGACTGTGGTTTGTGTGGGCTCTTGGCACTGGCCAAGAAGGGGACAGGGCGAGGATGGGGTGGGGATGCTACCGTCCACCATTGTTCCTGAATGACTGTCACCTGGACCCCAGAGTGACTGCCTGCTCTGTGGGCCTCTGAAGCTGACAACCCACCACAGGTGTGACTTGGAACCTGCTCTCTCTTGGGCTTGGTCAGAGCTGACAGGGCTCCCCACCTGAATTTACCTCACCCCAGTTATCCTTCCTTAATGATGTCACATCTTCTTTCTGCCAACAAGGAGCAAGCCTTAGGGTTTCATTGTCCTAAGCCAGATTTACTGCTCTCCAGACCTGGGTTGTCCAAGAGAAGTATAATGTGAGCCACAAATGCAAGTCATATGTATAATCTTAAATTTTCTAGTAACTACAGTAAAAAGTCAAAAGGGACAGGTGACATTCTTTAGATAGTATATTTTATTTAACCATATAACTCATAACCATATATATATATATATATATATATATATATATGCAGCATTACCATTTTGACACGTAATCCACATAACCCAAATATGAATGAGATATTTTACTTTTTTTGAGCTGAAATTCGAAATCCAGTTGTGTATTTTACACTTAAAGCACACCTCAATTCAGACCAGCCACATTTCAAGCGCTCAACAGCCATATGTGGCTACTGTAGTGAAAGCACAGCCCTAGACCAAGTTTATCATGCACCATAATTACCCCGAGGCCTTGTTGAAACACAGATTGCAGGGCCCTGCAATCTGTGTCGCTGCATCAGTAGGTCTGGGGTGGGGCCCAATAATATGAATTTCCTAGGTGGTGCTGATGCTGCTGGCCTGAGAACCGCACTCAGAGAACCAGTGTTTTGGATTATTCTCTTGGTGTATTAAGGGTAGGGAGAAAAAGGGGGAAACAAAAGAATTAGGAAAATACTCCTGCAAGAAAATATACTGAATTAAAGGCTCTTGTTTGTCTGCATAATCTAATTTTTTTTTAGGCCAGAAGATAAACATCCTCTTTCTTAAGAAAACCTTAATCTCCTCAGGCTGATTTGGGTCACTGATTTATAAAGAAAAAAACAAAAATCACATCTATACATTTCCAGATTACAAAAGAATCATTAGCAGTAACTTTTGAAAGCTTAGTATATACTTTTGTTAGAACGTATGCATATAAATGTGAAAAAGATAGCCAGTTAACATCTTGGTATATTTCACTCCGTTAATGTTTTCTATATACATGCTTTTGAACATATGAATGATTATGATCATCCTGTATCTTCAAATATACATCCTACTTATTCAATGTATTTTTTTATTATGGGAAATTTCATATAAGTACAAAAATAGAATAATGTAATGAAACCCCAAGTACCCATTACCCAGTTTCCAAAATTATCAACTCATGGCTACTGGCATTTCACCCATACTTCTACCTTTTCCTCCCAGTCAATATAACACTTTTTATGTAGTATTTTTTAGTGGTTGGAGCTAATGAATTTCCATGGTTCTTGGAATTGATCAGGGTAAATTATTAGCAATGGGCCAGTTTCTATGGGGTATAAAATGCATCTTTAAACATCCTAAAATTTCTTATAGATAATAACTGAGTTGTTTATGCTGCTTATGTTTCCTCAGTGGGATTTTACCTGGCTAAATGGAGCACTATTCGTTTTCTGCTTCGTGCTTTTAATCTATGGAATTACCTTAATCTTCGTGCGATTATAGGTAAGTCAGATCTTACTGGGAAACCTCAGAGAATTGTTAAACATATAGATGAAGTGCTGGTTATGTTAGTCTGGGTCCTCTGAGAAGCAGACATGGAGTTGGGGATAAGCGTGCAAGGATTTTAATAGGAGAAATGCCTATGAGAGAAAAGAGGCAGGGAGCCAACAGCTGGGGGAGCTGTCAGACCATGACGGCATATCAGGCCTCAAGTGAAGGAGAGGGAGGGGAGGCTGGGTGGGAGCATTCTAAATATGGCGTGGTCTGAGGGCGGCTCAGCAAGGCCATCAGGAAGTCCTAGAGCTAAAGTCAATCATCAGGGTGGTCCCGTGTCTTCCAGGAAGGGCTCTGTTGCTCCCAGCAAGGACTGAGAAGTGGGAAGCATGGCCTAAGTGCAAACTGCAATGGGTTGCACAGCACAGCATCTGTGCCTGTGGTCAGTTCCATTCCCCTCCCGGTAAATGAAGGTCTGTGAGACGAATCCTAGTGGCCCCCACAGTGGTCGTTAGGAGGCACCATGGACAGAAGCTGTGGTGCATGAATATTGAGCTACAACCCTAGACAGTTGTCCTTCTCTAAGAGGGTCTCGAGGTGAGCCTACCCATGAGGGCAGGCCAGATTCCTTCTCCTATATTTGGGTGCTGCTTGTTTGAAGTACCAGGAGTGGTACAGAAAGGCTTGTTTGGGCCTTTCTGATAGCAGCCTAGAGGAGGCTCCTTATTTTCCAATTCTAGTTTTTTTTTTTTTTTTTTTTTGCTTTAATATATTCATTGAATTCTTACTAGATATTGGACATAGGCCTATGTGTTTTTCACAAAACATCACATTCAATTCTGACAACATTCCTGAAAAGTACATAGCTCATCTATTTTATAGATAAGAAAAGAGACTCAGAGAAATTAAATAATTCATCTATGTCCCACAGGGAGTGAGTGGCTGGGGTGGCACTGAGGCCAGGTCAGGGTGACTCGAGTGACCAATGCTTTTCCCACATCATTGCACGGTCCATGGACTGACTCTGAAAGGCTGTAGAGACCGAGAGGTGTGATTGGTGTTGGCAATCTGTGAGTGGCCCCTATGTGGAGGCCCTGTTGGAGGCCAGATCCACTGAGAGCTGGTCTGGGGCCTGGGACCATTTTGGCTAAAACCTTAAGGCCAACTTGGTCCCAATGCTGAACCAAGGAGTTTCTTTGGCAACAAGTGGACTATTTACACGGTCTTCAGACATACACAGAATCAACAGTTCTTCCTGGATTGGTTTAGTGTTATGAATGACCCCATAGGCTTAGAGCTAGGAAGGTGGCACCTGCACTTTAGAGATAAACTCAAAGGCCTCACAAAGATGGGCCTTAAAAGGCCCCAGCTCTCCACTAATTAATGGCAGCAGAGATATTGGTAGTAATAATGCAGATATTAGGTGGGTTCCATAGGTCTTTACAGTATAACTTAAGTTAAAAAACTGTTTCCTAGTAGACAGATAGATCTTAATTCCCATTCTAAATTTTCTTTCACAAATATCTACAATCTTGCACATGTGTTCAAATGGAAGACTTTGTTGAAGCCATTCCCTAAGTCTACATGCTTGTTGGACGTTGGCAATTTTGAAACCTTTGGACTCCTATGATCAGGTGTTTTCTTACTATTAGCTCAGTCTGGAAATACTGTGTCTCCCAGACTGTGTCACTGGCTTCTGATCATCTTCACCAAGAACCTATCCTTGTTGAAAGCTGGCAGTGCTTTGCCCACCCCTTTCAGAACCAGCTTGCTCATCCTGAAGAGTTAATGCCATATTTTTTTCAGATGTTGTACTCCATTTTTTAATCCTCTTCCCCAGTAGAACTAAGCCATTTGGCATTTAGACTAGTTCCATATTCTGACCAGGGCTGTTTATGTTGCAAGGAACAGATACCACTCAGACTAGCTTGAGGCAAAGAGCCAGAGAAACTCATAGACCTCCTAGGTGGGAAGAAGAACTGGGTTTCCCAGGAACAAAAACCCTGCCTTCCTCTCTGTGGCTGAGTTGACTAGCCACCTCTGCTTATAGCAGTAATAGTGCCAGCACGTGCTAAAGGTACAACAGCCTCTGCTACTTGGTTCCCTCTATCCTGAGAATTGATTTCCAGCTGGCCTGGTGCATCTGTCTAAGCCCACTCACATATCAGAAGTCCCTGATCAATCATCAGACTCACTGTTTTTGGAGCTGGGGTCTTCCACTGCTTGTCAATCAGCTCTAGCTAGGATGTGTAAAGGTCACTATGACCCCAAGGCTTCCTGTTCCATGAACTGAGAGGAGAGGGAAGATTCTCTAGAAGGGCTATGTGGATGGGGCACGAAGTGAAATACATCTAATACATTCTACTTGCCCTACCATGCATGAGACGTTTAGCATTTACTTGGTGAATATTATTTAGCATGTGCAAGCTTAGTTTTTATTTGCTTGCTTATTGGAATTGAGTGGGTGCTGTTGACTAAGAATGCTATCATGGACTTTGGGGACTTAGCAGGGAAGGGTAGGAGGGGCGTGAGGGTAAAAAGGCTACATATTGGATATAGTATATACTGCTAAGGTGACAAATGCACCAAAATCTCAGTAATCACCACTGAGGAACTTATCCATGTAACCAAAAAGCACCTGTTACCCAAAAGCTATTGAAAGAAAATAAAATTTAATTTAAAAAAAAAGAAAAGATGAATTCCCCCATAGATTCAGCTTTCTTAATATTGGTTCCTTATCTGGCAGCAGTGATCTAAGTGGCCCCTTTCATTATTCCAAATATTTTTCTTCATATGCAGCCGTATCTTTTCTCTTTGCAGTGGCTGCATCTATTATATGCTGGACTCGGAACTGTGCTCTTCTCACTCGTAAGTCCATTGCTCCATCTCTTTGGTAAGAGTGTGGTATGTGCATTGACAAGCCCTTGTGCTAGGCCTGGAGTCACATGGGGTTAGGAATTCACTGGAAACTCTTCAGCTCCCTTTTAAAGGATCATATTTAAAACCATTACCCTTAGGAGAGCCAGATGGTCTTCCGGATCCACGAAAACATCACTTTTGTTGAAAGAGTGAATATTTCAGAAAAGAATGAAGAATTATTTATAAACTTTGAAACTTACTGTAGCAGGGGTGTGGTTTCTTTTTTGTTTCTCCCTCCAGACCAGTTTCTATTCTTTCACAATAGAAACTTCTCCTAGAGAACCGGTGGAGGTCACTGCTAATGTATCTGGGAACGTCTTTCCTTCCATTTAGTCCCATCTCTTGCTGTTGTATCTTTAAAACTATTTTAAGGAATGTTTTATTTAAAAAGTAATACATGCACACATTTTAAAATTCAAACAACATAGAAGAGTATAAAATGAAAATTAAAATCTCTCTCTTATCCCCTGTCCCTAGAAGGAACTGTTAACAGTTTCTTGGAGTCCTTTTAGAACTTCTTTACACATAGGCACCATTTCTTCTTACACAAACGTAGCTATACTATGTATAACATCCTGCCTTTGCTTTTTCACTTAAAAATAATGGCTTCTGCATATTAGCAGACCTGGGTCCAACTAATCTTTTTCAAGGGCTGCATGGAATTCCATTTCATGCTTTTATCATATCACATCTTTCAGGGTTTTGTTGTTTGTTTGAGACAGGGTCTTGCTCTGTCACCCAGGCTGGTGTGCTGTGGCATGATCATGGCTCACTGCAGCCCTATCTCCTGGGCTCAAGCGATCCTCCTAGCTCAGCCTCCCCAGTAGCTGGGACTATAGGCACATGCCACCACATCTGGCTGACTTCATTTTTATTTTTAGTAAAGACAAGGTCCTGCTTTGTTGCCCAGGCTAATTTCAAACTCCTGAGCTCAAGCAATCCTATCTGCCTTGGCACCTCCAAAAGTGCCCAAATTATAGGCATGAGCCACTGTGCCCAGCCAAGATTTTATTTTTTAATATTATTTATTTTCAAAATTTCCAAACATATCCAGAAGTATTGAGAATGGTGTAATGAACCCCATATATTATCATTAGGCATAAAAACTACCCACATTTTGCTTCCTTTTTATTGTTGTTGGGATTGTGTTATATCTTTCAAATGTTAGAAAAATTCACACCAGGAGGTTAAGGTTAAGCATATACATTTCAAACGAGATCGGGTGTGTTTAGGGTGGTATGGGTGTAGACAAGGTTAAGCATATACATTTCAGTTTTCTCATTTCTTTTCCTATTATAAAGGGAAATTATTTGCATTCATTTTCCTTTATTCCTACACTCTCAGACCTTTTGTGTTGATGCTTGCTGTACTGATGCTTGCAAACAACGTTTCCATGCAAAAGTATGTTGATGTTTCTGTTTCCCATTTGCAGGCAGAGTAAAAACGATTGTAGACTCAAACAGGTCTACGCAATGCCAAACAAATTGCTGGAAAAGGAAATTGAATTTTGGGGGAAGCTTAACTATCAGAGTTGGGGGGCATGCGGGTGAGGCAGGGTGCCTCACTCCCAAATGCTCACAGGAGTCTGAATCCTGGCTGGGGCTTCCCTGTGGGTTGGTTGTGTCTTGGGTGGTATCCTGACCCCTGTTCCTCCTGGATGGGCGGGGCACCGCTGGATTGAGCTCATCTCACTCTCCCATGTTCCTGTCTGCCCTCAAGCACATAAACTCTCCCGAGAAGCTACAGTCCTAACCATCCCGTGCATGTCTGTGAAATGATTGAGAGTCATTATACCCCCTCTTACAAGAAGCAATAAATTAAAGCCAGAGATTTGGGAAGGGAAGGGAAAGAAAACCACTTCTGCATAGGAGCTGGGACTCCAGGGTGATAGATGAAGGCTGAGAGCAAAGCTGCATGCTCTGCCATTGGGGCTTTTTTTCCCCCTTTTTTATAAAGATGATGAATTTATCCCAGTTTGTCTGGGACTGAGGACTTCCCCAGAATATCAGAGTCTTGGGCAAATTGGAATAATTTGCCACCTTAGCTTTCTTTCCTTCCAAGGGTGCTGAAATGAGACACAGGGAGAAAGGGGGGAGAAGGGATTTGCAGCTCAGGTGAGGCACCTGCTTTTATAGACTACAAACTTGGGAACCCAGTGACCGACTGGGGCTGTAAGAATAACATATTCAGCCCAAAACAGACTTTCGACTATGTTTCTCCTGATGCTAAAGTATTTTTTTTCCAGATCATTTGGGACACTTATTTCATAGAAATGTACAATTTAAGTAGCTAATTCTTCCTTTTCTTCAAGTACTTGGTGATCGATGTGCAGCTCATGCTGGGAGGGCACCGCCATTATTCCCTGGACCCTGAAGGGTATGTTTTTGCTATCCTGAACATCTACTTGGACATCATCGACCTTTTCATTTTTATTCTGCGTCTGATTGGACGGGGACGGTAGTCACGCAACCAAGGCTGGCTCGTGCGGAGAAGAGGAAGGAGGGGTGCTGTGGAGTGTTGCCGGGCTCAGGCATGCAGAAGTCACCACTTCAGAAGCTCTTTTATTTAAAAAAAAATTTTAAGAATACTTTTTTTTTGTCAAATGAAACCAAGAATTGAGTAGATGATAGCTGTAGCTGTTATATTTTTAGTTCCATTGTCACGTAGCAAAACTTTCTGGGGACATTTCTAATTTTTATAGATTCAAAAGATGAGTATCATAATTACATACTTACAAACATTTGTATAATGCCCATTCCTTTGTTGGAGTTTTCTGAACACTATTTAAAGCTGTAAACAACATATCTCCACGTGAATACAATTGACTACAGAAACCTACATTTACTTCTTTCTCTTCTCTTGATTTGGACATTCTGTGGGAATATTCTGGCATCTGATATTTTTAAAGAGATAAACCAGAAGATAAATCAAATAATTCTGCCTTTCTCTTGGATTCCAGAGTCAGACTGGAGAGAATTATAGCATCCATCTGGTGGGGTATAGAGAGGTTTAATCAAGTTCACGTACATGAAAAGCTCAGGACAGAGCGTTAGCTGCTATTGTCACCATCCCACCCATGCTTCTGGGCTTAACCTTAACTCAGAGACCACTTCCTCTGACTGTTGGATAAATTAGCCTCCTTTGGAGTCCCAAGATATTTTTAATTTAATTTTTATTTTTCATTATGATAAAGTACACATAGCACAAAATTACCATCTTAGCCTTTTTTTTTTTTTTTTTTTTTTTTTTTTGAGATGGAGTCTCACTCTGTCGCCCAGACTGGAGTGCAATGGCACGATCTTGGTTCACTGCAGCCTCTGCCTCTCAGGTTTAAGCAATTCTCTTGCCTCAGCCTCCTGAGTAGCTGGGATTACAGGTGGGTGCCACCACACCTGGCTAATTTTTGTATTTTTAGTAGAGACGGGATTTCACCATGTTGGCCAGGCTGATCTCGAACTCCTGACCTCAAGTGATCACCCACCTTGGCCTCCCAAAGTGCTGGGATTACAGGCGTGAGCCACCGTGCCTGGCCCATCTTAACCATTTTTAAGTGTACTGTTCAAGTAGTGTTAAGCGCAACCAATATCCAGAACTTTTTTTTTTTTGAGACAGGTTCTCACTCTGTCATCTAGGCTGGAGTGCAGTGGCACAATCATAGCTCACTGCCTCAATCTCCTGGGCTCAAGTGATCCTCCTGCTTCAGCCTCCCAAGTAGCTGGGACTATAGGCACACACCACCGTGCCAGGCTTTGTGTGTGTGTGTGTGTGTGCGCGCATGTGCGCGCACATATGTGTGTATGTGTGTGTGTTAGAGACAGGGTCTCACTGTGTTACAGTGGGTAGCTAGTGTGGTATGAGCAGGGTGGGAGAGGGCCCCCCCACCTCACACACACCAGGAGCATTGGGTGACCATCAGATGATGGTCAGGCGGTTGTTAACTGTCTCGCTAAAGTAATAATTGGTCACAGCTGGCACCAGGGAAAGGCTGTCTTCTAATAGATAGAAAACACCTGAAACTGGTGATCAGCTGCTTCCCAATAAGATCTTAGGAGTTGGGAGAAGGGATGCAAGAGCCTGCAAGTATGCCAATGCATAAAATCCCAAGTTAAAAGGTCAAATTGTACACTTGACTTTCAAGCCGTCTGCTTGGCCCTCTTTCAAGTATACTTTCTTTCCTTCCTGCTCTAAAGCTTTTTCATAAACTTTCACTCATGCTCTAAAACTTGCCTCGATCTCTCCTTCTGCCTTATGCTCCTCAGTCAAAGTTTTTCTTCTGAGGAGGCAAGAATTGAGGTTGCTGTAGACCTGTACGGATACTGATATGTTCTGCTGGTAACATATTTTGCAGACCTGTGACTTGAATACTTGCCACTGCTAACAACTATGTTGCCCAGGCTAGTCTTAAACTCCTGAAGTCAAGCAATCCTCCTGCCTCGGCCTCCCAAAGTGCTGAGATTACAGGCATGAGCCACCACTCCCAGCCCAGAACTTTTTTCATCTCGCAAAACTGAAGCTCTATATCTATTAAACAACAAAAAGTTCCATAACATTTTGAATTGAATTACTTATATAATATTTACTTATATTCCTGAAGGTTACAGGCTGAATAGATTTTTGTATCCCTCCTGGAGTTTCACACCTTGAGGGTGTAAGTTCTTTTATGAGAAAGTTTTACTCAGATGTGTAAAAGCTCACGCTTTCAAATCTATCCAAAGAAACCTGTGTCTACATTCCCCCCTCACCTATTTCTTTTTTTTATTATTATTATACTTTAAGTTCTAGGGTACATGTGCACAATGTGCAGGATTGTTACATATGTATACATGTGCTGTGTTGGTTTGCTGCACCCATTAACTCATCATTTACATTAGGTATTTCTCCTAATGCTATCCTTCCCCCATTCCCCCACTGCACGACAGGCCCCGGTGTGTGATATTCCCCACCCCATGTCCAAATGTTCTCATTGTTCAATTCCCACCTATGAGTGAGAACATGTGGTGTTTTGTTTTCTGTCCTTGTGATAGTTTGCTCAGAATGATGGTTTCCAGCTTCATCCATGTCGCTAGAAAGGACATGGACTCATCCTTTTTTATGGCTGCATAGTATTCCATGGTGTATATATGCCACATTTTCTTAATCCAGTCTATCATTGATGGGCATTTGGGTTGGTTCCAAGTCTTTGCTATTGTGAATAGTGCCGCAATAAACATACGTGTGCACGTGTCTTTATAGTAGCATGATTTATAATCCTTTGGGTATATACCCAGTAATGGGATTGCTGGGTCAAATGGTATTTCTAGTTCTAGGTTCTTTTGACCCAGTGATCCCATTACTGGGTATATACCCAAAGGATTATAATTTCTTGAGGAATTGCCACACTGTCTTCCACACTGGTTGAACTAGTTTACACTCCCACCAACAGTGTAAAAGTGTTCCTGTTTCTCCACATCCTCTCCAATACCTGTTGTTTCCTGACTTTTTAATGATCACCATTCAAATGGTGTGAGATGGTATCTCATTGCCACCTCACCTATTTCTAATTCCAAGTCCTAGGCCAGCTAGTCTTTGGTGCTTGCCCTAGCAGGAAGAATATGTCATGGCTGCAGTATGAACAAAGACGCTAAGCTGGCATGTTCCTGGTATGCTTAAGGTGGTCTGGGGAGAGAGACAGAAAGATTTATGTAGAGGAATAGTTGTGTCAGATGATGGAGGACCTAAAATATCAGGTACAGGGTTTCAAGCTTTATCTTGTAGGTGTCAAGTTTTGATTGCAGTATCATGATGAAGGCACTGCTTTAGGGTAATTGGTCTGGTCATGGTGGGTGGTTGAGGGTGGAAAAGAGAGATACTGGAGAGAGAAAGGGCCCATGCAAGGGGTGATGCAATAACCTAGGCTTAAGGCGCTAAAGGACAGAACTAGGGTGATATATGGGGTGGAATGAACCAATCATATATGATCAAGATAATGGACAAAGGGGTTAGTGGGAGTTGACATCTAATTGGATGGATCTGTATAGCATGGGGAAGTTGGGGATGTCCCAGGGTTTACTGTGGGTAATTGTCACTTATAAAATAAGGCCATCTTGGCTGGGCGCAGTGGCTCACGTCTGTAATCCCAGCACTTTGGGAGGCCGAGGCGGGCGGATCCACTGAGGTCAGGAGTTCAAGACTAGCCTGGCCAACATGGCGAAACCCCGTCTCTACTTAAAATACAAAAATTAGCCGGGTGTGGTGGTGAGCATCTGTAATCCCAGCTACTTGGGAGGATGAGGCATGAGGATCGCTTGAATCCAGGAGGCAGAGGTTGCAGTGAGCAGAGGTCGCGCCATTGTACTACAGCCTGGGCGACAAGAGTGAAACTCCATCTCAAAAGAAAAAAAAAAAAGAAAAAAAAAGAGAAAGGCCATCTTAAGAAAGAAGGAAATGGCTTGGGGAGCTGTGAGACAAGGTGATAATGTAGGTTTAGATATTTTCCGTATATGGAAGCAGAGCAAATGCTAATTTGGCAGTTTTTTGGGCACTGGAGCTCAGAGCTAGAAAGAATTGGGGACCATCACAATTTGGTGAGAATTGAGGCTGTGAGAACAGATGAAACTGCCAGAAATGAGAGAAAAGGAAGGACAGCCCAATAGTCAAACTCTGGGAATGCCCATGACTAGATGAAAGAAAAAGGGCATTGGTCGCCAACATATGAGAATGATGAAAGCGTGATGTTATGGAGGCTATCAGAGACTTTCGGGACTATGTTAGTGAAGCTCAGCTACAACTGATGTAGGGCTATGGTGTCCCGGTCCTTGAGAACACACGAGGTTGTTTCACTTAACCTACTCCAAAAGGTCAAGGCACAATAAAACTAGGAACAAGGCCAGTAGATTTGACAAGGACCAGATCACCGACTCTTAGGGGCAGGGAGGAGTGAATCTACACTTCAGTGAGGCAGGAATGGTTGTTGTGGAAGGAAAGGACAGCCCCTGCAAGAGGTCTGCCAGGTTTACCTAAAGGAAGAGGAGAAACAGCAGGGGCTGGCAAAGGTTGTGCTTTTCCTGTTTTTTCACTTTCTAGGATAGGGGTAAATTTGGACATATTTGGAGGCAGAAGGAAGTGAAGGTATAAAAACCAGTGAGTAGGGACAGGAGTGAGGATGGCCTTAGTCAGGCCAAGGGCCCTTTTCTTCCAAAACTGAAGGGCAGGACTGGCCCATCACCTGTGGCAGTCTCTTTTGAGATGGAGGTAAGAAGACTGAATAGAGGAAGCAGGGAAAAGGGTTCTGCAGAGCCCGTGCTGGGGGGATTAGGGCTTAGAGAACACTGGAGGAGGTTTAATTGAGCTGCCCCGGGCTGTGCATGAGGGAGTCAGCCAGAGAAGACTGATAACTCCTTCTTCTGTTATCAAAAGTATTGGACATGGCAATTTAGTGGAATTTACAAATCTCAAGGAAGACATTTGAATGTAAGTACAGACACTATACGCAGTCCCAGACATCTGACTTTTTGATTGCCTATTGTTACGAATTTGCTCTATCTCCATTACTTTCTGGTTATGGTAGCTCTCAGAAGGGGACTTTATTTCAGCAGAGTTTCATATTGTGTTTATAATCTCTTACTACTACTAACAAAGTCCTGGAAGATGGGCTTAACCTCTGCAATGTGAGCATGCAGAAGAAAAAGGGTCTTTAAACTCACTCAGCAGAAACTCCAGGAGGGCCCCCTAAAGCTCCTGGGTCTGGATATTTTAACAAACATTACTGTGTATACACCTACCAAAGTGAAGACACAGTGAATTAATTCCATACAAAAAAGTAAATTCAGCTGGGAAGCTTAAGGTTTTTCATATTCTCCTTGGCATCAAAACCTCCATGCACATAGTAATAGGGACACGTGACAGCCCCCTTGCTTTCTGAAGTTTTCCCTTTCCCAGTACGGCATTAGGCATTTTTGTTGTCTCAGCAATGTTCCTAACCACATGCAGCCTATTGTGTGAGCTTATTGTACATGCCATTACGTAGTGGTTATGACTTGATTAAAAGTCCTTACACTTCTATGACAATATTTTGATTTCTGCATTTAGTAAAGGCTCTGAGCAAAATACACCTCTTAGGGTCAGTCTATCCAATGAGTAGATTGATTTGTTCTCAATATTTTAAGTTTTGTTTGAAAAGAGAGCCAATAATTTGAAAATCTGTCAGGAGTGGCCCAAAATCCAACAATGGGTAGCACATTTATAAGTCAACCCAAGATGAACATAAAAGGGTAATGACAGATTACTGGCCATGAAAAGAGAGAGGGGAATCCATTCTTCTGGCTTCCGGCTACACTTTCTATAATGCACACAAATGTAGGGACTACCTAGAATTTACTTTTAATTGTTATTTTTTATATTATTCCAAATGAGTATTCCCTTATCTAGCTCTAGGCATAGTTGGATGAGCACATCTATGTGTACACAACTGGACCTTGGTGAAACTACTCATGTTAAAGACTAGTGCAGTTAGCCATGTTCTTTTAAAAATCAGTATGCCACTTGGCACTCATAGGCTCAAATAACGTCAGTGGCTAAAATGTTGTGGAATATATTAGACATTACTGTCAAGAATGAATGTTAGTAGTTTCTTACCAACATTGGTAGTACCTTAATCCAAAGATACTTGGATTAAGTATATTTGCTTAATCCAAGTTTCTGAAACAAATGAATTAGTTGTTCAAGATATCTTCAATGGCTCCCAAGTTGTAGTAATATTGACAGCTCATAATGCATTAAGATAACATTTGATTTATTGAATTGTTGCTCTAAAGCAGGGGTCAGCAAACCATAACCTATTTGCCAACTTCAGCTTGCCATCTGTTTTTTTTAAATTTTAAAATAATTCAGTAATTTAATAGAAATAATTCAATAATTCAAACAGGTTCATAGGAAGTTGCTATTATAGAGAGGCCCTGTGTATGCTTTACCCAGTTTCCTCCAATGAGTACCTTTCACATAATGTGCAATATCAAAACCAGGAAACTGACACTGGTAAATGTCTATGTATATTTCTATATGATTTTATCACATGTAGATTCACGTGGCCACCACCGATACAGACTATGCCATCATCACAAAGATGTCCCTTGTGTCACTCCTTCATAGTCACACACACACCTACCTGCCCCCCACCATCCCTAACCGCTGGCCAACACTAATTTGCTTCCAACTCTTATTATTTTGTCATTTCAATAATGTTATATAAGTGGAATAATATAGCATGTGATTTTTTCAGACTGCCTTTCTTTTTACTCAGCATAAGGCCCTTGAGATTCATCCAAGTGGTTGAATCAATAGTTTGTTCCTTTTTATTGCTGAGTAGGATTCCACTGCATAGATGTACTACTGTTAACCATCTACGAGAGGACATTTTGGTGGATTTCAGGTTTGGCTATTACAGATAGTTGCTATGAACAAATGTGTACAGGTTTTTGTGTGGAGATAAGTTTTCATTTCTCTGTGACAAATGCCCAGAAGTGCAAGTGTTGGGTCATATGATAAGTATATGCTTAAGTTTTTAAAGAAACTACCAAATTATTTTCCAGGATGGTTGTACCATTTTATATTCCCATCAGCAATGTATGAATATTCATTTCTCCACATCCTTACCAGCATTTGGTGTTGACACTAATATTTATGTTAGCCATTCTGATAGGTGTGTAGTGTCTTACTGTGATCTTAATTTGCATTTCCCAGATGGACAGTGATGTTGAACAAATTCCATGTGTTAGTTATTTATCTTCTTTGGTGAAATTTTTCATCTCTTTTGTCCATTTTATATTGGATTGTCTTTTTGCTGTTTAGTTTTGAGACTTCCTTATACATTCTATGAGTTGTCAGATATGTGGTTTGCAAATATTTTCTCCCAGGTTTGTCTTTTCATCTTCTTTATCAGATCTTTTGTAGAGCAAAAGTTTTACATTTTGATGAAGTCCAGTTTATCATTTTTTTCTTTTATGAATCATGCTTTTGGTGGCAAGTCTAAAAATTCTTTGCTTAGCCTAGATCTTAGAAGACTTTATGTTCTTTTCTAAAAGTTTCACATTTTACATTGAAATCTATGATCAACTTTAAGTTTTATATATAAAGTGTGAGTTTTAAGTAGAGGTTCTTAAGTTTTGCCTGCCTTATATCATACCAATTGTTCTGGTGCCATTTGTTGAAAATGCTATCCTTTCTCCTTTTGCGCCTTTGTTAAAACCAGTTGACAATATTAGTGTGAGGCTATTTCTGGTTCTCTGTCCTATTCTATTGATCTACGTGTTTATCCATTCACCAGTATTGCACTGTCTTGAAAAAGGGTAGCATGGTTCCTCTATTTTAGTTTTCTTTTTCAAAATTGTTTTAGCTACTCTAGCTCTTTTGCCTTTCCATATACATTTTAGAATTATCCATAGCTACAAAACATATCACTGAGATTTGGCACAAATTGTTGCCCAGCAATTGAACTAAGTCCAGCCATTCTGATATCAGCTTGTGGCTGTGCTATGGGCAGTTAAGTTGGGCACAAAATTTCCCCCAAAGGCACAGCTATAATTTTTCAAGTAAAATTGAGATACTGCTAGGGCCAGGCTACTGCCCTCTCAAATCTATCATTTCTATGTGACTAGCAAGGCCTGCTGGAGACTTTCCATCTGGTTAATTCTCCAATTAAGAGTTGACCCACCCTAAAGTCAAGATGTCAGACCAGGAAGTCCCAAGGTTTCCATGGGTTAGGTATTCAGTTTCGAGAGATGCACATTAATAGCTGCCTGTTTTTCAAAGTGGATGCTGTTTGGTGGTTGCGTCAGGTAGGTGGCCACACTGGGTTGGAAAAGGCTTGAGTGCTCTGAGTGCAATTAAGTCAGTCAGCAATTTCCCTTTCTCCTCCTGGGATTTTGTATTGTGTCTGGAGGACCACCAGGAGGGGTCAGAGACACGTTGGGGAGCAATTTACACAGTCCATTATTACCTCTGTACATGTGGGAGCCCTTGAAAGGGAGAATCCCACTGACAATCATCAGACAGGTAAGTGTGGGCATACAACACATCAATTCCATTGTACATTTAGATTTAGAAGCCACTTTACATTGAATCACCAAAAAGGCCCCGCCCACAAGGCCCTATTAGCTTCCCTTCCTCACCACAGAACATGTTAAAAAGCCTTTTACACCACAGGAACACAGACCACAGACCAACGAGTTGAAAATGTGTGCAAGTCAGGGGCTACACGCGGCAAATGAGTGCCCGGTCACATTACCCCTAACCAGGAGGGTTGCAAAAGAGGCTGTCTGTGGGGAACAAACTTAATTTTCAGCCTTTTTTCTCCTTTAGCCTCTTGTTTCAGGATCAGTGCCCGAACACTGACAACTACCTCTCCTGTGGCAGTGGTGAGCCCCTACAGCATCCAGAAAGAACTGGGGCCCCGGGCTTCTATTTTCTCCCATGCACACCACCACGTTTTACCCCGAAGTCTTCGGCACCTTCTGTCACTCCTGCACCCAGCACCTTGCCCTCATTACTGGCTGAATCAGCTGTGGCCTGCTCTGCACTTTTAGGCATGGCATTGCCTTCACTTCGGCATTTGAACAGTGTTGCAACTGCTTGCAGCTCAATCAAATAACCTTCTGTTTTCAGTCTATCCAAGGCTCTCAATCGAAAAGCAAGGTTCTTATTGATAACACCATTTATTTTACATTGTAACAGGAGTTGCTGACTCCTTACCTTGAAAACATCCCTTCCTCTGCCTGCCTGCAGGAGTAACAAAGCACCGTTTGCACTGTTTGTTTCAATCTCACCTCTTGTTGCTAAGCCTCTAAACATTGTCTCCTGTTCATGAATAGGTAGGACAGTGGGAACCCTTAATCTCCACCAACCCTCGCCCTATATCCATCATTAGGGTTAGAGAATTCACTACCAGATCTCAGGGAGTCTTACATTCCAGAACCTGGCCCATGGTTCCTTTTTCAGAATATCATGTCTTTGTCAGCATCCCATCCTTGTTGCCAAAACTCTCAGTTCCAGGATTTCACTTTACCCTACTGACAAACGAGTAAGTTAGCCTGTTACAATCTCAAGAATGCTGACAGAAGACATGAGACTCTTGAGTCAGAGGCAAAGGACTTTATCACTCATGGCACAGCACTCAGAATGAACCTCAGCATATTTGCATCAGTTCCCCTTGTCTCCAGTTTCAAGGGGGCAATGCAAAGGACCTGGATGGACAGCAAGCACACGGTGGGGTTCATGTTGTAGTTCAGCTGAACACTGGGTGTGAGGAATCCACTTCTTAAGCAGTTAAGCCTGCTCCTTGATCTCAAGTTACTAGTTACATAAATCCTGAGATGGCTCAGGCAAAATTGCCAACAGGGCCTTGCAGTCTTGGCACACCTAGTAAGATAAGAGGCCTGACTGAATCCTCCAACAATTATCCTTTTTGTACTTTGGCTTTGTTCACTCTCATGTGTTTGTCTCAACCTGTTATGTACTGATGGCTCACACAGGCTAGGCACTTATGCAATAAATACTTAATGGGACAGCTGGCTAAGACATGAAGACAGCTTGATTAAGAATATTGTCAAATTGCAGTTTCAAAGAGTGAAGAAGAATAATTCCTTCAGAAGTTTGGCCACCACTAAGTCTGTCAGCTACCTGTGAGTCCTAAGTGGAACTGAGGTCTAAAGGAAACTTTTCTGATTCATCTTTAAGAAATAAGTCTACTGCCAGTTCCTAAAGTACTGTCACATAATACAGTCTAGAAGAAGCCACTTCTATCTTTCTAGAAAGAAATCTTTCATTCCGGTGAGAAGGCTGTAACAACTGACAAGACAATATAATGTTGCCAAGGAGAAGACCCAGTAATTATGCCTGTAGCACAATGCTGAGATGAAACAACTTCTGGGCCAGGCACAGTGGCTCTCACCTGTAATCCCAGCACTTTGGGAGGCCCAGATGGGCGAATTTCTTAAGCCCAGGAGTTCAAGACTAGCCTGGGCAACATGGTGAAACCCCGTCTCTACAAAAAATACAAAAATTAGCGAGCATGGTGGCATGTGCCTGTAGTCCCAGCTACTTGGGAGGCTGAGGTAGGAAAATCACCTGAGCCCGGGAGGTTGAGGCTGCAGTGAGCTATGATCACATCACTGCACTCCAGCCTGGGCGACAGAGTAAGATCCTTTGTTTTTCTCAGAAGAGAAAACAAAGAAAACAAACAAAAAAAAACCTACTACTCAGTCCAAGAGCTGACTGCATGAAAAATTTTTTCCTTTGGAGTTATTTCAGCCTTAAAACACCCCCAAAGTTTGTATTATCACTTAATATTTAGATTCCAAGGTTTTACTCTTCAGAGATATACTATCACTGCTTTTAAATTATGATCAAACTTTAATAAATTCCAGATTTTAATTCATAACACGTAAATGATAAATATTTGAGGACTCAAAGGAGATAAAAAATGAGATCAGTGGCTGTAATGAACAACAATTAAGGAATAATTCAGCCTATGAACATTGGTAGTTAAGCTTCAGATCCACATAATGAAAGGCATAAATAAGATGACGCCACTTTAAATGATTATCACCAGCAGACCCCATGAAGCACCAGCTGGGGCATGGTCAAATGTCATGGGTTATTTTGGTAACTCATAAGGGACACAATAATAAAGTGAAAGAGAAGCAGGCATTTTTATTCACATGGCATAAAATTTTTTTCTTTCCTAAGCAATTTCACAAAACATATCTTAAAGTTATTTTTCTATGTATTTCTATTAGAGTTCAAGAAAAAATAACATTTTTCTCCTGAAAGCTACAGTGATGTCAATAAAATGAGCACTGATGTCATAATGTTTTAACACATTGTCATGCAGTGTTTTCATATTTATAACTGGGATATAAAATGCTCAGTAAGTGGCTAGTGTAAAAATATTAGGCACTAATCAATTACATGTAAGAACCAAATTGATCCCATCACATTGGAGGGATTTAATTTGAAGAAAATCAGCTTTCTGACTTGGTTAAAACAAAGTCTACAATGTAATGAGACAAAATGGAAGTAGTTTAAGTAATAAATGTTTAATCAAAGAATTTTACATATTATTAACAGCATTCATTTGGCCAAACATCTACACGTTTGTAGAATCCTACTGTATATAAAGTGGGAATGTATCAAGTATAGACTATGAAAGTGCAAATAACAAGTCAAGGTTAGATTAACTTTTTTTTTTTACATTATAAAATTAACTTGTTTACAAAATAGGCTTTGCCAAACTTCATTACTGAATTGTAAAGTCAATGACTGTGTTGTTTTTAAAATATGTACCAAGGAAATACAAATTGGATAATGATCATTTTTCATGCTCAGGAGAGAACAGCACAGAAATAAAGGATACTGCACAAGGTGCAAGGAAACCGGAACCCATTGTGTACACTGTCTTCACACAGAGCATTCTTTCTCACCTTAACTGCAGCTGTGCAAGATGCCTCAGTGTGATGCAAAGACTCTATATTGGAAAAATTACAACTTGGTCTAAAAACTTATTGGTGTTGATATTTTTAATCCAAAATAAATTTATAAAAAAATCCTTTAATGGACTATTTCAGTTTAATATACAGTAATACACTGTAGATAAAGTTAATATTCCCCCCACTAATTTAATAGGGATTGATATCAATGTTTCTGATCACTGGAGAAATAAAAACTAATGTGGACCTTTGATATCCATGGCATAGGAGGATTCCCACAGTTTATCCTAAGAGGATCTGGGGAATATTAAATATTCTAATACAGTGTCTTAGCAATATGAATTTTAAGTACAAGGATATTTCAAAAGCAGGGTTTGGAAAAAAAAAAAGTAATCAAAACCCATAATCACATCTCTTGTGGATAACAATATTAATATAACTTTTTACCCAGCCCAGGACTTGCCTGTACAAACTCAGAACTGAAAGTTTGGTATCTGTAGACTTCTGGTAACAATCTGGCAAAACACTAAATGGAGTGTTGTACTTATCTATTTTGCTTATGTTATGCTAGTTTTGATAATATTTAAGTAAAACAGCCATTCCAACAGTTTACTCTAGTTTTAATTACACACTGTACCATTGTATCCTAATTACAACTAAGACCAGTATTTTCTTCACAGTAAGACACTGATAACTAGGAAGTTGATTTTTTTCAACACTAAACAGTAATCACACAGCAAATGAGTATTGCGCAGTAGAACAAACACATGTCAGCATTTGCTAGTTAGGCAAACAAACTGATTGAACATTTAGTTGTTATAGTTAGTGTAAAAGCAAGGCCATGGGTGGTTTTATGGAGGTCTTTGCAATTCATAGCATAGTTACTTCAGAAGAGACATTGAAATTTGAATTACTCACTTATT
This sequence comes from Homo sapiens, assembly GCF_000001405.40. Taxonomy (NCBI): domain Eukaryota; kingdom Metazoa; phylum Chordata; class Mammalia; order Primates; family Hominidae; genus Homo; species Homo sapiens. The sequence goes on along the minus strand of NC_000007.14, from coordinate 92,400,051 downwards.
TAACTGGCAACTATCCATTTAGGTTAGGCAAAGGCACGGTAACATGTTGCGCAGGATGTTTTACTGAATTTCTTAATAATCGTGGGATTTACTATAACTCATGAAAACTCCACTTTTTTTCTATTTTATAAAACACGATTAAAAGTAATTGCACCCATCAGTAATTAGAATGCACTGTAAAATTGTGAAAACAAATAACTATGATTGCACTTCCAATAAAGTGTCTCTTAAAATACAGCACCGCTGTTGCTAATCAACTGTATTTTAATATTAAAATAAACTGTTTTTAACAGCAGCATTAGGTTTAGTTAACTTAAGCTACAGGCTACATTTATATAAATGCAGTCTCCATGGCAACAAAAACCCATTTAATTCTGGAATATCATTGCTACCAAGTGGCACCTTTTACTCCCGAGAACGCTGACACTGCCCTGGAGCACTCTAGGATGCTGCACACCTAAATGCCTTGTTAGTCAGCACACAAGTAAGAGTTTGGCACAATTGGACTGTAAATAGACATGAAAGGAAACCTTTGATTCATGTGAAAATTAAAACTAATTACACTATGGTAGATGTGGTACTAAAGAGACTTCAATTCACATTGCTCAGACAAAAAGGAAGTAAGTTATGGAAGAGCACAAAGAGATTGAGGACATATATGTTATCGGATTTATCCAAAATAAATTTCTAGAATGAAGAAAACTTTTTTTTTTTTTTTAAAGGAAAGCCACCCAAAGATTAGGGAGTAAGCCTTTAGTTTAAATGTTCAATTTAAGTATTGTCAAGCCTAGGCTAAATAGAGGACTGCATTTTCTTAGAGTGTGGAATACAACTTATTTATTTCATTTTTGTTTCTCTTTCTCTTGCTCTTCTTTTTGTCAGCAAAAAGGGGAAAAGCTATTCAATTAAGTACAAAGGAAATTCCCTGTAAGGTTAAAATAAAAAATGAAGCTACCATTCAAGGGAACTTCTCTGTATTCAACCCTAATGTCAGTGGTTTATCACTGAGTTGGAATTAAGTGAATCAAAGTCTCTATCAAGCATACTCCACCTAGCATACCATCTGTACCTGTAATTCATTTAGAGCCCAGATGTGTGCAGTTCACACTAAATGTACTTGTTCAAGCCAGTCACTTGAGGTTTGAGGTGTTTGACTTGAAACATCTGAACCATCTCCTCTGTTGGCTGCCTCGTTACCACTGTCACCAGCTTGAGATGCTGCTTCCCCCGCCAGAATATTTTCTTCCAAAGGATTTTCTTCTATCTGGGTTCCTCTACCTTCACTGACACTGGCATCTTCAAACATTGAATCTTCTGGCAGCACCAGTTCCACATCCTTCACACCTTCTGACCCATCTTTGATACAGGGGAGCTGGGAATCTGCACTGATTTCTGTAGTTGCTGGAGGAATCAGGGCAATACTCTGAGGGTTCATGTCATGAAACCAAGCCATGATGTTGCCGAGAAGATTGTCATTGATGTTGGGGTCCTGGCCAGCTGAGTCAGGATCACTAGATGAGGGACAGAAATCACTTCTTGCCTCACTGAGAGGGTGTGAGCTCAGGGTGTCAGTTGAAAATGGGTCATTCTCTGCTCCTAGTCTCATGAGGCTGTCACCAAGTTCCAAAAGCTCAGAGCTGCTCAATGCAGCCCGAGGGCTATCTGTATTTCTGGGGACAGAGTCCAGCCTGGAAGGTAAAGAAGTGCCTATCGCACCTAAGGATGCTTCATTACTGAGGAAGTCTCTAGTTTCTTCATCGAGGGCCAGCCCAGACTCTTGCAGTGATAACTGTATTGCAAGAAGTATATTGGGATCGTCTTCATCCAAGGAACTCAGAGCCTGAAGCAACAGAAAGCAAAACCACTTTAAAATTTGACTGAAAAAAACTGATTTAACTCAATCAGGTTTACCATTCTTCCTTTACCAACAGATTATTAATTTTATTTATACAGAAAAATTATTTTATCTACTAAAATCTTGTATTTTTCTCCATGCCCATGCTAAAGGAAAAAAAAAACATACCTTAAAATAAATCTAAAATATAGGAATATCTTTTCCTGCAGCACATCTTTAAAACAAAGATTTTAGAATGGAAGGAAGAAATAGGAAAGCGATGAAAGTAACAACAGGAAACCACACTCAGCAGAGAAAGAGTAAAAGCACAGGCAATGAGGCTGTTCAGAAAGGCTACCTGAAGAGAGTCCTGGTTTTCAGAGCGACTGGCAGGGGTGTAGTCACGCAGGGAAGAGCTGTGCAGCACACTCATAGATGCAGAACTTACCACGGATGTGCCAGGCCTGCGGCTGCTGCTGCCGCCTTCTGGAATATCTGTTTCAAAGCAATTGGTACCAAAGACAATTTAGTGACAAATAAGACTTATTTATTTTTTTCATACATCTGGTTGTTTAGATGGGCAATTTCTCTTTCAGTGCTGGGGAAAACCTGTGTTGACATGTTCACTTAATCTTTCTGGGATTTCTCATCCATATTTGTCTTACCATGAAGAATAATATATATATGATACTATCACTTCAAATCCGTAACTTTTTACTTTTTTTTTTTTTTGAGATGGAGTCTTGCTTTGTCGACCTAGCTGGAGTGCAGTGGCGCAATCTTGGCTCACTGCAACCTCTGCCTCCTGGGTTCAAGCGATTCTCCTGCCTCAGCCTCTCGAGTGGTTGGGACTACAGATGTGCACCACCATGCCTGGCTAATTTTTGCATTTTCAGTAGAGATAGGGTTTCACCATGTTGGTCAGGATGGTCTCCATCTCCTGACATTGTGATCCGCACACCTTGGCCTCCCAAAGTGCTGGGATGACAGGCATGAGCCACCGTGCCTGGCTGACTTTTTTACACTTTTGCTTGCAGTCTATATAGTTCTATTCATAAATGCAAGTGCTACTATCCATTTCTCTTTTTTTGTTAAGCAATAACTAATAAACGTTTTTCATTTTTAGATTTCTTAAAATTAAATAATTTGGGAATTACAATAGTCTGAAGAGCAAATCTTTAGTCCCATTGATCCTGACATTATAGTCAGAAGATTTTCACTTAATAATTTAACATTTAAAAGTTGAATAATTAAAATAATTTATCTCTAATGCCAGAAATTCTCTCTCTTTTAAATAATGTCTACAGGACAACTAAGGCTAGGAGACAAATATTCCATGAACACAAAACAGTATCAATCAATACTACAATTAACTGAGTGCTTCACTAGGTGCTTAAGTGTTTTAGATGCATTATCTAATTTAATACTCACAATGAGCCTATAAGGTGGCACTATTATTATTGTGTCTTTAGAATATGGAAACAACCTTAGAGAGGTTGTGACCTGACTAGGTTACACAGCTAATATGCAGCAGAGATGGGGTCATGAATCCAAGTTTGCCTAACTCCACAGACCATGCTCCTAACTCCTCTGATTTTCTGTGTCCTGTCACAACAGAAACATCTGCATATTTATTGTATATCTAAATGACAAACTCGTTCACAAAAATTTACATCAGCCAGTTTGAAGGATAAATTCAGGGGAGCTATGAGATTAAACCATACTCAATGCAAGGACTTACCTAAAGTGCTTTCACTTGGCTCATCAGGGTCTGGAGGATTACTGAGTAGACTGTGAACATCTCCTCGACGACGTTGTCTGTGCCTCCTCCGATACTGAAATTCAGCATATTCCTGCATAAACCAAAGGTTATAAAATACAAGAGAGCATGCAATTTTTAAAATGCAAATAAAACAAAGTACACACTTTTTTCCAGGGGAAAAAGTTTGTGATTTTATACACATCTTATAAAATCACTTGGCTGAAACATCAGGTTTTGCCATGCCAAGGAAACACAAAAGGTAAAATGGAAAAAGAAAGTTTTCAACAGTCATTACAATTGCCTAGATAAATTAGGAATACTTGCAAGCCCCAGTGCTACATTAGAACAGCCCTATTTTATATGCCTGATGATTTCAAGGATCTTGTTATCTAATTAATACTACAACCATATTACTCATTTAAGTAAGGCTTTCCTTGAAGGGAGGTTTTTTATTTTTTATTTTTTTATTTTTAGAGTCAGAGTCTTGCTATGTTGCTTAGGCTGGTCTTGAACTTCTGGCCTCAAGCAATCCCTACTGCTCGGCCTCCTAAGTAGCTGGGATTACAGGTGTGAGCCATTGAAACTGGATATGAAAGTGGCTTTAAAAACGTGACCAGGGGTGGGTGCTGTGGCTCACGCCTGTAATCCCAGTACTTTGGGAGGCCGAAGCAGGCAGATCACCTGAGGTCAGGAATTTGAGACCAGCCTGGCCAACATGGTGAAACCCCATCTCTACTAAAAATACAAAAAATTAGCCGGGCGTGGTGGTGGCACCTGTAATCCCAGCTACTCGAGAGGCTGAGGCAGGAGAATCACTTGAACCCAGGAGGTGGAGGTTGCAGTGATCCGAGATTGTGCCACTGCAGCCTGGGCAACAACAGCAAGACTCCATCTCAAAAAAAAAAAAAAAAAAAAAAGTGACTGGGATATATGTAACAGAAAAAGAAAAAAAGGAACAACAGTAAAAAATAACACACACTGTTAAGTACTTGCCAGATTGTTGGATTTTCTATTCTTTGGGACTACTACATATCATATTCACAAATCAAATGACTAGATTAAAAGACAAATGTTAGGTTAGCTTTAAAATAAGATGATTATTTAGCTTCTTTTCTATATAAGCCAATATGTGGTGCTATTTACAACACAAGCAGGGGAAATGTTTTCTATTTAGCATATGGGATGAACACAGACTTAGGCAGATGTCCTCAGCCTATTCCACATTTGTGACAATGTTTAAAGTTAGTTTGTTATCACCAGAGGGTACAACCTGGGACCATCGCTATTACCTGGGTATAAATGTGACAGAAGAGAAGAGAATAAAAGAGAAGGGAAGAGAAGAGAGGAGGCCAGGGTACATGATACCAACATAAAAAGGCTAATTTAGAGAATCATTATGGTGTCTTTCCATGATAAACACTAAGATATTCAACTTTATGATTATCCTGGTTACCCTAGAATATTCAATATGCTTATATTGTGAAAGTACTAGAAGTAGGTGAAGACAAATTTTGGATCACAAATAAAACTTTCACATCATACCACTCTGGTGACATTTATTTAAACTCCTTTATTTATATAAGCAGTTGGACTCTTAAGAAGTGGGAGGCATCCTGTTAGGTTAGAAACTAATAAATGAAAGATACTCCAAGTGCCCTGAGGGTTTATACTGGTTCTTTAAAATGCCTTGCTGAGGTGGGACATCATTTCCTCTTCTCCTAGAGGCCCATGACCTCAAACTGATGACTTAAGTGTCGTCAAGGCTCAACAGACCAGTGAGGAACACCAACTAGATTTCTTAGACAAAGATGGTGTGAAAATTTTATCTCAATTCAAGTTTTATATTAGGGATAATTTGCTTACTTTGTAAACTTGATAATGGTACAAAGTTATGAATTAAACTATTACTGACCATAGACTATACATATTTCCAATTTAAGAAAATGAAACCGTTTAAAAGCAACTGCAAAAGAAACTTGTATATCTAATCGTCTGACAGAAAACTCTCAGATGGCATTCTCTCATGATGCAACAGGCTTAAATATATTGTTCTCATAAAATTTATTTGAAAATTTCCAAGGATTCCTAAGATCTTCAAGAATGTATATGAAAAGGGTTTAGTCAGTATACTCCAAATGGTTTGAGAATGTTAAGGATACAGAAAAGACTAAAAAGTTCTAGGATTTACAGAGGGAAAAGCTATAAGGAGCTGTTTTAAGTAATAATTCCAACAATTTTGTCAGTGGCTAAATGAGATGCTTTAATCCTTCTAGAACTTCCATGGGGTATCACCATCCACATTGTAAAGATGAGAAATTAAGAAAGAACATAGCCTAGGATCTAGTAAGTTACACTTAGAACTTGAATTCAGGTGTTCCTCAGACTTTATGCTATTTCCACTGAGCTGCACTGCCTTTAAAGTAGCATAAAACAAACCTTTATGCTTGCCAGACTCAATTTACATTAAAAAGAGTAAGATGAAATTAACTTCACTGAAAAAAATATAAGTTCAATCTAAGTCTACTGGAGTTGGTAACCTTGTTTTTTCCCTCACTATTAAGGCAAAGAGCTATTTTTCAAAAATATAACTTTGGCAGTTACTCGATAGTCATACACATGCAGAATTTGAAAGTCTCACAATGTGCAGTAATTCTTTATATCTGCAATAAGGTTTACGTAAAAGCCTAGTGTTTCAATGTGTCAAAGACTAAAGAAAACTAAAAGTAAGTAATTTCTAAAAAATTATCAATTCATAAAAAACAAAGTGACACTCATATTAGTAGGCCCTCAATATTCAAGGACAAATATTTCAGGATTCCTAAAGTTTCTGTCAGAGCCAGAAGCTGCAAGATGATACACATACATGCTTGTGAATACACTGACAAAGGTTTTATTTATTTTTGCTAAACTGTGTTTCTACCTTAAAACACGGAAATCATTAGTATTTTTTTTTCTTTTATAATTTCAGTTTGCTTATTCTTCCTTTTAGGTGGAAGTTTACCACAATATCCCCGAAGTTGTAAATGTATTATAACATTGAAATAATAAATACAGGATCAGATAAAGGTTCATAATTAGTTTTAAAATAAAAATTTCATTAATATATCACAATTTTTAAAACAATTTAAGTGAATTTAAAATGTCCAGATCAGGGCTCTAAGCACAATTTTTTTCAAGTCAATATTTTCTTGGATGTATCTACCAATACAAAAGCCACAGGTGATTGCAAGTATCTTCAGCAGCTGAAAAGAGAAAGTATCTGATTTAAATAAGCCACAGTCATGCCTGGATAATAATCAATTTCATTGTCTTTCAGTTGCAGGTAACAAATGGGTTATACATTACAAACAAAGATTTCCTCATTTGTTCTGTACCCTTCCAAAAATTAAGTTGAAGGGTTATCATATTATAGGCATCAAATACTGTTTAATAAAGAGCAAGGATGGAAAGAGAGAAGTAGAGAGAACTGCTGAAACCATTTTAAAATCAGACTCAACAGTGACAGTGGCAATTTAAATCTCAGAAAACAGCTATGTGATTAAGAGTTTCACTCTGTCTTATTTTTATTTGCCACAACTGCTATCTGTAGTGTTAGTAATTTAGACCTTCTGTATTTCAAAACGGTATATTAATAATGACAACAAAAAAACAAGAAGAGTGTGAAAGTCTTAAAGATAAGCAGAAAGCAACTAAGCAAAGCATTTCTTTCTGCATATACATTATTAAAGTCAAGTTTTCCACCTTAGCAACTGATTATAAATCAGTTCCCTCAGGTTGTTGCATTAACCTTAAAAAATGGATTGTTCTTTTATATTTTTAATAGTTTCAGATTAAAACAATATTATGACTAGAAATGCATTTCTAATAAATTCTCTCTATTAACAAATTAGAAGATATTTTCCAAAAATGTATATTGTAAATTTGCCTTAATTCTGACTATTCAGTAATTAAAAACAATAAAAGAGTAATGCATTTAACAATGTGACGATATAGCAATACCACATAAATAGCTAAATGTAGGCTCTGTCAAGGCATTTTTGTTACAAAAGAAAGAGACAGCACTGCTGATAATCTCAGAAGGATTTAGAATAGATAAGGATGCAAATGCAAGCACGACTGCACTAAGAAAAAATACAAAAACAAAAACCCCATAAAACAATTACCTCTGGTGATGCAAATCCTAAATATTCCCAATCCCATGTTCCACCAGCAAAGCTACAAAGAAATTAGACATACCATTTGATTTAATATCAATACTACAAAGTATATACAATCAGATCCTTGCCCTTTGAACATTACTTTGAATTCCTCTGTTGGAACTTGCTTAACTAAAGTAGATCAACTATTAAAACAGAATTAAAATGATAATTTTCCTTTCTTCCAAATTCTAAGTTTTTATGTTTGTGTAAAATGATCAAAAAATAAAAATTACCATGTTATAACAAAGTATTTTATAATGCTTCTATTTGTATTTTACAAGTAAATATTTACTCATAAATATTATGTAAAAATAGGATCAAAGGAATTTATGTAAAATAGTGCCAAAGGAATGTTTAATGCTTATAGTTATTATAAATAGGAAAGTATGCTTCAATTTACAGAAGTAGTATGAGTATGTAAAATAAAACAACTACAACTCAACTGATCTTTAGTGGATGGGTTTATCACTTAAATAACTACAAATATCAAATTTCTCTTTCCTTCACAACTTCTTAATACAAAAATACAAATATGACCATAACAAGCTGGCAAAGTTTCCAAATTCTACATCGTAAGATGTTTATAACTATCAAATCACTATATATATTACATATTTGAAATGATACATTAGAATACTCTTATTTATGAGTTCACCTGAAATGTGAAATTAACCTAGGTTAATTTAGTCTAAGGAGCTACACAATGATAAATAAACAAAAAATAACAAGAAAAACAGAAATAGCATGGAGGAAAAAAAAAATCACCAAAAAAAGTCAACATACTTTTATGAGCTATCCATATTTTAGGTGTAAATAATTTCCAGGAATATGAACCCTAGTTGGATAAAAAACAAAACTGCTGGTATTTGTGGCTGGAGCTAGGATGATTTCCACAGTGTACGTCCTTTTTACCTGCGCCTTGGAGCTTCTGGTGAGTCTGCAGGAGCTACTCCCCGAGCCACAGATGCCAGGAATTCTTGCCTCTTCTGCTGTACAAGGCATGCTGCTTTGATGATCTTGTGGCGGGGTGTGCGAAGGTAAGGCCTATTGACTTTCTGGGCAAGGTCTTCAGTGACCATTTCTAGGTCTGTCTATAGTAAGCAGAGAAAAAAAAAAAATCACAGGCTTCATAGGTTAATCAATAGCAAATCCAGGGTCTATGTGGTTTCTCAGTTAAATCTAACTCTTTTGAAGTAAGAAACTAGTTAAAATTTTGAAATAACTTCCTATGTAATATATTTTCTATTTTGTACATGTTTTCTAGATTATGAAAGAGAAAGGACTGTATATAAAATCATGTGAATTTTTAAAAAAGCGCTCATTTGATAGGCATTTATAGAAATGAAATTGGTATAGATTACAAAGAAGTAGTGAGTATAGCAGCTGTTTACAAGGAATTTATAATTTGTCTATGTGAAAAAAACTAATACATTTCAATGCACCATACAAGCAAATGCATGATGCCATAGTGCAGACTATATAAAAGTGCTGAAGGAATTTGAATTAAGGCAAGACGACAGTGATTGGGGTCAAGTGTGGAAGGCTTTACGGAGAAAATGAATACTGATCCTTGACAGAAATGTAGGATATAAATTAGCAGAGGACAGTTCAAGGGATGACATGAAAACTGTAACAGGAGAAAGTTTAGTGGCTTCAAAAGAAAAGAAATGCACAATGAAGTTATTTGGCTATAGTGATGCCAATTGGCTTAGGTGTTTTTGTTTTTTAAATACTGTAACTTTTTCAGTTGTATTTCAAAAATAAACTGGTAAACAGCAACTTTCTCATCTTATAGGTAATGTGGGTTGTTTTCATCTTTCATGATAAAATCCTTAATTATATAATCAGAAATATGCCTGATTTCAAACTTCAACCAGTTTAAAACAAAGACATAAATGCTACAGGAAATGTTTGCACCACTCATAACTCATTCAGACCTGCAGAGTGACAAATTTAAACAAAAAGAAAATTTCAATTTGTTACTGGTAACTTTTCCTTTATTTAAAAACCATTTAAAAAATGAAAAGAAAATTGTTTTAGTAATCATGTCCACATTAAATAAAACAAGTGGTTTCAAAAATGAAAAATTCTGTATTTCATAATAACTGCTGCCATTTAAATGTAATTAAAAAAATCTTACTTGCATTAGTTCAAAAATTTCTTTCTTTGTGCTTTTAGGTTCCAAGAAAAATCCATATGGATAAGAACACTTGAGAATGCGCCGAGTTTTTAAGAGCACATGAACTGCATCTTCAATGAAAGTGGTATCTGGACAGCCTCCTTCAGCTAAAAAGTAATTGAGGCACAGTGAATTTGTTTTTGCAAATATGCCATTTATAATATTAATTAAACAATGATTTTTTTTCTCAAAAAAGGAAAAAGAAGGATCATTAGGACAAAAACTGTTTTAAGTAACTGTATGAAAATACTTATTTGAACCAAACTAAAAACCTACATAAAATACTCATGTGTGACATGTATGTGTTTATAAAAGAAGCATATGCCCCAGCAGCCCAGGAACACTGATGGTAGTCATAAAGGAATGCACATACTCATCTTGGATTCTGGTCTCACTCCATTGGTAAGCAAATCTAGCTTTAGGTCAACCAAAAGGTTCTAGGCTTTACTTTTTCAGATTATCCCTAGCAGAATTTCCCTGGTTAAGAATGAGAACAAATGCCTTTTCTAAGTTGCTTATAAAAAGAGCCTAATTATGCAAAACCAATACCGTAAGGAAAAAGATACAACATTCTGGCAAACAACTAGATAACTAATCCTAGTTAATAAAAAATCCAAAGAAAGAAGGGGAGGAAGAATGAGGAAGATGGAAGACTAAATTGCCTTAATATCTGAGACTCTTTGTTTTAAGAACATCATTATAACAGTCTAGGTTTTCACTTAACTGCCAAAAAAAAAACAAAACCAGAAAAAAACCAGAAATTAAGCATGAGAATCTAACTTTGCAAATACTGCAGAAACTCAGATTATTTTGGATACCTGTAGAAAGAAATTCAGTATGTGTACACAAACTGACAGACGACCCTGAGATTTCTGACTTATGTGAGAAATGTGTGAAGTTTTGCTTCTTCCTTTGCAATTGCTGTATCTTTTTGTTTTTTTCCCCTAATTTATTATGCTGCCTGGAACCTCCAGAATGTTGAATAGAAGCAATAATTCACATCTACAAATATTGAATGTTGTTAAGGGTCAGGCACAGCTGGAAGCACTAGGGATGTATTAGTGACCAGACAAAAATCCCTGCTGAAGAGCTGTACGACTTGTGAGGACTTTTTTCCTCTCAATTTATACTGTGGACAATACTTCAAGAGTTTGATATTGCCTAATATAGTTATATCATTAATGAAGTCTAAGAACTAATAATTAACAAGCAGGCTATACTGCTATTGACATATTCTCCCCCACTCCATTTAACTTATGGTATTGTCTTGACTAGGGAATTATCCTAATGAAAAGGATTTTAATATTCATTATTTTGATAAACTGGAGCAACCCAAGTATAACATCACATTTTTCACCTTAAAATGTACTTTTCATATGTGAGCTATTATTTTTAAAAGGTGACTTTTTAAAACAAACATACCAGAACCTGCACTCTGTGTGGTCGTTGTGGGTTATTATATTCTAATGATGTTGTCAATACTCAATCCATATTTTGGAATATTCTAACTTATAATTTAGGACCTATACGTTAGCTCCACCTCATGGCTTCGCTTTTTGACCCCAATGTTCATTATTTACCAGTGAAATGATTTCTTCCCAAACTGTTATTGACTTCCACGCCCTTAGGCACTCTGTTAAATTTTCTCAATAATTTTTGGGTATTCAGTTACATGACAATTGGGTAGCACGTGTATCTTGCTCCTCTGACTAAGTCAGTGATGTCCTTTAGTACCCATCCACTTTTCCCAACATTGTAGAGCATCAGCAGTGACACAGAGTAAGCAAAATCATGAAGTGTTTTTATCTCATAACACCACAGGCTGCATCAAGAGGAGGAGGCTAGGTGCTGGGTAGAAAATCCAATCACAGAGGCCTCATCTGCTAAGCTGCACTCAGGGCTTCAAAGAACTCAAAACAGTACCAGAACAAGCTAATGAACATAATGTATTCCTTTCAGGGCCTAACCTACTAGTGAAATGACAAGCATGGAAAGATATTTTATATTAATTATCACACATACAACTTATAACTTACTTTCTTTGAGAGCTCTGCTCAATTGCTCCATCTTTTCTTTGGCTGTTTTAAGAAGGCGTTGTTCTAGCTAAAGGAATAGAAATAAAGAATTTAAACCATTCTCTTTATTTATTCACAACAGTATAGGTCAGCTCATTTGAAATGATTTGGGACATACCTGATAACTATGCTCATGGTTTTTAAATCTTGTATAATAGTGCATAAATCTGTCAAGTTCCTGAAATCGTTTGTGTTTTTTCTCAGCCTAGAAAACAAAAGTCCACAAATGACTTTTATAAAAACTAGTAGCTACTAAAATAGTTTTTTGGGGGAATCATTTAAAAGTTTTATTAGTGATAGGTAGTAGTGCATTCAGATTTGCGAATTATTTTCTTGACAGAAAAACAATACTTGTTTTTTTTTTTTTGAGACGGAGTCTCGCTGTGTCTCCCAGGCTGGAGTGCAGTGGTGCAATCTGAGCTCACACAAACCTCCGCCTCCCAGGTTCAACTGATTTTCCTGTCTCAGCCTCCTGAGTAGCTGGGATTACAGGAGCCCACCACCATGCCTGGGTAATTTTTGTATTTTTAGTAGAGATGGGGTTTTACCATGTTGGCCAGGCTGGTCTTGAACTCCTGACCTCAAGTGATCTGCCTGCCTCGGCCTCCCAAAAGTGCTGGGATTAAAAGCATGAGCCACATTGAAGGCCAAGGCCTTCAATGTTTTATTACATGGCTTTTTGCTATGGACTAATGGTATTCCCCCTAAAATTAATATTTTGAAGCCCTACCCTCTATGTGACTGTATTTGAAGACAGGACCTGTGAGAAGGTGATAAAGGTTAAATAAGGTCATCAGGGTGGGGCCCTATTCTGATAGGGTTGGTACTCTTAAAAGAAGAGGAAGGGGCACCAGAGGTCTCTCTGTCTTTTCTGGCCACCTAAGGACATAGTGAGAGGGTGGCTGTCTGCAAACCAAGAGAACCCTCATCAAGAACCAAATTGGCCAGCACCTTGACTTTGGACTTCACAACCTCTACAACTGTGAAAAATAAATTTCTGGTAAGCCACCCAGTCTATGTATTTTCTATGGCAGCTGAGCAGACTAAGACACTTCCTGTACAGTATAATGTAATACTGCATTGTTGATATTAATGTTAAAATTGTTTTTAAGTATTTACAGAGGTAGGCTGGGATATATCAGACTTTTCATACAGATCTCCACCAAAATTAAAAAAAGGAAAATGTAAAAGGGAAAAAGCTCTCAAGTTTACAGAGCTGTTTTGTTGAAATTAAAGGCTATAATAAAGTATATTCAATTTAATACTTTATTAAGATGAAAATAGAAAAAGAAATACAAAATAATTCCAGTGGCAGTGAGCGGTTTAGAGAGATGTCTTGGCTTAATTGGTTCTCTTTACCTCCACAGTCATTTCCTTGGATTGCTCCTCCACGTGTTGAATGACTTCATAGCGAGTACATCTGTAATAACCTCCAGTGGACGAACTATGTTTTTTCCACTCTTCAAGGCAAATCCAGCAAAAGTCATACTTGCACTTCAAAAGAAAACACAGATGAAAACATCTCCCCATATTAATATGCAAATTATTTTCTGCTTTATAGCCAACCAATCTGTAAAGATTAAATAATTGTGCTTGTGTGACCAGTAATAAATCTTCTCAAAGACATGCCCTATTTCTCATGTGTCCTCTGGAGACCTTATCTGCATTATGGAAAGATGTGGGGGTAGTTTAAAATTATTGTTTATAGGGATATATTAAAATGTAAAGCATAATATTATGAAGTAATCACAAGGAACCATTCTTTCCAAATAATATCTTTGGAAAGTGTTTCATTTTTAAGTGCATTCTAATCTGACATTTGTATATAAAGCTCCACCAGTCTATCTGAAAAACTTCTGGCAATATTGACAAATTGGTTTTGAAACTAGAACTACGCTTAAAAGACCTCTAAGTGGAACAGCTGATATAAAAACGGTTTCCCATTTTAATGTAAATTCCAACTTAATTACCATAATTATCAGACAGTGCCAAAAATATGAGCATTCAGTATGAAAATACATCCTTTCTTATGCTTAGGATTTTGAGTCAGTTAAAAAGATCTTCCCATTCTATGTTGTCTTCAGGTACTCTTAATGGTTTATTTATTTTTTATTTTATTTTTATTATACATTAAGTTCTAGGGTACATGTGCACAAGGTGCAGGCTTGTCACATATGTATACATGTCCCGTGTTGGTTTGCTGCACCCACTAACTTGTCATTTACATTAGGTATTTCTCCTAATGCTATCCTTCCCCCATCCTCCCACACCACGACAGGCCCCAGTATGTGATGTTCCCTGCCCTGTGTCCAAGTGTTCTCATTGTTCAATTCCCACCTATGAGTGAAAACATGTGGTGTTCGTTTTTCTGTCCTTGTGATAGTTTGCTCAGAATAATGGTTTCCAGCTTCATCCATGTGGCTACAAAGGACATGAACTCATCTTTTTTTATGGCTACATAGTATTCCATGGTGTATATGTACCACATTTTCTTAATCCAGTCTATCATTGATGGACATTTGGGTTGGTTCCAAGTTTTTGCTATTGTGAATAGTGCTGCAATAAACATATATGTGCATGTGTCTTTACAGTAGCATGATTTATAATCCTTTGGGTATATACCCAGTAATGGGATCGCTGGATCAAATGGTATTTCTAGTTCTAGATACTTGAGAAATCGCCACACTGTCTTCCATAATGGTTGAACTAGTTTACACTCCCACTAACAGTGTAAAAGCGTTCCTATTTTTCCACATCCTCTCCAGCAACCTGTTGTTTCCTGACTTTTTAATGATCGCCATTCTAACTGGTGTGAGATGGTATCTCATTGTGGTTTTGATTTGCATTTCTCTGATGGCCAGTGATGATGAGCATTTTTTCATGCCTGTTGGCTGCATAAATGTCTCCTTTTGAAAAGTGTCTGTTCATATCCTTTGCCCACTTTTTGATGGGGTTGTTTTTTTCTTGTAAATTGGTTTAAGTTCTTTGTAGGTTCTAGATACTAGCCCCTTGTCAGATGGGTAATTGCAAAAATTTTCTCCCATGCTGAGGTTTGCCTGTTCACTCTGATGGTAGTTTCTTTTGCTATGCAGAAACTCTTTAGTTTAATCAGATCCCATGTTTCTATTTTGGCTTTTGTTGCCATTGCTTTTGGTGTTTTAGTCATGAAGTCCTTGTCCATGCCTATGTCCTGAATGGTATTGCCTAGCTTTTCTTCTACGGTTTTTATGGTTTTAGGTCTAATAGTTAAGTCTTTAATGCATCGTGAATTAATTTTTGTATAAGGTGTAAGGAAGGGATCCAGTTTCAGCTTTCTACATATGGGTAGCCAGTTTTCCCAGCACCATTTATTAAACAGGGAATCCTTTCCCCATTTCTTGTTTTTGTCAGGTTTGTCAAAGATCAGATGGCTGTGGATGCATGGTGTTATTTCTGAGGCCTCTGTTCTGTTCCATTGGTCTATATCTCTGTTTTGGTACCAGTACCATGCTGTTTTGGTTACTGTAGCCTTGTACTATAGTTTGAAGTCAGGTAGTGTGATGCCTCAAGCTTTGTTCTTTTTGCTTAGGATTGTCTTGGCAATGTGGGATCTTTTTTGGTTCCCTATGAACTTTAAAGTAGTTTTTTCCAATTCTGTAAAGAAAGTCATTGGTAGCTTGATGGGGATGGCACTGAATTTATAAATTACCTTGGGCAGTATGGACATTTTTACAATATTGATTCTTCCTATCCATGAGCATGGAATGTTCTTCCATTTGTCTGTGTCCTCTTTTATTTCATTGAACAGTGGTTTGTAGCTCTCCTTGAAGAGGTCCTTCACATCCCTTGTAAATTGGATTCCTAGGTATTTTATTCTCTTTGTAGCAATTGTGAATGGGAGTTCACTCATGATTTGGCTGTTTGTCTGTTATTGGTGTTTAAGAATGCTTGTGAGTTTTGCACATTGATTTTGTATCTTGAGACTTTGCTGAAGTTGCCTATCAGCTTAAGCAGATTTTGGGCTGAGATGATGGGGTTTTCTAAATATACAATCATGTCATCTGCAAACAGGGACAATCTGACTTCCTCTTTTCCTAATTGAATACTCTATTTCTTTCTCTTGCCTGATTGCCCTGGCCAGAACTTCCAACACTATGTTGAATAGGAGTGGTGAGAGAGGGCATCCCTGTCTTGTGCCAGTTTTCAAAGGGAATGCTTCCAGTTTTTGCCCGTTCAGTATCATACTGGCTGTGGGTTTGTCATAAATAGCTCTTATTATTTTGAGATCTGTTCCATCAATACCTAGACTATTGAGAGCTTTTAGCACAAAGGGCTGTTGAATTTTGTCAAAGGACTTTTCTGCATCTATTGAGATGATCATGTGGTTTTTGTCTTTGGTTCTGTTTATGTGATGGATTACGTTTATTGATTTGTGTATGTTGAACCAGTCTTGCATCCCAGGGATGAAGCCAACTTGATCTTGGTGGATAAGCTTTTTGATGTGCTGCTGGATTTGGTTTGCCAGTATTTATTGAGGATTTTTGCATCAATGTTCATCAGGGATATCAGTCTAAAATTCTCTTTTTTTGTTGTGCCTCTGCCAGGCTTTGGTATGAGGATGCTGCTGGCCTCATAAAATGAGTTAGGGAGGATTCCCTCTTTTTCTATTGATTGGAATAGTTTCAGAAGGAATGGTGCCATCTCCTCTTGGCAGCTCTGGTACAATTTGGCTGTGAATCCATCTGGTCCTGGACTCTTTTTGGTTGGTAGGCTATTAATTATTGCCTCAATTTCAGAGCCTATTATTGGTCTATTCAGAGATTCAACTTCTTCCTGGTTTAGTCTTGGGAGGGTGTATGTGTCCAGGAATTTATCCATTTCTTCTAGATTTTCTAGTTTATTTGAGTAGAGGTGTTTATGTTATTCTCTGATGGTAGTTTGTATTTCTGTGGGATTAGTGGTGATATCCCCTTTATCATTTTTTATTGCATCTATTGGATTCTTCTCTCTTTTCTTCTTTATTAGTCTTGCTAGCGGTCTATCAATTTTGTTGATCTTTTCAAAAAACCAGCTCCTGGACTCATTGATTTTTTTAAAGGGGTTTTTATGTCTCCATCTCCTTCAGTTCTGCTCTGACCTTAGTTATTTCTTGCCTTCTGCTAGCTTTTGAATGTGTTTGCTCTTGCTTCTCTAGTTCTTTTAATTGTGATGTTAGGGTGTCAATTTTAGATCTTTCCTGCTTTCTCTTGTGGGCATTTAGTGCTATAAATTTCCCTCTGCACACTGCTTTAAATGTGTCCCAGAGATTCTGGTATGTTGTGTCTTTGTTCTCATTGGTTTCAAAGAACATCTTTATTTCTGCCTTCATTTCATTATGTACCCAGTAGTCATTCAGGAGCAGGTTGTTCAGTTTCCATGTAGTTGTGCGGTTTTGAGTGGGTTTCTTAATCCTGAGTTCTAATTTGATTGCACTGTGGTCTGAGAGACAGTTTGTTGTGATTTCTGTTCTTTTACATTAGCTGAGGAGTGCTTTACTTCCAACTACGTGGTCAATTTTGGAACAAGTGCGATGTGGTGCTGAGAAGAATGTATATTCTGTTGATTTGGGGTAGAGAGTTCTGTAGATGTCTATTAGGTCTGCCTAGTGCAGAGCTGAGTTCAAGTCCTGGATATCCTTGTTGACCTTCTGTCTCGTTTATCTGTCTAATATTGACAGTGGGGTGTTAAAGTCTCCCATTATTATTGTGTGGGAGGCTAAGTCTCTTTTTAGGTCTCTCAGGACTTTTTTTATGAATCTGGGTGCTCCTGTATTGGGTGCATATATATTTAGGATAGTTAGCTCTTCTTGTTGAATTGATCCCTTTACCATTATGTAATGGCCTTGTCTCTTTTGATCTTTGTTGGTTTAGTCTGTTTTATCAGAGCCTAGGATTGCAACCCCTGCTTTTTTTTTTTGCTTTCCATTTGCTTGGTAGATCTTTCTCCATCCCTTTATTTTGAGCCTATGTATGTCTCTGCACATGAGATGGGTCTCCTGAATACAGCACATTGATAAGTCTTGACTCTTTATCCAATTTGCCAGTCTGTGTCTTTTAATTGGAGCATTGAGCCCATTTACATTTAAGGTTAATATTGTTATGTGTGAATTTGATCTTGTCATTATGATGTTAGCTGGTTATTTTGCCCGTTAGTTGATGCAGTTTCTTCCTAGCATCGATGGTCTTTACAATTTGGCATGTTTTGGCAGTGGCTGGTACCAGTTGTTCCTTTCCATGTTTAGTACTTCCTTTAGGAGCTCTTATAAGGCAGGTCTGGTGGTGACAAAATCTGTCAGCATTTGCTTGTCTGTAAAGGATTTCATTTCTCCTTCACTTATGAAGCTTAGTTTGGCTGGATATGAAATTCTGGGTTGAAAATTCTTTTCTTTAAGAATGTTGAATATTAGCCCCCACTCTCTTCTGGCTTGTAGGGTTTCTGCCAAGAGATCCGCTGTTAGTCTGATGGGCTTTCCTTTGTGGGTAACCTGACCTTTCTCTCTGGCTGCCCTTAGCATTTTTTCCTCCATTTCAACATTGGTGAATCTGACAATTATGTGCCTTGGGGTTGCTCTTCTTGAGGAGTATCTTTGTGGTGTTCTCTGTGTTTCCTGAACTTGAATGTTAGCTTGACTTGCTAGGTTGGGGAAGGTCTCCTGGATAATATCCTGAAGAGTGTTTTCCAGCTTGGTTCCATTCTCCCCGTCACTTTCAGGTACACCAATTGTACGTATATTTGGTGTTTTCACACAGTCTCTTATTTCTTGGAGGCTTCGTTCATTTCTTTTTACTCTTTTTTCTCCCAACTTCCCTACTTGCGTCATTTCATTAATTTGATCTTCAATCACTGATACCTTTTCTTCCACTTGAAGCTTATGCATGCGTCACATAGTTCTCGTGCCATGGTTTTCAGCTCCATCAAGTCATTTAAGGTCTTCTCTACACTGTTTATTCTAGTTAGCCATTCATCTAATCTTTTTTCAAGGTTTTTACCTTCCTTGTGATGGGTTCGAACTTCCTCCTTCAGCTGGGAGAAGTTTGTTATTACCAACTTTCTGAAGCCTACTTCTGTCAACTGTCAAAGTCATTCTCCATCCTGCTTTGTTCCGTTGCTGGCGAGGAGCTGCAATCCTCTGGAGGAGATGGGGCGCTCTGGTTTTTAGAATTTTCAGCTTTTTTGCTCTGGCTTCTCCCCATCTTTGTGGTGTTATCTACCTTTGGTCTTTGATGATGGTGACCTACAGATGGGGTTTTGGTGTGGATGTCCTTTTTTGTTGATGTTGATACTATTCCTTTCTGCTTGTTAGTTTTCCTTCTAACAGGACCCTCAGCTGCAGGTCTGTTGGAGTTTGCTTGAGGTCCACTCCAGACCCTATTTGCCTGGGTGTCACCAGCGGAGGCTGCAGAACAGCAAATATTGCAGAACAGCAAATATTGCTGCCTGGTCCTTCCTCTGGAATCTTCGTCTCAGAGGGGCACCTGGCTGTATGAGGTGTCAGTCGGCCCCTAATGGGAGGTGTCTCCAAGTTAGGCTACATGGGGGTCAGGCACCCACTTGAGGAGGTGGTCTGTCCGTTCTCAGAGCTCAAACACCATGCTGGGAGAACCACTGCTCTCTTCAGAGCTGTCGGACAGGGACATCAAAGTCTGCAGAAGTTTCTGTGGCCTTTTGTTCAGCTATGCCCTGCCCCCAGAGGTGGAGTCTACAGAAGCAGGGGGGCCTTGTTGAGCTGTGGTGGGCTCCACCCAGTTTGAGCTTCCCAGCCGTTTTGTTTACCTACTCAGCAATGGCAGATGCCCCTCCCCCAGCATGGCTTGCCGCCTCGCAGTTAGATCTCGGAATAGCAGTGAGCAAGGCTCTGTGGGTGTGGGACCTGCTGAGCCAGGTGTGGGATATAATCTCCTGGTGTTGCCATTTGCTAAGACTGTTGGAAAAGAGCAGTGTTTATGTGGCAGTGTCCCGATTTTCCCGGTACAGCCTGTCATGGCTTCTCTTGGCTAGGAAAGGGAAATCCCCCAACCCTTTATGCTTCCAAGGTGAGGTGATGCCCTGCCCTGCTTCGGCTTGCCCTTCGTGTGCTGCACCCACTTCCCGACCAGTCCCAATGAGATGAACCAGGTACCTCAGCTGGAAATGCAGAAATCACCTGTCTTCTGTGTCGATCATTGGAGCTACAGACTGGGGCTGTTCCTATTTGGCCATCTTGGAAAAGACCTCCTGGTTTATTTTATTTTTTAAAGAAACTTTAAATCTTTGAGTCATTTGGCATTTATCTGACTATATAGGATACAGTATGAATTCAACTTTATTCTTTCTCACACAACTGCCCAGTAGTCCTTATACCATTTAAATAACTCATGTTTCTCCACTGGTTGTAGATGCCACATTTACCATATACTAGATTCCCACGTATCTTTGTCTATATTGTAGGCTTTCTTTTTATCCTGTTTCATGTGCCAGCACTACACTGTTTGAATTACTGAGGTTTCATAATATGGCTATTTGACAAGGCTAGTTCCCCTTCACTGCTCCTTTTCAGACTTCCTATTCTTGCTTCCCCTTAATCCCGCCGTATAACTTCTGAATTAGTTTTTTTTAGATGGAGTCTCGCTCTGTCACCTAGGCTGGAGTGCAGTGGCAGTAACTCGGCTCACTGCAAGCTCTGCCTCCCAGGTTCACACCATTCTCCTGCCTCAGCCTCCCGAGTAGCTAGGACTACAGACACCCGCCACCATGCCCAGCTAAATTTTTTTGTATTTTTAGTAGAGATGGGGTTTCACCCTGTTAGCCAGGATGGTCTCGATCTCCTGACCTTGTGATCTGCCTGTCTCGGCCTCCCAAAGTGCTGGAATTACTGGCGTGAGCCACCGCGCCCAGCCTAAATTAGTTTACTTAGATTCCGAAACAAAACCTGTTGCTATTTCTGATGGAATCTTTCTAAGAACTTCATTGTCTTTCAATTAGTTTGTCATCTTTTGTGACCTACAGTGGGTTTACATTTTTTCCCCATAAGTCTTGCATATTTCTTGTTAAATTTGTTTCCAGATAAATGAGGCCTTTCAGTATTGTTGTTGATACACATGAAGGTTGTTGACTGTTGTTGATACACACGAAGGTTATTACTCTGCATAGTAATTGTGTACTCTGCTACTTAACTGAATTTTTGTTTGTAGCAGTTTTTCAGTCGATTTTTGTGAATTTTCTAGGTATACAATCACGTCATCTGCAAAAAGTGATAATTTTATCTCATTTCTGATTTTTATATCACTAATCTCTTTCTGTTGTCTAATTATGTTGACTGGTATCTTCAATCTAATGTTAATAATACTAGTGATGAAAAATATCTTCATCTTGTTCTTGAATTTAGTGGGAGTGACTCTAGTTTCCTCATTAAATATGCTAGCTTTTGAAATGAGGTCAATTTATTTTTATCATACTAAGAAAGAATCCATTCTATTTCTTTGACTGTTTTATAAAGAATGATTGTTGATTTTTTTTTTTTTTTTTGTCAAATAGCTTTTCAGCAGCTATAGAAAATATGTAATTTTTCCCCTTGGATATACCAATAACACGAGGTACAACATCAACTTTCCTAATACTGAACCATTCTTATATAGGTGGAAGCATCCCTAATCTAAAAATCAGAAATCCTAAATACTCCAAAATCCAAAACTTTTTCAGCACTGACATGGATTGTGAATTTGTGGATTAGGGGTGCTCAATTGGTATACTGCAAATATTCCAAATGAAAAAAAAATCTGAAATCCTTAACACTTCCAGTTCCAAGCATTCCAGATCAGCAATCCTTAAAATTAACCTGTCTTCCTGGAATAAACTCTACTTGGTTAATTACTCATGAATGTGCTCTGCTGGATTATGTTTGCTAATATCTGTAGAGTTTTATCCCTGTAATATTTAGGACTACTGCACTTTTACAAGTAAGAATAATCCACACTTTTAAGTTTTATAATCTTGTGAAGCAGATATCAAGGTTCTACTCACTTTATAAAAATACTTTGAAAGTTTTAAGTTTTTTTTTTTTTAACTCTCAAGAACAGTTTAAATAAAATTAGAATTACCGGCCCCTTAAAGGTTTGGTAAAATTCTATCGTGAAACTATCAGGGCCCATTGCTTTAAGTGTTAATGTAAGGTGTGGGAGATTTTTGAAAAACTTTTTTCCCCTTCTATGGGAATGGGTTTTTTTGGGGATACTCTATCTCTTCTAGGATCAGTTTTAATAAATAATACTTTCTTAGAAAGCCAATCCACTTCAAATCCAAGTTCAAAATATCTGGAAGAGTTGAATGAAGTTATAGTCCTTATTATTTTAGTTTGCTTTGTTTTTTTGATTACAGGCATACCTTGTTTCATTGCACTTTGCTGTATTGTGCATTGCAGATTTGCATTTTGTTTTTGTTTTTTAAACAAACTGAAGTTTGTGGCAACCCTCCATGAAGAAGGTCTACTGGTCATTTTTCCAACAGCATGTGCTCACTGCTCGTCTGTGTCACATTTTGGTAATTCTCATAATGTTTCAAACTTTTAAATTATTATTTTATCTGTTGTGATCTACGATCAATGATATTTGATGTTACTATTGTAATATCTGGGGGACACCATGAACCATGCCCATATAAGATGGCAAACTTAATATATATATGTTGTATGTGTTCTGACCACCTCACTAACTAGTCATTCTCCTGTCTCTGTCTGTCTCCCTCTCCTTGGGCTTCCCTATTTCCTAAGACACAACAATATTAAAAGTAGTTCAATTAAGAACCCTATAAGGACCTCTAAGTGTTCAAGTGAAAGGAAGAGCCTTACATCTCTCCCTTTAAATCAAATGCTAGATGATTAAGCTTAGTAAGGAAGGCATGTTGAAAAGCCAAGATAAGCTGAAAGCTAGGCTTCTTGTGTCAGTTAGCCAAATTGGGAATGCAAAGGAAAAGTTCTTGAAGGAAAGTAAAAGTGCTATTTCAGTGAACACATGAATGATAAGAAAATGAAACATGCTTATTGTTGATATGTTGAAAATTTGAGTGGTCTGGATGGAGGATCAAATGAGCCATGAAATTCCCTTAAGCCAAATCCTAATCCAGAGCAAGGCCCTAGCTCTTTTCAGTTCTATGAAGACAGAGACAGGTAAGGAAGCTGCAGAAGAAAAATTTAAAGTTAGCCAACATTGGTTCATGAGGTTTAAGGAAAGATGCCATCTTCATAATATAAAAGTGCAAGGTAGGCCGGGCACGGTGGCTCACGCCTGTAATCCTAGCACTCTGGAAGGCCTAGGAGGGTGGATTACCTGAGGTCAGGAATTCTAGACCAGCCTAGCAAACATGGTGAAACCCCTTCTCTACTAAAAATACAAAAATTAGCCACGTGTGGTAGCAGGCGCCTGTAATCCTAGCTACTCGGGGGACCAAGACAGGAGAATCGCTTGAACCTGGGAGGCGGAGGTTGCAGTGAGCTGAGATCCACCATTGCACACCAGCCTGGGGGACAAGAGCGAGACTTTGTCTCAAAAAAAAAAAAAATAAAAAATAAAAAAAAAGTGCAAGGTAAAGCAGAAAGTGCTGATGTAGAAGCTGTGGCAAATTATCCAGAAGATCTAGCTAAGATCATTGATGAAAGTGGCTACATTAAACAACAGATTTCCAATGTAGATGAAACTGCTTTCTAGTAGGAGACAGTGCCATCTAGGATTTTCATAGCTACAGAAAAGTCAATGTCTGGCTCCAAAGCTTCGAAGAATGGGCTGACTCTTGTTACGGGATAATGCAGCCAGTTACTTTAAGTTGAAGCCAATGCTCATTTACCATTCTGAAAATCATAGGGTGTTTAAGAACTATGCTAAATCTACTCTGCCTGTGCTCTATACATGGATCAATGAAGCCTGGATGGCAGCCCATCTGTTTATGGCATGGTTTACTGAATATTATAAGCCCACTGTTGAGAGCTATTACTCAGAAAAAAAGATTCCTTTTAAAATATTACTGCTCATTGGCAATGCACATGGTCATCCAAGAGCTCTGATGGAGATGTACAAGGAAATGAATGTTGTTTTAATGTCTGCTAACACAACATCCGTTCTGCAGCCTATGGATTAAGCGGTCATTTTGACTTTCAAGTCTTATTATTTAAGAAATGTATTTTGTAAGGCTAAAGCTGCCACAGATAGTGATTCCTCTGACAGATCTAGGCAGAGTAAATGGAAAATCTTCTGGAAAGGATTCACCATTCTAGATGCAATTAAGAACATTTGTGATTCATGGGAGGAAGTAAAAATATCAACATGAACAGGAGTTTGGAAAAAGTTGATTCCTATCCTCATGGATGACTTTGAAGAGTTCAAAACTTCAGTAGAAAAAATAACCTCAGATGTGGTAGAAATAGCAAAAGAACTGGAAGTGCAGCCTGAAGATGTGACTGAATTGCTATAATCTCATGATAAAACTTGAATTGGGGAGAAGTTGTTTCTTACGGATAAGCAAAGAAACTGGTTTCTTGAGACAGAATAGGCTCCTGGTAAAGACTCTGTAAACATTGTTGAAATGACAACAAAGACTAGAATATTACATAAACAGCTGACAAAGCAGTGACAGGATTTGAGAGAACTGACTTTAACTTTAAAAGTTCTATCAGAGGTCAAATTCTATAATACAGTATTATATTGTGAAAGGCAGTCAACAGAAGCAGCAAATTTCATTGTTGTCTTATTTTAAGAAACTGCCACAGCCAACTCAACCTTCAGCAACCACCACCCTGTTCAGTTAGCAGCATCAACACTGAGGCAAGGCTCTCCATCAGCAAATAGACTATGACTCACTGAAGGTTCAGATAATAGTTAGCATTTTTTAGTAACAAAGTATTTTTAAATTAAGGTATGTACTTTAAAAAATGCATTATGCTATTACACTTAACAGACAGTGTGAATTTACAGTTAAACTTTTATATGCAGTGGAAAACAAAAAAATTGTGATTTACTTGACTGTGATATCTGCTTCACTGCAGTGGTCTGGAACTGGACCACAGCATCTCTGAGATATGGCTGTATCTCCCTTATTCTTCATATTGTGTCTTTGAACTCCCTCACCTTCATTTTTTTTTTCTTGATTATGTTAGCTTAGTGGTTTATCTATCTTATTTTTTGTTAAAATCACTTTTTGGATTTATTTATTAGTCGCGTTTTCAGTTTTAAAGTCACTGATTTCTGCATTAAAAAAACCAGAACCTTTCTCCTGGTTTTCTTCAAGTTTATTTTTTTTCTAAATTTTTGAGTCATATCCTTAATTAATTCCTTATTCTGTATTAGTTTAAATAAGGTGATGCACATTTCTCAGCATTGCTTTAGCTATGGCCCTCAAGTTCTGTTAAGTAGTATTTTCATTACCCTTGTTTTAAAATTCTTGAAAGTCCATTTTTATTTCCTTTTTTACTCAAGAGTTGCTATTTAAAATTTCTAAAAGACATCTTGTAACTTTACTATTAATTTCTTTCTTTCTTTTTTTGATATGGAGTTTTGCTCTTGTTGCCCACGCTGGAGTGCAATGGCACAATCTCAGCTCACTGCAACCTCCGCCTCCCAGGTTCAAGTGACACTCCTACCTTAGCCTCCCTAGTAGCTGGGATTACAGGTGCCCGTCACCATACCCAGACAATTTTTTGTATTTTTAGTAGAGATGAGGCTTCACTATGTTGGCCAGGATGGTCTCAAACTCCTGTCCTCAGGTGATCTGCCTGCCTCAGCCTCCCAAAGTGCTGGGATTACAGGCGTGAGCCACCATGCCTGGCCTTAATCTCTATTTTACTCCCTTATGATCGGAGAATATTATTTGTACTATTTTCTATTTTTTGGAATGTTATTGGGGTTTTTCTTTTATAATCAATGGTTAATTTTTTTGTGAGTGCTCCATGAGTACTTAAAAAGATGGCACAGTCCACAGTTTCAGTATGCAGTTTGAATATATAATGAACAGATATACCTTAGTAATTATGGCATTTAAATCTTCTACATTTTATAATGGAAAAAACGTTATAGCATACAGTTATACAGAATCAGATACTATACATGATTTAAAATATTTAAGAATGCACAATTTAAATTATCTAAAGGGAAATTTTAAAAAGTGTTTTTAAAATAAACAAGCTTATTTTTAGGGGAAGAAATTTCTCATTCTTTAAAAACACATTTGAGTTCAAAAGTAAAAACTGCCTACTGAATCATACATAATCAATGCTGAGGCATTAGTAAAGGTATGTTACGATTTACCAATTATGTCAGTGCATGGATTCAATTACACATGACCATGTTGTTACACCTACACATTTAAAATATAGTATATATGATTTTGCTGCAGTAATGTGATACTTTTACATAAGTCTTCTGTGTCACAGTAAGAATGCTACTTGTCAGCTTTTATTGTTCAATGCAAACACTTCAGATGGTATAATAAATACAACTACTACATTTACATAGCTTATAAGTAAATGTTTCTTTTCAATGCAACAGAAGCTTAAGCAAAGTCTGTTTAAGTTGGATTACCTTATATTAGCAGCCAGATTAATTCATGAAAACATTCATGAATGCAATACATATTTATCAAGTATTTACTACCAGTAGGTGTTATGCAGGAAATAAAGATAATATTGGAGTCTGTCTCAGCAGCCAACTATAAATTTTTATTGTCATTTGATAGTTCTTTATACATCTATGTAGTCTATATCAGATTTTCCAAGAGGAATAAAAAAGATATGGACATTGGAGATAAGATCACAAATAGATGAAATAATTTTGGCTGGATCCTTAGCTGAACAATAAATAACACTTTTGAATATTTTGCTCACAACACTGCCCTAGGTTTTTCTTTCTGCCTCTTAGAGAATCATTATTACTGCCTCACTAAGCCAATTCATTTATATTAATTTTACAGTAATACAGACTTATAAAAATTATTTTGTAACTGCCATTCTTTTGCAAGTATAGTAATAATCATTAAGCCTCAAAGTTAAAAATCAAGTAATACCTAGAAGATATTATTATATTTTACTGGAATCTTAACCATTTAAATTTCCTTCATGTCCTAAACTAGAAAAAAAAATACACTTTCCTCTCAATAACTTTAAATAATCATTTTATACATAGATGACATTTCTAATGATAAAGCAAAAAAAATCAGAATATCATTATAATTTTAAACCAAAAAAGGTTCATAAATGTAGGTAGGTAGGGATTAATAAAATGTTATTAATAACATACCAGCATATTTGTTTTAAACACACTGCTGTTTCTTCCTGTACAAGTAAGTAAAGAGGGTATTTATTCTATCTAGCCTTTTTGACCTCTAACATTAATCATTTATATTAAGTATTTTTCAGCCAAGTGAATCTTGGTTGGCATTTTCATTTTCAATATAATAAACAGTTACTTATTTAATTGAAGGTTTTATTAGCAGACCTAAAGTCTGGCCACTGCTTTGGGTTCTTGTATTATACAGACATCTATATATAGGTGTTCCCTGGTATCCATGGAGGATTGGTTCCAAGACCTCCTGCAAACACCAAAATCTGAGAATAATCAAGTCCCCGACAAAAAATGGTGTATTATTTGCATACTAACCTATGCACATCCTCTAGTATACTTTACATAATCTCTAGATTACTTATAGTATCTTACAATGTACATGCTATGTAAATAGTTGTTATACTGCATTGTTTAGGGAATAATTACAAAAAAAAATCTGTACATGTTCGATACAGATGCAATTTTTTTCCCTAAGTATTTTTGATCTGTGGTTGGCTGAATCCATGAATGCAGAACCCAACACTATGAAACCCATGGATACAGAGAGCCAATTGTATGGAGACAGTATATGGACTGGATTTGGGCCTAGTTTGGGCCTTGAGTCTAAGCCGTACGCTCCAAAACCAGCTTTGCAAAAGATCTATATAAGGCAGCACTTTGTTAATCATTTGATACACACACACACACACACACACACACACACACACACACACACACACACACACACACACACACCCCTCTCTCAAGACTCTCACTGGGGAAGGTGACTAGCGGGGAAGGTGACTAGCAAGGAAGGATTCATGAATTTCTGATCTTCTGGTTGAATACCATAGGTTCTTACACTTACCTTTTTGTTTTTGTTTTTATTTCTGTAGAGATGGGGTTTTGGTGTTTTGCCCAGGCTGGTCTTGAACCCCTGGCCTCAAGTGATCCTCCTGCCTCAACCTCCTGAAGTGCTGGGATTATAGGCAAGAGCCACTGCACCAGGCCCCCTCAAATAATTTATCCTTTGGATTGACAATCAAACTAAATTAAGATTCCAAATGCAAAGCATGCAAAATCCTCTTTAACTTCTTACCTTAGCACACTGCATGTGATTGCAGCCTTCATTCTTCTGTATTGGAGACTTACAGTTGGCACAAGGCTTGGAGTTAGTTAATAACCAGAGACAATTGGCGGCATCCTCGTAGGCTTCACTAACTCCCACAACTTTGGGATATTAAACACAATCACAAAAATAAATGATTTAGTGTACAACTTCTGGGGGAAAAAAAAACCCTCCACACTTTTCTTTGCAGGCTGTCTCTCAATTTTAATAAAATATTTATTTTCTGATCAGGGTCTGTGGCAACACTTTTAAACTGCTTCATTTTGAATAGCCTAAGATAAGGAACTCTATTCCAAAAGACCTATTCGTGAAACCTGGTTTAAGGGCGATTTCTCCATAAACTTGTGCCCAAATAAACTGGGATCAAAAACAATATACACAAAAAAATTTAAAAAAAAAAAAGCAACATATTACTCCATTTAAAATAACTATTGTATCACAGAAAATTACAGAAAGAACAATTACTTTAGAAAATAATTTACTTAACAGGCCAGATGCAAATATAATGATCAGAAACTCTTTACCATAGTAAAAAGCAAAAAATATCAACATCTTTTTTATCCATGATTATTCTGGATAAGCTTAAAATTAATTCAATGTGACATATCTAAAACTAAGCATCTCATTTATTACACCCTCTTTCTCTATCATATCTGGTTCCTCTCCATTCCCAGTTCTTATTGCTTTAAGCTAGGGTCCTTCATACCTCTTGCCTAGACAATTAAAGCATAGAAAACCAACTTATCTCCCCAGTTCCTTCAAGGGCCCACCTCCAACTACACTGCTGGCACAGTGATTTTTTAAAAATCTCTCCATGTTTTTCTTTTATTGACACAAAATATTTTACATATTTATGGGTAGATGTGACTGTAATGTGCATAGAATGTGTAATAAGTCAGGACATCTGAAGTACCCACCACCTTGAGTAATTATCATTTCTATGTGTTGGTATCATTTCAAGTCCTCCCTTCTAGTTGTTTTGAAATATAAGAAATATTGTCCTCTATCTAACTCTATGTTTGTCCCCATTAACCAACTTTTTTTTTTTTTTTTTTTTTTTTTTTTTTTTGAGACAAGAGTCTTGCTCTGTCACCCAGGCTGGAGTGCAGTGGCTCGATCTCGGCTCACTGCAAGCTCCACCTCCCGGGTTCATGCCATTCTCCTGCCTCAGCCTCCCGAGTAGCTGGGACTATAGGCGCCTGCCACCACGCCTGGCTAATTTTTTGTATTTTTAGTAGACATGGGGTTTCACCATGTTAGCCAGGATGGTCTCGATCTCCTGACCTCGTGATCCGCCCGCCTCGGCCTCCCAAAGTGCTGGGATTACAGGAGTGAGCCACCGTGCCCGGCCCCCATTACCCAACTTTTCTTCATCCTCCCATCCCCTGCCAGCCACCCATCCCACAGTGATCTTTTTAGAATACACACCACTTAAAATCTTTTAATTTGCTCCCCATTGACTACAAGATAAAATCCAATTGCTTTTGCAAAGAATATAAAGCCTATTATGATATGGCCCATCTGGCAAGCTCCTCTCACCCTCCATCCCTAATCAAACTTATACTCTTCATTTTCTTAAACTCAACTTATTTTACTATAATTTGAGATCTGCAATCTTAAGGAATGCCATGGTTTTTAAAGATTCTAAATTTTACATTTTATAAACTTCCCTCTCCCTTCCATGGACAGAGTTAGGGGCTAGAGAGTTCCAGATGCATGATTAAAAATTTTTTTCCTGCAAGAATGTCAGCAATCAAGTTGGTTTTGTTTTATTTTCTTTTTTAACTCTAAGTGCACTGAGAAGGCCTACATTTTCTTTACTCAAAGAGATGCCAGAAAATCATTTTAGAATCACTGAAAGTGGCCCATCTAATCAAAGCTTTGTTTACATGCAGTCACTTTCAGAAGGGTGGTGGGGTAAATGGTTGGCTCTACTGTCAAAGCAGGAGAGAAATCAGACCCCTTGCAGTTTGAAATTCAAAAAGAAAAGTTACCCAACCCCTAGATATAAGCCCCTGGGGAAGTAAGGGGGACAAAGGTTTGGGCTCACTGACCCCTGGGAAGTGGCTCTGTGTATGGATTGGAAGGGCTGAGCACCAGAAGCAGAGAAGCAGTCCTCTGTTGGAGCCTAGCAGCACAGAAGTAGAGCTGTCTTGCTGCAAGGAACCCCAAGTGCTTGCCTACTTAAGTTTATATTAACAACAGAACAGCAGCTACTGTTGGACTGTAAAAGCATTGGTTTTTAATTCCACACAGCAAAGAGAAACAGCGGTAATGAACTGATCAGACTTTACTCCAGTTCTGAACACACTTGGTAGAAGATGGTTTGATTAAGGTGTTGGTGGAAAGAATTCTCAGATAATTTGGTGGGTGACAGGAGTTTCAGAAGGAACTTAGTATACTTAGGGCTAATAAGGCCAAGCTGTGGAGGCAATTCCACTTACAAAGGGTATTGCTATAATACCTAATCATTTAAGTACACTTCACATTTAAACATTTAATTTTTATTAAAAGTAGTGGCCTTTCTTCTTCTTTCAGCATCAACATTATTGTTAGCTCAGAGGCACTAACATATTCTTATGACTCTTATTGTCCATTGTTATAATAAATAAAGCACAAAGCCATTAAAACAAAGCAGCAGTGTGGCCTGCAACATAACAGTTTTTTCTTCCACCCTTGGAGAGAATGTGATCTCCTAACTGCATTTTAGTGAACTGCATGAAGTAAATCATGTTCAGGGAATAACCAACTATTACTATGATAAAAACTCATGCTTGAAAAAATACCTTTATTTCCTATTCTCTGAACATGCTTATTCTATACGTCTGTCCCTTATACATACATTTTTTTTTTTTTTGAGACGGAGTCTCGCACTGTCGCCCAGGCTGGAGTGCAATGGCATGATCTCAGCTCACTGCAAACTCTGCCTCCTGGGTTCAAGTGATTCTCATGCCTCAACCTCCCAAGTAGTTGGGACTACAGGTGCCCGCCACCACACCTGGCTAATTTTTTTTTGTATTTTTAGTAGAGACGGGGTTTCACCATGTTGACTTGGCTGGTCTCAAACTCCTGACCTGAAGTGATCTGCCTGCGTTGGCCTCTCCAAGTACTGGGATTACAGGCATGAGTCACTGCATCCAGCTTATACATACTGTTCTTAACACCAACAACACCGTATCTCCCTTCAATCTATCTGGTGAGATTTTTTCACCTCTACTGACTTTCAAACTCTTCTCTTCACTTCAGTTACAGCTCTTATTCTTTCTTAATAATCTAGTGTGCTTAGGTCTCTTTCTAAAACGTATTAACTTCATAATAAAGTATTAGAGTATCAGAAAATCCAAGATCTATTAACAGAATCAACATGTATGCATGTGAACAGTTGCTTTTAAAAACTGAATTTTTATTTTTAATTTTTTTTAGAAATAGAGATTCACTCTATTATCCAGACTGGAATGCAGTGGTGCAATCATAGCTCACTGTAGCCTTCAACTTCTGGGCTCAAGAGATCCTCCTACCTCAGCTTCCCAAGTAGCTAGGACTACAGGCATGTGCCACAATGCCTAGCTAAGTTTTTTATTTTTTGGAGAGGTGGGATCTCACTGTGTTGCCCAGGCTTGTCTTGAACTCTGAGCGTCAAGTGATCCTCTTGCCTTGGCCTCCCAAAGTGCTGGGATTACAGGCGTAAACCACTGCACCTAGTCAAAGACTGAATTTTTAAATAATACAATTTGAACTCAGTTTATTGAGTATGTCCCATGAAAAATACTGGTCTGAAAAATTTATAAATTAACCATCATTTCATAAAAAATATAACCATTCCTGCTTCTTGCTCTAATTAGACACAACAGAGGCTATTTCAGTGCTTAACGAACACTATTTAAATCTTTATATGAAATTAATTCCTTGAATTGATTTCAGCATATTTTCTAATACTTTTTTCTCATTAATTAGATTTTCTCATCCTGAGTCTCATAATTCAAAGACTTCGGAAAACTGGGCATAAAGAAGAAAATTATTTCATGAAAACACAAATTTGGTTAAACATGCTTATGCCATTTTTTTTTGCATAAAATGCAAAGTAAAAATGCTATGATCCAAATACATGAAGCTAAAATAGTACCTAATCACACTTTTCCTTTTTGAAATATCATTTTTGTATATTTAATGATGGGGTTCTACTTTAGTATTATAGTTGGCCAATTATTGTTCACTTTAATCCTCGCCCTAAATTTCATAAACATAAGTGGCCATTACTGGTCACTATCTTTCAGTGTGGAGGACACAAATCAGTAGAGTGAGAAAACTCCTAGGCTTTTCTTAACAATAACTGGGACTTTCTCTGCAGCCTTGGCTTGGTTCCTTCTCTGGTAGAACAAATCTCAGGTGTCTTCAGCCTTTTGTCTCCTATCATGTTTTCAAACATTCTTCCATCTTTCCAAATCAAAACCCCCTTTGGGATCTCCCTAGAAGTAACCATGTATATACCATCTATACCATTTTCTAGCTTTTCTATTTCTTTCCTCCTCTTAGTATCAGGATCATTATCATGAGGAAGGACATTTTTTCACAGTCCCGCCCATAATCTGTTCTCACTAGCCAGGCCATTCTTCTTCCCCTTCCCTAGCAAAATCTTATCTGTGGGTATGGAATGATTCATCCAATTTTAATATGGTAAGGGATAACTAAAAATAGCCATCTATTTAAAAATACTTGCTTTAAAGAGTTTTTCTGCATTCTGATACCAGATGTGAGATGGATATGCTGTGTGGCAGGACATTTTTGTTTCTCTTGGCCTTGGTATCTCCCTCTGTAAAATCGGGGTAATTTGTGAATTAAGGGCAAGTAGGGAGATGTATTACTCTAATTAGACCACAGGCAAAACAGAAGATTATAATGAACTTGAAGAATTGTGGGAAGAAACCCCAAAGGGGGTTTTGATTTGGAAAGATGGAAGAATGTTTGAAAACATGATAGGAGACAAAAGACTGAAGACACCTGAGATTTGTTCTACCAGAGAAGGACTATATAAACCTAAAAGATCATACCCATAGTTTAAGACTGCTTGAGTGAATGATCAGCAGTCACCTAGTAAGTGATCTGTTCTTACAGTTGGAACCTTTAAAGATGAACAGTTCTTTCAGGGTAATAGATCAAATTTGGGGATAAAAGACTGGGAAAGTGATATACAAAGCCATTTGATGCCACAGGATAGTAGCACTTTGAGAGGGCCAGTGTATCACTTAGTGCACACAAGGAGATGAGTATTCACCTCGAGCTCCCAGGACCCAGGATCTAGACAGCTGTGGAGATGCTAACTTGCCTCAGAGGCTGGGGTGGGGGTTTGGGGGAAAATAAAAGAAAAATACTTGCTTTATATTTCAAATATTGCTGGGCATTTTCAACTCAAGAATTGAATAATATGCTAGACTAATTACTTCTTATGGTGTATTAAATCTTTTAGGCAACTAGCAGGCACACAAGATTTACTACTTAAGATTATTTAATCTGTAATCCCAGCACTTTGGGAGGCTGAGGCAGGCGGATCACGAGGTCAGATCAAGACCATCCTGGCTAACATGGTGAAACCCCGTCTCTACTAAAAATACAAAAAATTAGCCGGGCATGGTGGCAGGTGCCTGTAGCCCAGCTACTCGGGAGGCTGGGGCAGGAGAACAGAGTGAACCCGGGAGGCGGAGCTTGCAGTGAGCCGAGATCGCACCACTGCACTCCAGCCCGGGCGACAGAGCGAGACTGTCTCAAAAAAAAAAAAAAAAAAAAAAAAAAAAGATTATTTAATATATCTTATAACTCTCCTGTATATGCCCCCTCCCACCTGAATTACCCATCTTAAGCCTTCATATCCTCTCACCTGGTCATTCTGAAGTTGTCTCAGAACTAACATTCTTACCTAGTTTCTCAATAATCTCCATTTTATCATCCATACTTCTGCCTGAGTGATCTTTGTAAGTAAGCATCTTCATTCATCACTCTCCTACTTAAAACCCCTTTTCAGTGTCTAGGATTTCCTAGCATTGTGCATAACCACCTCTTTGTGCCCAATGCTTGATTTGGACTCCTGTCTGCACAGTCTCATCTCTCAATGCATCACTAAAGTGATTGTATGAATTATTTGCAGTCTTTGAATATGCCACGCTACTTCATATTGCCACTTCACTCTATGCCTGGAATGTCTTTCCTATTCTGGTTCATGTGAAGGACATCTATCAGCTTTCAACATGCAGCTTGAGCATCAATTCTTTTATAAAGTGTTTCCTAACCCTCTCCCATAGATAATTGGCCTCCTCTTTCTTTGTCCTTCCCCTCCCCTAAAAGTTATCACATACATGAACAATGTTCTCTCACATTCATAACACATTTTTCCTTAGTTTTGTATACAGTTGCCTCTCTAAAATATAAACTTCAAGAGCATAGAGGGCATTTACTTCTGTATTCTAACATAAAACAGCACTCAATAAACGTTAATTAAATAATGAAGATAACATTTAAAATTAACAATTTATTCCTAAGTTTCTTAGCATCTTTTCTGAGTTTCAGATGAACACTTATAAAATTCCACTGGACATCTCCACACATATGTTCTGTAAGTACTTCAAGTTCAGAATGTCTACCACCAAAACTCATTATTTTCCCCGGAAAGTCACTTGCTTATCTGAGTTTCCTGTTTCACTAATGGCATAATTTACCCTCCGACCCAAACTAAAAATTCACCGTCCTACCTTTAGTCTATCTTTTCTTCAATTCACCCTTCATACTCATCAGTTATCTTGATAAAAATAACTTTTCTGATACTGCAACTTCTCTACTAAAATAACACACTTTATGGCTTATTCTATTAGGAGGATAAATTCAAACAATTTGGCAATAACACTCACAATCTGGCAACACCTACCTTTCTAGCCTCATCTCTAGCAAGTTTCTCCCATGGACCTTAACCTTAAGTTCTAAAGAAATATATAAAGAAATGCAGGTAGGTGGCCAATAGCAAGCCATTCATAACAGAAATATAAATATTTCTAGCTGCCAGAAGCAAGAAAATAAAGCAAATTCCAATTGTTTTGTCACATCTAAAGGTGCTGCAGGGTAATGGTATGAATCTATTTATGGAAGACAAACACATATACACACCCATACATATCAGAATAGGGGAAATGGGTGGGTATGAAGAGCAATGGCTAGTACAATGAATCTGGGGAACAAACACAATCTATAAAGGCTTTTTTTTTTTTTTTTTTTTTTTTTTTTTAGATGGAGTCTTGCTCTGGCATCCAGGCTAGAGTGCAGTGGGGCAATTCAGCTCAATGCAACCTCCACCTCCTGGGTTCAAGCGATTCTCCTGCCTTAGCCTCCTGAGTAGCTGGGATTACAGGCGCACACCACCATGCCGGACTAATTTAATTTTTGTATTTTTAGTAGAGATTGGGTTTCACCATGTTGGCCAAGATGGTCTTGAACTCCAGACCTCAAGTGATCCACCTGCCTCGGCCTCCCAAAGTGCTAGGATTACAGATGTGAGCCATTGTGCCTGGCTTAAAAAATCTGTTGACTAAACGGTGCATGAACAGGACAAGAATGTTTAATCAGGCTTCACTATAAAATATCCAAAGATTATCCACTTCTCTTTGCTCCTGATAATGGACATGAAGCCTTCGCAACAAGTGAAAGGAATCTCTTTCATTATCAACTAATAAGTGGCATTTTGGTTTATATGGTAGTCTCTTCTCCGTGGGTCAGAATAACCCTGAGTCAGTGGACAAAATGACCCTCGTAGATCTAAAATGCTGAGGACCAGCCCTCAGGCAGTGGTAAATCCCCTGATATAATACAAGCCTGTAAAGTATCATGGCCGCCAGGCCATCTCTCTCAATGCCACTTCAGTTGCTGACAGTAATTACCTACTACGAGGCAGAGATGCTAAACTCCAGTTCATAGCTCACTGCCTTCAAGAAGATTCTTTGACACCCTTTCTTCCCCCAACCTGAGTTTGTCATTGTTTCTGTACTCTCATCTTTACTCAACTATATCAGTTATCATATGATACCGCAATGTCCGACTGCTTCCCTCTAGCCTCTGCATGCCCTGAAGTCTGGCATCATCTTTATTATGTGCTTTGCTCATGTAAGTGTGGATTTTTTTTTTCTTTTTTTGAGACGGAGTCTCGCTCTGTCACAAGGCTGGAGTGCAGTGGCGCAATCTTGCCTCACTGCAATCTCCACCTCCTGGGTTCAAGCAATTCTCCTGCCTCAGCCTCCCAAGTAGCTGGGACTACAGGCACGTGCCACCACGCCCAGCTAATTTTTTTATTTTTAGTAGAGATGGGGTTTCACCATGTTGGCCAGGATGGTCTCCATCTCTTGACCTCATGATCCGCCTGCCTCTCAGCCTCCCAAAGTGCTGGGATTACAGGTGTGAGCCCCTGCGCCCGGCCCCTATAAGTGTAGATTTATTGGGTGACTTGTGACATCTCAAGCTAACACCATTATCTAAGTCTTTTTTTTTTTTTAAAGACCAGAACTAATTAATTTTCACTTATATTTTTTGAGAGAAAACAGTTGTCATAAAACACTTTAGAAGATGGGAAATTATTGCAAAGCAGATAGATTTCTCTGTTAAATGTGGGAACTGCTATTAGGAAGGCTTTAAAAAGGAGTCCCCTCAGAGATTCAAACCCATTCTGTTCACAAGGCACATGCCCTGTGTCATTCAACCCAATCTAAGCATTAGTTTTCCTCTGTAAAACAGGATTACTAACATCAACCTCATATCATTTCTGTGATGATTAACAGAGATAATGTATTTACAGAAGTCTCAGTGACAATACTTGTCTATATGGTATTTAACATCAGTAAATCTATAGAACCACATAACAGCAAGAAATTAACTTGCTGCATCCTTCATTGGAAGCTTTCAGGGATATGAGAAGCTCACTCTCATTACAGATCATATACTACTTCCACAAAGTACAGAACAATTGGTTGGCTCACCCTAGGATAAAAGAAAAGGGCTATAGGAGGAGGATTAAATGGGACCCCCATTTACCCTGTTTAACTTCAGCTGGAAAGTAAGTCTGTTAGAAACATGGAACTTGTCCATGATTCCTCCTTGCCAAAACTCTATTATCTCCAAAAGGAAGTTAGTCAAAGGGATTGTGATGTTAAACAGGAGAGCACTTGCATTAACAAATCTGAAAACCTCTTAAATAAAGACTAAAAAAGATATGACCACATTATCTTTTGAATGCTATCAGGAAATATGCAGCAAAGCTATCTAAAATTCCTCTTACGTTCTTCTGGTTTCATTTCGGTTATTTTTTGCAGCCAATTCTTCCATGTTTGGCAGTCACAAGGCTCATGTGCTTCACCAAGGCACTCCCTAAAGAAAATAAACACAGAAAAGACAATTTTAAAATATTCTTCATCAACATCAAGGTAAAAAAAGTGTGTAGAGGCCGGGCGTGGTGGCTCATGCCTGTAATCCCAGCACTTTGGGAGGCCAAGGCGGGTGGATCACCTGAGGTCAGGAGTTCGAGACCAGCCTGGCCAATATGGTGAAACCCCGTCTCTACTAAAAATACAAAAAATTAGTCGGGCGTGGTGGCACATGCCTATAATCCCAGCTACTCAGGAGGCTGACGCAGGAGAAACGCTTGAACCTGGGAGGTGGAGGTTGCAGTGAGCCGAGATTGCACCATTGCACTCCAGCCTGGGGAACAAGAGTGAAACTCCATTTAAAAAAAAAAAACAAAAAAAGTAGAAAGTATTCTTCCAATTTTAAAGTTGAAAAAAGTAAGGCACGGTGACTAATGAGAGATGGAGCATTTCAATGGAGGCACTAAAAATGAGATTCCAAAGCTTGATACCATTAGACCAGTTTTATTAAAAAAAAAATCAGTACATTCATTTACATACTTGAAAAGTTCTAAATAGATTAATATTTATAACTTAGATTTGCAAGCCTTCAGAGCTTTAAAACATTTGAATCAATTACGTTTTATCCTCATTAATATTTTAAATTCTTGTTATTCAAAGGTGTATTCCTGGCCATTACTGAGCAGCTTTTTAGACATGCAGAAGAACAGGCCCCATGTGATTTACAGATTAGAATCTATATTTTATCAAAATTACCAAATGAACCTTCTTCATTTTAAAGTTTGAAAAACACTGTTTTAAGTTGAATTACTGTAGTTACTTTTACCTCTGCATCTCCAGGTAACAGCTAGGGTAACTCAATTTACTTTTATTGGAATTTGGGAAATTTTGATTTAAATAATTAAAAACATCAATTTACCATTTGTAACTCTATTTTATATTCTTTCCATAGCTATTTAAGAAGTCAAACACTAAAACGAGCCTAAAGCCTTGATGAACTGCCATTTTAATTCAAGATGATGCTATATTGTATAGGACAAAGGTAATTATTCCAGTAAATAAAAAAATATTATTCGGAGGAGGGAACAACCCAATCTGGAAGTGATATCATCACCATCAGTGCTATTTTAAAAGATTTTATTTACAAAGGTTAGGCTTGGGCAGGGAGTGGTGGCTCGTGCCTGTAGTCCCAGCTACTTGGGAGGCTGAGGTAGGAGGATCACTTGAGTCTGGGAGGTGGAGGCTGCAGTGAGCTGACATCATGCCACTGCAGTCCAGCCTAGGCAACAGAGCAAGACCCCATTTCGAGGAAAAAAAATAAAAAAAAGTTATGTGTGTTAAGAAGACACACCAACTGACTCATTTAGTCTTAAAAACTAAGAGGAAATTAAGAATGCATCGATTATACTTCATATTTGTTAAAATGGTGATTATTAAAAAACATAAATTGTTGGTGTGGATGTGCAAAGATGGGAACCCTTGTGCACTGCTGATAGAAATGTAAATGCTGATGCAGTTGCTGTGAAAAATAGTTTGGTGACTCCTCATAAAGTTAAACTTAGAATTACCATATGATTCAGCAATTTCATTCTAAGGTATGAGAGAACTGAAAGCAAGGATTCAAACTTGTACACCAACATTCACAGTATTATTCACAACAGCTAAAAGGGGGAAACAACCCAAGTGTCTATCAACAGATGAATGGATAAACAAATTGTGCAGTATACACACACACAAACACACACACACGTTCACACAATTGAATATTCAGCCATAAGAAGGAATAATATTTGGATACATGCTACACTATGAATGAGCCTTAAAAACATTTTGTTAAGTGAAATAAGCCAGACACAAAAGTACAAATATTCTAGAATTCCACTTACATTAAATATTTAGAATAGGCAAATTCATAGAGAAAGAAAGTAGAGTGGTTGTTACCAGCTTGGGGGAGGAGAGGATGGGGAGTTACTGCTTAATGGTTATAGTTTCTGCTTGGGATAATGAAAAAGTTCTGAAAATGAAAAGTGGTTATGAAATGTTATAGTTGCACTGTGAATGCAATTAATGTCACTGAATTGCATACTTAAAAATGGTTACATGGTAAAAAAAAATGCACCAATTGCCTTGAAAGGGTAATTTACTTTCCTTACACTCCTGACTTATCATCTAATCTGGCACTTGGGAAATCTTTTCCATAATTGTGGTTTTACAGAGCTCCTAGCAACTTAGTGGTAGCTTAACAGACATTCAAAAAATATTGGGTTGATTAAAATATGGAAGTGAGCTGGGCACAATGGCTACTCGGGAGGCTGAGGCAGAAGAATCAATGGAGCCCAGGAGTTCGAGGCTATAGTGTGCTATTACCACTCTGTGAATAGCCACGGCACTC
The DNA here is from genome assembly GCF_000001405.40 of Homo sapiens. Classification (NCBI taxonomy): domain Eukaryota; kingdom Metazoa; phylum Chordata; class Mammalia; order Primates; family Hominidae; genus Homo; species Homo sapiens. Next base: position 92,359,796 of record NC_000007.14, on the reverse strand, counting down.
TAGCCTGTGCAACACAGCATGACCTAATCTCTTTAAAAAAGTGGATATATAAAGTCAGGAAACAACAGATGCTGGAGAGGATGTGGAAAAATAGGAACGCTTTTACACTGTTGGTGGGAGTGTAAATTAGTTCAACCATTGTGGAAGACTGTGGTGATTCCTCAAGGATCTAGAACTAGAAATACCATTTGACCCAGCAATCCCATTACTGGGTATATACCCAAAGGATTATAAATCATGCTGCTATAAAGACACACACACACATATGTTTATTGCAGCACTATTCACAATAGCAAAGACTTGGAACCAACCCAAAAGTCCACGAATGATAGACTGGATTAAGAAAATGTGGCACATATACACCATGGAATACCATGCAGCCATAAAAAAGGATGAGTTCACGGCCTTTGCAGGGATGTGGATGAAGCTGGAAACCATCATTCTCAGCAAACTATCACAAGAACAGAAAACCAAACAATGCATGTTCTCACTCACAAATGGGAGTTGAACAAGGAGAACACATGGACACAGGGTGGGGAACATCACACACTGGGGCCTGTTGGGGGATGGGGGGCTAGGAGAGGGATAGCATTAGAAGAAATACCTAATGTAGGTGACAGGTTGATAGGTGCAGCAAACCACCATGGCATGTGTATGCCTATGTAACAAAACTGCATGTTCTGCACATGTACAACAGAACTTAAGTACGAAAAAAAAACTGGATACGTTAGATTCACTTTAGTGCATATTAACATCAATTCTGCTTTCCAGAAATGTAAGGGATACCTGTGATAACTGTTAATTTTAATTTGGCGCACATGCTAGCAGACATCAGAGTAAGAAATATGCCATAGATCTAGGAACAGTGTTTCCATATGGTGCCTGCAAACACAGGTGGGAATGCAGAATCTACATTTCTCATGACTCATTTTTTAAAAAAGCTTGTTTGTCATTTGCATCTCAATAAAGCTAGAAAAAAAAGCCCAGAAGTACAAAAAGCCCTTATATATCTGCAGTAACTAAAACAAACAAATGCAATCAATGAAATAAATTATTTCTATGAAGATTTTTTTCCCTGGAGACTTTTTTCCCCTGGAGATTAAACAGCATATTCAATATCCATTTCCTGGCAGAATCAACGCTGGTAAATACTGGTTTTGCTGTCAGAACATTTTCTGAAAATGTTCTGGGAAAAAAAAAAAGAATCATGGGGGAACAAAGCCCAGTGTTTTCAAATAAAGTCTGAAAAAAAAAAAAAGCCACTTCTTCAAAAGCCGTAATTGCTTATCAATGTGCTTGGCTCTCCAAGACTGTGTTGTATTAAATAGCAAAAGAAGGTTTTCTTTTCCAGAACCTCACAGGAGGACACAGACTTGCTGCTTCCTTGGTTGTGAGCCCAATCAGCAGGACCACTTCAGGGTGTTATAACTGGTTGGTACAGTTTCCAATGCAATACTAAGAAAGGATATAAAAAAAAGCAGCAGCTTATAAATAAAAAAAGAAGTAACAGCATGGACTGTGAATTAAAGAGGTTGAGGTTGCCACATTTTTTTTTGAGGCGGAGTCTTGCTCTATGGCCCAGGCTGGAGTGCAATGGCACGATCTCTGCTCACTGTAACCTCCGCCTCCTCGGTTCAAGTGATTCTCCTGCCTCAGCCTCCCGAGTAGATGGGATTACAGGTGCACAACACCATGCCCAGCTAATTTTTTGTATTTTTAGTAGAGACGGGGTTTCACCATGTTGGCCAGGCTGATCTTGAACTCCTGACCTTGTGATATGCCCGCCTCGGCCTCCCAAAGTGCTGGGATTACAGGCGTGAGCCACTGCACCTGGCCGAGGTTGCCATTTAATACTATAAAATATATTTAAAAACTACGGCATCTGGAAAAATAAACTCAGAATTCTCCAAAGTATAGTAATAACAATGCCACTAAACATACTAATTGACAATCTAGATGATCAACGTAGGGAAGAGAGGTTATTTTGAGAAAAGTAGTGAAGATGCTAGAATGCCAACTTACTAAAGAAAGTTTTTTTTTCTTTTTCTTTTTTTTTTTTTTTTTGAGAGAGTCTTGCTCTGGCACCCAGGCTGGAGTGCAGTGGCGTGATCTTGGCTCACTGCAGCTTCCACCTCCTGAGCTCAAGCCATCCTACTGCCTCAGCCTCCCAAGTAGCCAGGACAATAGGTATGCACCACCATGCCCAGCTAATTTTTGTATTTTTTGTAGAGACAGGGTTTCACCATGTTGCCCAGGCTGGTTTCGAATTCCTGGGCTCAAGGGATCCGCCCATCTCAGCCCTGCAAAATGCTGGGATTATACCCGTAAGCCAGTGAGCCCGGCCTAAATTCCTGAATAAAATTTTAACCAATGACTGTTGACAAGTATTCTAAAGTCCCTGGTATCTGTTGCTGAAACTGCATCTCAAAATGTCAGTAAAACAAGAGTATGGGGAGGGGAATCTCAGGACACAGCATACTGAATCTCAGCCAGAGACACCAATAGGGTGGGTTTATTCAGGTAAAAAAGTACCCTGGTAAAAGATTATAAAGAAAAAAAAAATAGTTGCCTAATCTAAACTCCTCCACGTAGCTCAAATATGATTGGTTAACCTAACATCAAGTGATCAAGGAATGGCTCTCTTCTTGAAAATGTGCCAGTATGTACAACTGGCTGCATGACTATACAGTGGTTCTAAAGGGCTCTGGAAAAGGAAAAAACCTTCCACTGAAGTTTTAAAATTTATTACTTGATGGAAGAAATTCATATCCAGAAGTTGGCAATTTCAGTTCAATGCCATTTTAGAACTTTTTATTAATAAGCAATTCTGAGTGAATTAAGTAGAAATCTTCATTTTTATGATTCTCCCCTTTAGCTAACATTTTTTAGGATACCAAGCAATGTTCTAAATACTTCACATGTACTGACTCACTTAATTCTCTTAACATCTCTTTGTAACTGGTACTATTTATCCCCATTTTACATGCACAGAGAGGTTCAGTAACCTATCAAAGGCCATACAAGTAAAGAGTGGATAAGCTAAAATTTGAAGCTAAATAGTTTTTGGTTCTGGAACTTGCACTGTATGTTGACTGCATCAGATAGGAAGGCTTTATTTTATCATATTATTTTAGGAGAGGATGTTTATCACCAAGCCACAGAGCTAGTTAGTGGCAGAGCTGTCTCACAGGCAGGTCCTGTATCTCCCAGATTATTATAACTCTGTACTGTGTTGAAATTTGATAAATTGAACCCTCAAGTGGCATTTATTTATGCAGATGTGCTACTCTGCAGAGAGTACACATGATATTTAAATAAGGTCTTATGATTGAACTGCCAAATAAGTAGTATCATGTTTTTATTTCTGGGCCTGTGAAGAGCTGGAAAATGTTTTGCTAGTTGGCAGGAGTCTGATACTTAAATAGCTAGATACTGCCAATCTAGAAAAATCTATTTTTCCATAACTAGAGCTGTTAATCTAAGGGCTTAAAACTGGTTTTGTAAGAAAAGATGAGACACAATTATTAGGTCTACACATACAGATTGCTTCATCTATTTTGTCCAGAGGATTCCAGGAGAGTCCCTTGGCCTGTGAGGTCTGTGCAGAGGGAGATGATGCATGCAACTACTGCTCTGAATAAAGAAGTAGGTATTGATCAAAACCCTTATTGTGAATGTTGGAGAAAAAAGTACTCACTTTCAGACTTTTCTCCAAACTTGAAAAGTCTGTACATTGTACTCTGATCCACTGGAAACTTAAGTGGACTAGAAACCTGATACTGTGGTTTCTCAAGTTGTACATCACTATGATTCAAAAATTTGTTCCTTTTAAAGACTTTTTTGCACAGTTTCAGTAAATAAATGCTCAACCGCTAGGTAATATAAACTCTACCTTATTATTACTATTACTATTATTATTATTATTATTATTATTATTATTATTATTATGAGACGGAGTCTCGCTCCGTTGCCTGGGCTGGAGTGCAGTGGCTTGATCTCGGCTCACTGCAACTTCTGCCTCCCAGGTTCAAGCGATTCTCCTGCCTCAGCCTCCCGAATATCTGGAACTACAGGAGCATGCCACCACGCCTGGCTAATTTTTTGTATTTTTAGTAGAGACAGGGTTTCACTGTGTTACCCAGGATGGTCTCGATCTCCTGACCTCATGATCCCCCTGCCTCGGCCTCCCAAAGTGTTGGGATTACAGGCGTGAGCCACCACACCTGGCACCATATTATTATTTAGAATATTTCCTGCCAATCAATTTCAGCGAATAAAATATGTTTGACTGTCTATGTGTTTAGAAGAGAAATTCCAAATAAGGTTTTCAGTTTTCAATTCACACTGGTGATTAAAAGGGACCAGAGTAAAAAGAGAGGAAAGAAATGGCCACCATACCATCTTAAGTTTGGTGGCCAAGAAGTATTTCTGACAACAAATCTGTGAAGAGTTGTCTCAGAGAAGAGAGACACTTTGTGTCAGTTCAGAAGACAGAGAAGTTACACAGTAGCATATTTTACTTAATTAAAAAGAAAAAAAAAGAGGAAAAGTCATTGGTTTAAGTCAGAACCCATCTAAGTTTTGAATATTGTCTTGAGATAATTTTTCCCAGATCACACAAATTGTAATTATAAAGGCTAGGGGGAGAAACCATGCTAGCTTCAGTTACAAAGGGCATGGAACTTTGTGAACAGGTAGAGAAGGGTATCCTGTGGTGGGAAGGGGAATGCCTATTAATACTACTTGTCTCCCAACAACGAATATATTTAGTTATATCTATGCAGATATCTCCTGGGTATGGCTCAACTGTTTCTGTCATATATAGTTCTTGAAAAGAAGAAATTATTATTGTCGTTTGTTGTTTTTGTAGTCATCTTTAGAAAATTACTTCTGAGATTTTGAAGAAGGAGAAGCAAAACCAGAATCATTTGCGTTTAATTTGTGAAGATCTCTCTTGTAAAGCGTCTTTTTGCGTGAACAGATTTTGCTTCTCATTGAAATAAGAGATAAGAGCAACAGAAAGCATATGACAATTTCCACTTAGATTTTAAAATTACAGACAAAGCTTTTATACTATATGAATAAGGGTATAAAGCTAAGAATGCAAAAAAACAGGAACTGTAAATTAATGCCTAGAGACATCAAGTAGGCAATGCAAAAAAAATCCATCCTATAACTTAATAAATACCAAAACTGAAAGACAAAAGATTAAGCTGAAGAACTTAAATCTGAGTTTGTCCTTCACTAAAACTTATTTTTATTTCATTTAAGTCTCTTCCTCTCTGGTGCTATGTCCAAAAAATGATGATTTTGTTAGGTTCTCTACTACCCTAATGAATAGGAGAAAGAGTAAATAATTACCAAGTGTGACCTTAGTCCATGTGGCCATTCACATGGACTCACATGTGAGTTTATCCCTTGAACTGGGATAAAACTCAAAGTAGGGCCCGTGATCTTGGTATATAGTCTCCAATGCATCTTGAGTATAACCAGCCTGATATTTTGGGGTATGAGAAAAAGTAAGCTGATGTATTTCTCCAAATGTTATTCTAGAAATTTACAGTTTATAGCATCATCTATGTTTATAGAGTCTGACCTATATTGGTAGGTTTTTTCCATTAGCTTTCTTATCTTCAGTCAAACCAAACTTATTATTACTTGCAGCATACAAAGAGAATGGGGACAAACTCAAGAAATTAAAAGCTAAACTACACTGAAAACTGGTAAAAGCTAGATCACAGAAACCACAGTGCTTAAGAAGACAATGCCAATCAAAGTTTCTTCTTTTCCCTTCAAAACTTAATTTTTCTCTGATCTCTGCAAAAGCTAATCTTTTTATCTTTTAGACATTTTCCTAATTTATGTTTTCCTTCTTCATAGCTTCTCCAACTAATCCTCTAAATCAGCCTTTTTCAACCAGGATTCCAGTTTTGTGGGCCATGAAGTCTCTGTCTCAGCTGCTCAATTCTGCTGTCATTGCCCAAAAGCAGGCACAGACAATACATAAATAAAGTGACATGAAATGGTGTGGCTGTGTTCCAGCAAAATGTTATGTTTAATAATAAGTATAGACAATAGTTTGCTGAACCTTGACTTAGAGTCAGGGGTTTGCAGTTCAATAAATACTTTTAACTAATGATGATGGCGAAGGTAAGAAGTAGACCAGGGTAGGGATAGTTCCATAACTATACCTTCCTACTATACAGCAGTGATACACTTAGTTTCTGGTTTCTGATAAGCATAAAAGTAAAGACTAAAATTTCATATCCACCTAAGTGTATCCATGCATATGTGCTAATTCTGGAAATGAGCAAAAAACAGAATAAATACTGTAGCTTTTTTCTTTTTTATCATTTACTTAAAACAGTTAACTGAATCTTCTATGAATAAGTAGAGTGCTGATGGCTGACACATATATAGTCAAAAGAGTATTCAGAGTTACATATCCTTTCCAATACTGATTTATCATCAGTTTGTACTTATTGAGTACTATCAGGCACTAGAAACTAAGCAAAACACAAGAAACAACGAGCCTGCAGTCATTGATTCCTGACTAGAACTGTTCATTAGCATCTCCTGGGAAATTTTTAATTTTCTTTTTTTAGAGCCCCACTCAAAAACCTACTAAATCAAAATCTTACTTGTTAGGGCCCAAGATAAAATTTTGTAAAAGGGACCTTGGTAATTTTGGGAGCTCCTGGTGAAGAATCACTGCTAGAGGCTTATATTTTTAATGAAACGTTAAACTCTAAACATTTTCTAATCTATGGTCAGCAATTTGGTATTATAGTTTAGGCACATGGGCTTTAAATCAAACAGCTGGGTTCTAATCCCATTTCTGCCAATTCCTAGCTGTATACCCCTGGGGAACTTCTCTGTGCCTGAGTTTGTTTATCTGTAAAATGGGCATAATAACATCAACTCAACTCAGCATTGTTGGGAGAATTCAATATGTAAAAAATAGCTGGTGTAGTGCCTGGCACACACTAAGCACACAACAAATATGAACTATTACTACTTCTTACACATTTCTTAAATTAAGAAGAATACTATCAAGTATACTACAATTTAAAGGCCTGACTCAAGGTGCAAAGTCTTTAATAACTATTGGAAAGAAAGGTGATTAGGCTGATTCCAACTTGTCTTATACTAACCAGCAGAAGAGGTGTCCTTTTCCACAATCAACAGCAGGAGCTCTCAGCAATGGGAAGCTGAGTGTATCAGATCCAGATGTATTTGACCCTTGTTTCGTTAGTCTTACTGCTCTGTCACAGCCTGGAGTAGGACACCATTTAATGGCAGGATTATTTTCAACAAAGGCCTGTTTAAACAGCAATAACAAAACACAAAAGAAAATATTTTAATGCTAAATTCTAATACAGAGTGTACCTCTATGGTAATTTACTATAAAGCAAAGAAAGAAAAAGAGTGAAATAAAATGCATGGAGTTGTCAGTCTCAAGAAATTTAAATAGTACTGCAAAGTACTGAAAAAATTATTAAGGGGAAAGTGGCAATTAACTTAGTAACAAAATTATTTTTAAAATTTATGTTTTCTTTAATCTAAAAACCATGTAAATGATGATAAAGCAAAAATGTAATTGTTTGCACAGAAAATATGTAATTTTAAAATGTTTTCTCATACAATGTGTCACTTTTTGATGAATATAATTCTTAAGTAGAAACATGCATGTAGCTGTATTAGAACAGTAAATTTCTAAATGGTACCCAAATAATACATAATAATCAATATTATACTTTCTATGTTAAAGAGGGGGGTTGGGCACAGTGGCTCACGCCTGTAATCCTAGCACTTTGGGAGGCTGAGGCAGGCGGATCACCTAAGGTTGGGAGTTGGAGAACAGCTTGGCCAACATGGAGAAACCCCATCTCTACTAAAAATACAAAAATTAGCCGGGAGTGGTAGTGGGCGCCCGTAATCCCAGCTACTCTTAAGGCTGAGGCACAAGAAAGGCTTGAACCTTGGACGCAGAGGTTGCAGTGAGCTGAGACCACACCACTGCACTCCAGCCTGGGAGACAGAATGAGACTCCGTCTCCAAAAAAAAAAAAAAAAACAAAAAAAAAAAGGAGGACTTGTCTTTTAAAAGTTCACATATTAGACTCAGTAAAATCTGCACAAAGCAGTTAAAATGTAACTTTTAAATCACACACGCAAAAGAAAGTAACTTGCCTACACTTACAACTTCTGAAAAAGAATGAAGACAAAAAAAGATGAAATAAACATTATAATTCATTATATAAACCTATTACTTGGAATAAAAATGATAATAAACTTCCAAGTTGGAAATCTTTATTTCCAAATATTTTATTTAGAAGCATGAAAGATAATGTCTTTTGGAAAACTTAAAGTAGGTAAAATCTAATTTGAACATTATCTTGATCAATCAGTTATTAAAGTGCAACGGGCAAATTAATAAAAAGTTCTGATAAATAGTTTTATTTTAAATTTTGTAAATTACCAGTACTTTAGCCTTTCCCCTTTCCTCTTATTATTACAAAATAATGCTTTAGCTTCAAACTTTATCACCATTCCTTTAAGCAACTTTTCTGATAAAGTGTTTCTAACAAAAGAGCCATTATTTTGTTTTCAAAAATAAAACAAAAAGAAAAAATAATGTTATAAAGGTTTAATAAAATCAAAATTATGGAAATTGGACAGATAATTGGCAGTATACCTTACCTTAATATCAAACTGTAGGTATCGTTTGTCCATCTCCTTTGAAACTACACTTTCTATGATATCCACAGGTACAAGTTGGAAGCAATCATATGCAGGGCAAAAAATGTTGTGAGCTTCACCTTCTTGAATTTTCAGATTCAAAAACCTATTAAAATGGATCAATGCACATCAAACGAGCAAGGATATTAAGTTGTGCATACATTCTAAGAATTTTCCTTTTTCTTTCCTTTTTTTTTTAGAGACAGGGTCTCATTCCATCACTCAGGTTGGAGTGCAGTGGCACGATCACAGATCACTGTAGCCTCATACTCTTGGGCTGAAGCAATCCTCTCACCTCGGTCTTCTGAGTAGCTAGGCCTACAGCTATATGCTGCTATGCTGGGCTAATTTTTAAATTTTTGCTAGCGATGGGTCTTGCTATGTTGTCCAGACTGATCTCGAACCCCTGGTCTCAAGCGATTCTCCTGCCTTGGCCTCCCAAAGCCCTGGGGTTATATGCGTGAACTACTGTGTCTGGCCAATTTTCCTTTATGCTGAACTTTTTGTCAGAGTGTAATTAAAATAATACCAACAAAAGTGTGAAACAGCAATTGTAATGCACATTATCTGTTAAGGCATTCATTTTATATATCAATATATATGCATACACATATATACATACACTCGTATGTTTCATATTTTATGTTTCTATTTTGCTTTACCCTCTCTAAAAATCTGAAACAATCTGAAAAAGTATTTTTATTTAAAATTAAAAATTCAGAAATGAGTGGCTCAGAAAGGTCATATTCAATTCTCAATATGCTACAGCTTTAAAGAAAAGGGGGCAATGGTATAGAAATGAGCCATAGATAATTCAAGATATTTTGGGATGGCATTAAAATATAGCATAGTTTTTTGAAGAATAGGTTTATAGGTTTTCTTTTTATATTTCACTTAGATGAATATTAAAATAAGTTTTATTTCCTACTTAGGTATACTTGAGTAGTGAGGAAAAAATGCCCTGTAAAAAAGTATCAAGAATCTAGCCCAAGGTTAGATTAAAAGCAGGGTTCTTTTTTTTCTTTCCTTTTCTTTCTTTTTTTTTTTTTTAAGATGGGGTCTCTCTTTGCCTAGGTTGGTCTCAAACTCCTGGGATTAAGTGATCCTCCCACCTCAGCCTCCTGAGTGAGTAGCTGGGATTACACGCATGTACTACCATGTCCAGCTAAAAGCAGGGTTCTGAGTTAGAAAATTCCAGATCTGCCACCAACAAGCCATATGATCTTAAGCAATTTATTTAACTGCTCTAAGCCTCAGTTTCACCATATGTAAAATGGAGATAATAATATGAACTTCCCAGGGTTGTTAAACAGATTATATATGTGAAAAATCTACATGGTGCATGACATAGAGTAAGAATTCATAAATTTTAGCAAGGATTATTATTGTTATTATTATTTAGTACTGCCCTTAGAAAAGCAAGAAACAAACTTTTGAAGTACAGATTACTGTATATTGAATTTAACACTTAAATCTAGAGAAAATAAATGGAAAACCAGGCAATTAAATCTAACTGCTTAGTCCTCACCATCAACATTTTGATTATTTCACTAACTATAGTATCTTTTTTCTTTAGTTCTCTCATTCTCTTAATTCCACTGCACTTAACAACAACAACAGCAGCAACGACAACCTTACTGAGACCTTGGCAGGCCCGTTCCCTTTGCTCCATCTTCTCTTTCATATCCTCGTCTGGGCAATTCATAGAAAAGAGAATCCCCAACAGTCAGTTCTCTCACTCCAAGTGCTCTCTACCACACCTCAAACCTAGCAGTATCTTTAGCATTCTTTCCTTTCTTCCCACTCACTTCTGTGAAAGGGAGAGCTTTCTCTTTAAACCCCAGGCTAATCCTCAAATCCTCTGGCCAGCTCTGGGACTTGCACTATCCAATAACCTATCCTTTCTCTCTTTTACTTTCTAATGGCTCTTACCTTGGGCACAATAAACATGCTCAAGTTTTTCCCATTTTAAAAACCCTTACTAACCACATGACTCTCTTCCATTTTCTTTTTCTTTCACATCAAAGTTTCTTGACAAAATAGTTTATGATGATCTGTTATTCCTTCCTCAAGCCCATCTCATTCACTTCTCAATCTGTAGCATCTGGCTGCTATCACCTCTTCACTGGGCCACAATGACTACCCATTAGCCCAACTTATTAAAGAATTCAGTTTTTATCTTCCTTGATTTCTCTAGAGCATGAGACACTGTGAACATTTCCTTCTTTCAAATTCTCTTTGGCGTCCAGGAATTAACTTTTTTTTTCCCTTGGCATTCTTCAACCTCTGGTAGATCCTTATCCATTTTTTCACAAGTGCCATTTTCACTCCTGTGCTAAGCAGCGATATACAAGGTATATAAGGTATATTGTGGCCTGGCACGGTGGCTCACGCCTATAATCCTAGCGCTTTGGGAGGCCGAGGTAGGCGGATCACAAGGTCAGGGGTTCAAGACCAGCCTGACCAACGTGGTGAAACCTCATCTCTACTAAAAATACAAAAATTAGCTTGGCATGGTGCCGGGTGTCTGTAATCCCAGCTCCTCAGGAGGTTGAGGCAGGAGAATCACTTGAACCCGGGAGGCAGAGGTCACAGTGAGCTGAGATGGTGCCACTGCACTCCTGCCTGGGTGACGGAGCGAGACTCCAACTCAAAAAAAAAAAAAAAAAAGTCTTAAAGACTAAAAGTAGAGAACTGTTAACTGTAGAGTTCCTTTTTCACATAACAAGATTCTCCTCTTTTTAGCTATGAAGAGATTCCCTGGGAAGTTGTATAGTCCCTTGTCAAAGTTCACAGTTTGCTTAGACATAGTTACTACATGATGATGTTTTGAATTTTACATATTTTAAATATATCAGAGAAGATTTAATCATCTCTGGGGAATTAAATTACAGAACTGAGAAGACCTCATTGAAGACAGGATCAGTTCTGTTGGCCATATTATTATTTCTCATCAAGACACAATTTAATAAAAATTTATGAGCAGAACATGGAGTTGATAAGTGTCACTAAAAGAGAGAAATCTGGGGCAAACCTTACCTATATTTTTATCTTGCAGGTAAAATTCACAGATGATATCATAGGTAGGCTCTCTCTGCTTATTACAATGCTTAGGAATATGATAATAAGTAATATTTATTGAACGATTACTATATGCAAGATCCTGTTTTAAGCACTTTACATACGTTAAGAAATTTAAAAAACTGATGATAATCCTAGGAAGCACATACTATTATCACCACTTTATAGATTAGGAAACTGAGGAACAGGCAGGCTACCAATTACCTAAATCAACAACTAATAAATAGCAGAGTTGGAATTCACAGCCCAGTGACCTATTGTATCCAGAACTTGAGCTCTTATCCTCAATATTAGCAAAGAAATTCTAGTCTGGCTAGAAAATAATAATTTCTATCTAATCTGTCGATTGATCGATCAATCAATCGACAGGGTCTTCTTCTGTTGCCCAGGCTGGAGTGCAGTGGTGTGATCATAGCTCACTGTAGTCTTGAACTCCTGAACCCCTGGGCTCAAGTGATCCTTCTGCCTCAGCTGCCCAAGTAGCTAGGACTACAGACATGTGCCACTATGCCTGGCTATTCCCTTTTATTTCAGCCCTTGGCATCAATACTTTAAAGCAGGGGGTGTCCAATGTTTTGGCTTTTCTGGGCCACACTGGAAGAAGAACTGTCTTGGGCTACACAAAAAATACACTAACAATAATGACAGCTGATGAGCTTAAAACAAAAATAGCAAAACAAAAAACAAAACAAAAAAAAACTCATAATGTTCTAAGAAAGTTTATGAATTTGTGTTGGGCCACATTCAAAGCTGTCCTGGGCCACATGCAGCCTGTGGGCCACTGTTGGATAAGCTTGCACTAAAGCATCTAGCTGTACTAATAAAAAGTTTGGGAAGAATAAGATAGATTGAGGGGCTTTCAAACTATCTGAGGACCTTTAAAAATGCTTCCTTGGTTTTAGGAGTTTCTTTTTCTATGTGCCTATAAAAACACTGTGATAATTAAAAAATGATTTCATCAACACATGAATCACCCAACATGGAACTTCTTTTATTGGTGCTTGATTTGACAAAATTGGAAGGGGTGGAAAGGAGAATCCTAGGTAGGCTAGAAGGTACTAAGGAAACCAATAATTAGATCTTTCAAATTTAAATCTTACCATACATTTCTTATGGCTAGTTTGTGATGAGTTTGGGAGATAGTTCCTGTGATACAAGTCAGGTGAGGAAGGTCAATGAAGCTCAAAAAAATTCAAGAAAATCCCCTGGGGGACTCAATTTTCATATACACACCAAGACCAACAGCTAACTTGGTAGAGCTCAGGTAGTACTTCCTAATTAAGTACAGTTAACAACTAAGATAAAGTTGTACCTGGGAAGTATTTTCTGCCTCCACAACTGCGTTAAGGATAGCTTTGGATTGTGAGCTCTGACCTTTGTCAATTAGTATACCTGTAACAGCTATACTGATCTGATCCTATCTAAGTAGACTCTGAGTAGAATCTAGTCTATGTCTTAAAAGGAACAACCAGATATTCTGACTTAAAAAGCAGTATTTTTTTCCCCCTCCAAATGAAATCTTGCCTCTTACTCCAATTTGGAAAACAGATAAAGAAATGTACTCAAAATCAAACCAGACACGTTGGGGGACTGAGGTGGGTGGATCACTTGAGGTCAGGAGTTCGAGACCAGATTGACCAACATGGCAAAACCCCATCTCTACTAAAAACACAAAAATTAGCAGAGCGTGGTGGTGTGTGCCTATAGTCCCAGCTTACTGGGAAGGCAGAGGCAATGAGAATCGCTTGAACCCGGGAAGGAAGACGTTGCAGTGAGCCGAGATCACACCACTGCACTTCAGCCTGGGTGACAGAGTGAGACCCTGTCTCAAAAAAGAAAAAAAAAAATCAGAACGACAGCTCAGCAGTTGCCTACAAATTGGGGGTGATAAAAGGAAGGCAGAAAGAGAAGAGTAGCAGGGATTCAATGGGAAATGAGGAAACCTGGGAATGACAGATTCTAAGGGTTGTGGTGATGGTTTCAAGCTTGTATATAGATATCAAAGCTTATCAAATTATTTATTTTAAATGTGTGGCTTTATGTATGTCAACTGTACCTCAACAAAGCTGTTTAAAAAGAAAAACTCAGAAAATCTGCTCAGGTTCTCGCTCTTACCCACATAGTATTCTCTAGCTCCCTACACTTGCTAACTGATACTCTATTTAAAAAAAAAAAAGGTTAAAAACTTCTGATTTCTAAGATTTTCTTAAATACCAATGACATATCTCACTTAGGTCATCAAACAATAGCTTTGTGTGTCTCCAGAGATAACATGACATTACAGTGCTCATTATAGCAATCTTTGTTTAGAAACTTCTCTCGAAAAGTGCAACATGAGAGCAAAGTTAATGGATGGTGAAAAAGTATAAATCTTGAAAGGTAACGGGAAGGGTAAATAGAGATAAACACAAGAAGCAAAACAAATTTTCCATTGGTAAAATATACCCAACTATGTCTCGCTGAAACATTTAACTCTGCATTCACTAAAAAGAAATTTTAAACATCTATATTCTTAAAGATTTTCAAGGCAACTTGGTTGTCACAAAAAATTGAGACAGCACAAAACCAAATGCTTAAGATTCCTGGGATATAAGACAAACTGATTCTTGCCTGAAATTTACATTAGATGTAATATAAACTAAAATACTAAGAAAAATTATTTGTATACCTGCTTTGTTTCTAAAGGTACCTTACATTAAGCTAAATAGCATTAATTAAAATAGCTGGGGAAGACGTAAAAATAAAAACAAAAATATTTTTCCTTACTAGTAAAGTCTAAATTCATTTCTGTGTAACTCAGAAGTCAATATAAACAATTTGCATCATTAAATACTGAAAGCAAACAATTTTATTAACAAATCAGAGTGCTATCATGCAGTAAGAGATGCTAAGGTGCTCATATACTCACGACTCCCAACATCCTCTACAAAAGTCATGTCCACAGGGCATATCCACAGGGTCTTCAAATACAGAGATACTGCACATACAAATGTCACACTGGAGATGAAGAAGAACAATGATTTAAACAGAAATGTACTTCTGAAAGAGAACAATACATTTTGTTTACTTTTTTAAAAGGCAAAAATACTAGTACAGTAATTAAAAGTTTTTGAAAGTTACCTCTTTCAAAGTTTTAAGGACAGTTAGTGTGCCTTTCAGTAACAAATACCATGACTACCTCACTATAAATAAAAGTGGGATTTAAATGTTTTAATGCAAAAATCAAACCCTTAAATTCCAAATTTATGTATTAATCAGCAACTGTGCGTTTGGAAAACGAAGTACAAGAAACAAATCATTTGGGCCAACATCAAATTACATGTTGCAAAAAACCACTTCAGTATCATGCCCTTCACATTACACCTACCCTTCAAAATCTATGAAAACAGAGTAACTTTGTATTTTTAATGCAGCAACTCAAGATATCCACACTTTCCAGGGAGAGAACCCTGCTATAAAACTAAGTATTAGGCCGGGCGCGGTGGCTCACACCTGTAATCCCAGCACTTTGCGAGGCCGAGGTGGGCAGATCACTTGAGGTCAGGAGTTCAAGACCAGCCTGACCAACATGGTGAAACCCTGTCTCTACCAAAAATACAAAAATTAGCTGGGTGTGGTGGTGCATGTCTGTAATCCCAGCTACTCAGGAGGCTGAGGCAGGAGAATCACCTGAATCTGGGAGGTGGAGGTTGCAGGGAGCCGAGGTCATGCCATTACACTCCAGCCTCGGCAACAAGAGTGAAACTCCGTCTCAAAAAAAAAAAAAAAAAAAAAAAAAAAACCAAAAACACAAAACAACAACAAAAAACCCACCTATGTATTAAAACTATGCCATTTTAATAGCAAAAGCTGCAATCACTTTTGCGCCTACCTAGTATCTTCTAAACAATAGCTCTCTAGAAGCAAAATTTATCACGTTACATATGCAAATTACAGGATTCTGTTTTCCAAAAAGGCACAGATAAAATGAGAAGCACTTTCATATTTATCACATATTTTGAGTGGCTGAGTCATTCAAGAAATATTAAAATCTCCTATAGTAGCACACCAATGATATGCCAGTTAAAAATGCTGACAATGGCAGTACTGTTTCATAAAATAATAAAACACTTATTTTGGAAATGCATCTAGATAACAAACTCCAGAAGCTTTACTGAAACAAATACATAACTATCAATATATTGTAAATGCTTAAAAATTACCTTTCAAGAAATTATAAAAAATGTTTTTGTATTTTCGGTTTACAGTGCCCATCACAAACTTATCTTTTTATATTTCAATATGATGTATATATGTGTGTATGTATTTTGAGATGGGGTCTGGCTATGTTGCCCAGGCTAGTCTTGAACTCCTGAGCTCAGGCAATCCACCCACCTTGGCCTCCCAAAGTGCTAGGATTATAGGCATGAGCTACTTACTGTGCCTGGCCTGTATTTAAATCATTAAGCAACTGAAGTTTTAAGGGAAAATAAAATAGATGGTTTCCCTAAACTGTTTTAAGTTCTCTGTTTGGAAATGAGGAAAGAAAACCTTTTTTTTTCAATCTATAATTCAGAGATCACAAAAACATTCTGTAATAATAAATATTTACTGAAGCATGGAAATAACCGAACCTTTCAAGAAAGGGATAGGATTCAATTACAAGAACACAACCAGACACTCCATGGAACAATATTAAATCATTTGAATGTTAAAAGACTATAAACAAAGCTATGAGAAGTACAGTGAATACCAAACCATACCAAACTGGTGTCTAAATCCCCAGGAGATAAGCTGATTTCATCTGGGGAGGTGACAGAAGAGCGTGTAGTCCTTGGAGTTCTTGGAGATGGGAGCGTGTCCCAGGCATTATACCCACTTGGTGGTGGAGTTGGCATTTGAACACCTGATCGTTGGCAGCAGTTCTCCGGGTTGGACATCCAAGCTTCAAGTAATTTCTCCCTGTCCCAGTCTTAAAGAAAAATGGAATGGATAGCTCTCAAAAAAGAAAATATGGTAATGTTATAAAAGCTATATAATAACAAAAATATGAGAATTACAAATTTTGGTCATCTAAAGAAAAAAGTATATAAAAGTAGTAACTGCAAATGAATGTCTAGGTATGTTCTTGTTATTAGCGTTTTTACACAAAATTTAAGCTTTCATAATTGATCATGGCTTACAACCATGTCAAGATCTAGCAGTATGGTCAAAATTTCCAGTACTTTCTACTAACAATCAAAACAGGTCACTCACAAATCACTCTTGGAATTCACTACATTTTCGCTGGCATAGGTTTAATTTAGCTTCTTTACTCTTTCCAAAAGTATATATAATTTTTTAACTGTCCTCACTGGCATCAAGTTGTAAAATGATTACATAGTTCACTATAGATATGTCAAAATGCCAATTACAGGTCCTAAAAATCATTTAATAAACAGCTTGAAAGCAGAAGAAACTTCCGAAGAAATTAGAGTTATAAATAAAGTTTTAGTGAATTAGGTATAAATTCTATATTAAGTGATCTTGAACCTGGCTTAACTAAAAAAAATTATCTTCCTACTGTGAACATTTTAAAAATTGCCAAGTAAAACATACTATAATGTCTAGAGCCATAAAAACCTAACCCTTTAAAAACAACAAACTAATACATTCAATTACTTTGCTAGGTGTTTTACATAATTTCATTTATTCCTCCCAGCAAACTTTTCAATTATTATTTAGGCGAAGAAATCAAGACTGAAGGAAGTTATATAACTTGTCCAAGCTCACACAGAGATTTGAAACCAATTTCTGTGATTCCAAAGGCTGTGTTCGTCCCATGATCACACACTATTTCTGAGAAGACTAAAGGGTAAATTATTCACTGTAGGCACATTCTATAAAATTTTATAGCTTAAATACAAATAACTGGAAATTTTCTACACGAGGTTTTTTTTTTTCAACTATATTAAGCCGATGTATTTGGCAGTTTAACAGGATAAATATGACTTTGACATGCAATGAAAATAGAAGGAGTATATTTCCAGGTAGGGAAAATAAACAAGTACGTATATAAATATAGATGCTCCTTGACTTACGATGGGGTTAAGTCCTGATAAATCCACTGTAAACTGAAAATATGATAAGTTGAAAATGTGTGGTTAACTAGGAGCTATGGCTCACTACTGTCGCCCAGCATCTCAAGAGTAGTATGGTTTCTACTGAATGCATATTGAGTTAGCACCATTATAAGTCAAAAAATTGTAAGTCAAACCATCCTAAGTCAGGGACTATCTGTGTATATACAGAGTTTTTCTGGTGATTATTTTACATAGGTAGAATATCATATAAACTTTATCTCCTTTTCCCACTTAATCAACTGGAAAATCTCTCCAAGTAAACTTATTTAACATTATTTCCTTCTTTTTAATGACTACATATTAATCCACTGTGTGAAACAATTTGTGTATCATGATTTATTCAAATATCCCCCTACTTTGTTTACAGTTTTTTTTTTTTTGCCACAACGAGGTTGCAATCTGCATCAGTGCAGTTATAAGTATATATTCATGTTTATATTGGTATTTCCTTGGTATAAATTCCCTGGAATGAGACTAATGAGTCTAAGGCCCATTGTGTTTTTAAAAGAAAATGCTAGATGGCTTTCCAAAAAGGTTATGACAAATTTTTTTTTTTTTTTTTTTGAGACAGGGTCTCGCTTTGTCACCCAGGCTGGAGTGCAACGGCATGATCTTGGCTCACTGCAGCCTCTGCCTCCTGGGTTCAAGAGATTCTCGTGCCTCAGCCTCCCAAATAGCTGGGACTACAGGCATGTGCCACCACTCCAGGC
This sequence comes from Homo sapiens, assembly GCF_000001405.40. Taxonomy (NCBI): domain Eukaryota; kingdom Metazoa; phylum Chordata; class Mammalia; order Primates; family Hominidae; genus Homo; species Homo sapiens. The sequence goes on along the minus strand of NC_000007.14, from coordinate 92,341,163 downwards.
TAAGTTTTATACATATTTTTTAGTAGAGACAGGGTTTCACCATGTTGCCCAGGCTGGTCTCAAACTCCCGACCTCAAGTGATCTGCCCACCTCGGCCTCACAAAGTGCTGGGATTACAGGCATGAGCCACCAAGCCTGGCAGGTTATAACAGTTTTTACTTCTGTCAGCAATGAGGAACCTTACCAGTTTCTTCTACAGCAATGGGTGTTACAGTTCTTTTAAACATTTATAAACTTATAGTTCACTGTTATTTTAATTTGCATTTTCTTCACAATGGATGTATTCAAACATTGTTTGATGTGTTTGTTGGCCATTTGGACGTGCTCTTCTATGAATTACCTATCCATATCTTTTCACCATTTTGGCACTGGGGTATTTACCAATTTCTTGTCAATTTAAAGAAGGCTTTTGTATACAATAAACATTAGCTAATATTGTTTCCAAATCAAAATTATGTTTCCTGACTTTGTTTATGGTATACTTACAACAAAAATTTAAAAATCCAGTATACTTTAATATGTCTATCTCTTCTTTAGCTTTCTTGTCTTAGAAACTCAGAGGTTTTTCTCTGTCCTTAGATTTACATGTAAGTCTCCTAGACAAATTGATGAATTGACTTTATATCCCTCATCCTTTTTTTTTCTTGGTATTCCAATGGCCAGTCATATTAGGGCCATTTAATGAATTATATATCCTTTCCCCACTGATCTATAATGTCATCTTTACATAAATTATATTCCCAAATACTGTAAATTGGATTTACTATTCTGTTTCAATGGTCTATTTGTCTAGATTTGAACAAGTGCCATGCTGACTGAATTACAGTGGCTTACAGCGTGTTCTCTTTTCTGGTAAGGCTAATTCCTTTCACTGGAACTGAATGAGCACACCTGATCTCTGTGACCCTCAGGAAACTGAGGAAGAGCTGAACAGGTAGTCTTACTTAGACCCAAGGTTGGGCTCAGAGTTCAGAGAAACAGCTGCAGAAAGACAGCTGGATTACAGAGAATCAGGATTAGCACAAAAGATTTCTTGGGACAAACAAAGCCATCATTTAAAAAAAAATTCAGTGGCCAAATAAAGAGAATGGTCCCATTTGAGACACAAATTAATGTTCTTTAAGGCCAAGGGAGAAAAAACACTTCAAAGGAAAAGTAAAGAAAACACTTACCAAAAAAACTAGAATTTTCTGATTAAGATAATACATGTAATTGAGCCATCATTAAAAAAAAAAACCCTACAACCAACCAAACTCAAGAAAAGGAAGAAGGTGATAAAGGCAAAGTAGAAATTAAATGTTAGAAACTATTGATAGAAAAAATGATAGACAACCTATAAACTGCAAGAAAAAAAGACAAAAATCTAAGAACTAAAAATAAAAACCAAGGCAATCGGGAAAACTCAGCGTATACACATTGAAATTGAAAATAAGATACAGCTATATGTAGAGAGAAAATTAAAAGAACTGTGACAAAATGCAATGTCTTTCAAACTGTAAACTTATTTAAGGGCAGAGCTTGTACCTATATTGCAATCGATTTTATCTCCATTACTCAGCCTAGTGCCTAGTTCAAAGTGTATATTCAATAGAAATCTGTTGAACGAACAAATGAATATAAAACCACATGCTCCTATTATTTAAATCTAACTGAAGTAGATAATATTCCAGGAAATTGTAAATGATTACAGCTGAAGAACTCATGAAAAGGTAGTAATTCTAAGCAGACTAATAACATTGGGAGAAACTGAAGAATACAGTAATTATTTATTTAAAAAGTATAGGGTTCACATGGTTTCATAAGCAAACTTTAAAAAATTTTTGGCCAGGTGCGGTGGCTCACGCCTGTAATCCCAGCACTTTGGGAGGCCAAGGCGGGCGGATCACCAGGTCAGGAGATCAAGACCATCCTGGCTAACACAGTGAAACCCCATCGCTACTAAAAATACAAAAAAATTAGCCAGGCGTGGTGGCAGGTGCCTGTTGTCCCAGCTACTCGGGAGGCTGAGGCAGGAGAATGGCATGAACCCAGGAGATGGAGCTTGCAGTGAGCAGAGATAGTGCCACTACACTCTAGCCTAGGTGACAGAGCAAGACTCAGTCTCAAAAAAAAAAAAAAAAAAAGAAAATTCAAGTAGAAATTAATTCTTGTGTCCTTGCATAAGCATAAAGAAAAAAGGAAGATTCATATAAATATATATATATATATATATATATATATATATATATATTTTTTTTTTTTTTTTTTTTTTTGAGATGGAGTCTCACTCTGTCGCCCAGGCTGGAGTGCAGTGGTGCGATCTCAGCTCACTGCAACCTCTGCCTCCCAGGTTCAAGCAATTCTCCTGCCTCAGCCTCCCAAGTAGCTGGGACTACAGGCGCCCACCACCACGCCCAGCTAATTTTTGTATTTTTAGTAGAGATGGGGTTTCACCATGTTGGCCAGGCTGGTCTTGAACTCCTGACCTCAGGTTATCTGCCCGCCTTGGCCTCCCAAAGTGCTGGGATTACAGGCATGAGCCACCACACCCGGCCAAGTCACATAGATATTTTTAAAAAGCTATTATAAAAACCTGAAATGCCAAAACCTAACCTTATTTATAAAGCAAATCTTGACATTATCAGCACAAATAACTGGACATGTAAAATGCAGAATTATTAAAAACAATTATATACACATAACTCAAACATTTAATAAAACATATATATTAATTTCCTAATCTTTTTTTAATTTTTATTTTTTTTTGAGGCAAAGTCTAGCTCTGTCACCCAGCCTAGAGTGCAGTGGGGCGATCAATGGCTCACTGCAGCCTTGGCTTCCTGGGTTCAAGTGATCCTCCTACCTCAGCCTCCTGAGTAGCTGGGACTTACAGGCATATGCCACCATGCCCAGATTTTTTTTTTTTTTTAATTTTTTTGTAGAGACAAGGTCTCACTATGTTGCCCAAGTATGTCTGGAACTCCTGAGCTCAGGTGATCTTCTCGCCTTGGCTCCCCAAGTGCTAAAATTACAGACCTGAGCCACTACACCTAGCCTTAATAATCTTTTTTATGTAGGGCCAAGCCCTTTTCTTTGACTTATCGTTCTCCTTCTATTTCCTATTTCTTGCCTAAACTACACCCACAAAACATTATCCATTTCTCATTGTTATTTTCTTAGATTAAGATTTAAAACACATTCAGATAGCAATATGAATGTAAAGGCCTAGATTTTTATGATCTCCTCCCTTTTTTTCAGTTATTTCACTCACGCATAATTTAGTCAGAAAAATTTTAAAATGAACTTGCCTTTATCAAGGCTTTCCAAAGCCTCCAACTTAGATTTCAATAAATAACTATTTACTCATATTTTATCAGTACCATTCCATTATATTATGTAATTACAACAAGGTGTACAACTGAGATAATCAGGTTTGTTAATTGGCATGTAATTCAAGCCAGGTGCATGGCAATTCTGAAAAGGAGCCCCCTAGACAGAAGCATTCAGTCTGTTTGACAAAGAGAATCCTGAAAGTTAAGTTGATGTGGGTTAAGACAGCATTTACTGTATTATAATGTCAAAATATACATAAAATGTCATTAATAGGAAATGAAATATGCATAACATATACCCCAAGCCCAAGTATGCCTTATTCCTGGAATATAAGAACAGCTGAACATTAGGAAAGAAATTTATAATACCAATGTATCAAAGAAGAAAATCAGTATTATCATTTTTAAAAAAGATCTGGAAAAAGTAAGACAATCTAAAAAATTACTCCTGAATTTTTAAAAAGAGAGCTCTTAAATAGTAAGAAAAAGATACTGTTTTAACACGATAAACAGAATCTCTTTCAAACCAATAGCCTAATTCTTAATTTAAAACACAAAAGCCATTCTCAGAATTTCAATTATCTATTCACTGATGCATTGCAACAATCTATTTCCTGCTTAAATGATTCTGAGCTCTAGACAACTTCTCCATTTGGAATTCTCAAAGTTTACTGCTTAGTACACAGTAAAGGACGAATTGGTGACTGAATGAATTTCCACTTAAGCCAAGAAAATAATAAGCATCACTTATAATGTTACATAGGAGTGCTAGCCAATGTAATTAAACCAGATAAAAGATATGGGAAAGCTGCAGGAACAATTATCATTATTTACAAATGATAGGATAGCCCTCCTGGTAATCTTAAGAAAACCATAAGGGAAACTGAATATAACAGAGTTCTACTTCTGATAAAGGTAAAGTAGCTACTATCAGACCAACTCTCCTACAGATAACAGCTACAAATATTGGACAAAATATAAACCACAACTATCTGAGGACACTAGAGAGCAACCAAAAGCAGGCAGAAATTGGAGGGGAGTTAATGTCTGACAAAATGAAAAAGCACTGTTTGAGTTTCTATTTGTACAAGTTTTTCTCTGTGGGCAGACAACATTTGGCACAACGACAGAAACTTGAAATTTTACTAGCTTAAGAACCTGAGATTAGATTCAGGGTGACCAGAGCACTTTGGACATGAGGGAGGATATCCTAGAAAGGAGAGAGCCACAGGAAGCACAGATTCTGGATATAGACTCTCCAAATCTCAAACTGAAGCCTACATATAATGCCTACAGCAATATACTCTAATTGTCTAAGATCCAATTCCAAATTACTAGACATGTGGAAAAACTGGAAAATGTCAGAAAATGCAACAGTGGACACCAACCTTGAGGTAATCCATATATTGGAATTAGTAATCACCATGGATTTAAATAACTTTATGATCAAGAACATAAAGAAAAATAGTTTGTAAAGTACAAAAGGCCAGGAAAACTAAGTAAATAAATGAAAGCCATAAAAAAGAACCGAGTGTAAATTCTAGAACTGAAAAACAATTCTAAAAAAAAAAATTTTTACTGTGTTGGCTTAACAGCAGTTTAGAGGAGATAAAAAAGAGATCAGAGGGAAAATTTGGTGAACTTGGAGACAGAAATGATCCAATCTGAAGAACAGAGAAAAAAGATAGTTTATTTAAAATACATATGGCTGATTAAAGCAAAAATTATGACACTGCATTGTGATATTTATGATTATGTACTATAATAATGATAGCATAAGGGATGGGGCAATGTACATACATAGTTGCAAGATTCTTACATTTTATGGGAAGTGGTACTACACTAATGCTAAATAGACTATAAAATGATAAGAATATATACAACAGCCCAGAAAGCAGCATGTTAAAGAATAAAATGCAAAGAAGAATTAGCTAAAAACCCAACAGATAATTAAAACCAAATGCCAAGATTATTCAACTAATTCAAAATACAGCAGAGAAGGAGGAACAGAGAACAAAAAATAAAGAGACAAACAGAAAACAAACAAACAGTGAAATGGAAGACCTAAATCCAACCACAACAATATTACATTAAATGTAAATGGACTAAACAGTCCATCAGAATGGATAAAGAACTGAACCAAATGCTATTTACAAGATATTCAAATAGCATAAAAAAGCCAAAGTGCTATATTAGTATCAGATAAAGAAAAAATAGTAAAAAAAGATAAGGGACATTTCATGGTGAGAAAAGAGTCAGAAAGACATAATTATAAATGTATATGAGCCTAATATGAGAGTTTCAAAATAGATTAAGCAAATTGACACCATTAAGGAGGAGCTATATACAAATCCACATTCATAAATAGAAATTTTAACATCCCTCTCTCATCAACTGATGGAACTAGTCTTTAATTTTTATTAGTAAAAACAAGTACAATTTAAAGAACACTACTGACCTTAATTAACATTTATAGAACACTATGATGAACAACTTCACAATTACATCCTTGTCAAATGCACATGATATAGTCATCAAGACAGACTACATGCTTAAACAAGCCTCAACAAATTTCAAAAGACTGAAATCTTAACCAGTAAAACTGAAGTGAAAACAATAAAACATCCAGAAAAATCTCAAATATTTGAAAATTAGACTATATTATTCTAAATAACAGATGAGGCAATGGAGAAAGAGAAATTTTAAAATATTTTAAAATGAATGATAAAGAAAATACAACATACAAACTTTTGGCCTCAATAGAAAAAAAAGTAAAAAAGATATGAATGACAAATCACAAAAAGAAATACAAATGTCCAGGAAACATGAAAATACATTGGACTTTACTTTAAATAAGAAATGTACAGTTTTAATTAAGAGCATATTGTTTGAACTTGTAATTTTACTGCTAAAAATTCACCCTAAGTAAATTAATGGATAGGCACACAAGGGCATATTTGAAGGATGCTAATCACAGCACTGTTTACAACAGCAAAAAGAAAAAAATGGTGCAAACAGCAACAGAGTATGGTATGTTTATATAATGAGATTATGTAGTCATATAGCTATTGATATGAAAAGCTTTATATCATGCATTAATTTTTAAAAGTATATTATAAAATATCATATGTAGATTAAGCATACTATTGTTATAAACGTTTTCTCTGTGCCCTATTGGATTTTCATTCACATAGATATTTATTACTTTTAGAGTCATATAAAAATCATGAGAGCCATTTTTAGTTTGAAAATGACAACTACAGAAAAGTTCATTTTTATTTATTTTACTTTGTTCTTCTCTTAATTTATTTTACTATTTGAAAATTATTTTCAAAAATATTTCTTCATACCTAAATCAGGAAACAATTCTTTGTAAGATAATTTTCTAGAATCTGTCTGATAGTATACTACATCTGGAATGCATGTCCCATATGGTTCCTCAAATTTTCTCATTGCTGCCATTCAAAATGTTAGCAATGGGACATAGTACAAAGATTATCCCTTGGAATCAGGAATTCTTGAATTCAAATTCCAGATGTTACTTAACTGAGCAAAGTACAGGATAATTATATGTTACTTATTTAACTGAGCAAAATACAGGATAATTATACCCATTTTGATTCTAACTGTTTTAAGTCTCTGTAATGCATTACAACACATAAGGAATTCAATAATAACAGCATTAAGTACTATTACCTCTTAAAAATTTATCCTTGGAATAAAGTAATCACAAATGAATGCAAGAATGAGTGCCATCTCCCAGATTTGCTTTAGCTTAGCACATCCAAACAATTTTCTTACATATAGTCATTAAAAGTGGTCATTATAATAACTGTTGAAAAATGTTTAGCATGTTATGTGAAGACCTTTAATAAGAATAAATTGGTTACTGTGTTAAAATGTGTCACATATAAAAAATGTGAGGCATATAAAGTAAAAACAACTTTCTTAGGATAGTATTATTTTTCAAAAATTTCCATTATGCTACTTTTTAATAAAAGTAAAAACAACTAATATAACTAAGACAGATAGACATTAAATATGCTACATTTTAGTCTTTTCTACCATATTTTTCAGCAAAATTTGTTTGATTCTATCACATCTGACTCCTTAGCAAATATTTATTGAATACCTTTTATGTCCCATCCACTATGTCAGGTAGCGGGCATACAATGATAGGAAAAACCAGACATAATTCCTTTCCTGTCTCCATGGAACTTACAGTCTAGTAAGGAGAAAGACATGAGTAAAATAAACACGTAAACACCACCAAAAAATCACCACTGTCAGAAACACCATAAAGAGAGGTAGAAAACCGGAGTCAGGGAGGTCAGAGAGGGCATCCCTAGGGAAATGGCATGGAGTGGACATCTAAAGATGAGTGGGAGTTAACCAGATAAAAGGGGAAGGGAAAGACATTCTAGAAAGATAGAATACAGCATGTTCAAAGGCCTGTGGCAGGAGGGAGGGTAACACCCTTGTGAAATTAAAAAGGTCAGTGTAGCTATAGCATGGGACTAGAGGGGAAGCACTGTATGAGATAAGGCTAGAGAAACAGGCAGGGGCTCAGTCATGCAGGATTTTAAAAAAATAAACACTTCCATTTTCAGTTTAGGAGTGATAGGCAGTCAATGAAAAATCGGGACTAGAGATAGGAAGAATAGGTTGTCATGATTAGATTTGATAAGATTATTCTGACTTTCTTCTGTAGTGTAGTTGAGAGGTGATAGCAGCTAGTGGAAATGAAGAAAAAGGGAGAAGTTTAAGATTGGGGAGGTGAAACTGACAATTAAGTGATGACAGGATGGGAGAGGAAATGTCGAAGTTGGTGTTCCAGGTTTCTGCCTCGAATACCCAGTTGGTTGGCTGGTGCTGCCATCTATGGAGTTAGGGAACACCAGAGAACCAGGTTCAGTTCCAAGAACATGATCTTAGTTTTAAACACGATGAGTTTAAGGTAGCTTTGAGATAGACTGGAAGGATTTTCACATAGGCAATTACATACAGTATGAAATATGGAGCTCAGAAGAGAGGTCTAGTCCAGGGGGGAGAAATGTATTATTTCCAAAAGTCTTGGGAGAAGGTAACATTTCCCAGGAAGAGAACAGAATGAGAAGAGAAGATGTGGGAACAGGAATGTTTAATTGCTTGGAAGATGATGAACCTCCAAAGGAGTTAAAAATAATGCTTCAATATAATTTTATTCTAAGCACAAGCAAATTAGCCTGTCACATATTTTGTAAATTATATTCATTTTTTCATTAGGTAATATTCAATTACATAAGTTACTTTTATTACTGGGGAAATACTCAGAAAATGACCTTTGTATTCCTAACATAGTCCTTCTTAAAATTCAACTCCATTTAATAAATACTGCTAAATATTTATGCCGTCTGCTTAATCTACATCAACTTCATTACCTTGGGATTATATTTGATAACACAGTATAATACTCAAAACTATTTTCCTGTATAAAAATGAATGAATGTTTTCAAGGATACAATCTATAAATCTTCCTAATGGTTCAGTTTAATAGCTCTAAAACACAGCCTGTCCTGGCTTTAAGAGCAATTATAGTAAACTGTAGTTATGTGCACTAACTCACAAGCATCACTTATCTCTGTAAATCTTATTTGCTTATCAAATGTCATTGATACCACCTAAACAACAGAGAAGAGATGCTCACTTAAAAACCTGAATTATCCTCTATTTTATGCCCTAATAGGGGAATGAAATACAGAACAATGCTTTTAGTAAGTTATCAATGCCAAGCACGAAAATTCAGTTGGGTTTCATCTTATTGTAAAACAAGTAATTTAGGGAAATATCAATGGAGTAAAAACGGAGTTGATCATTTAATAATATTTAACGATACGATGTGTAAAAAATAGGGATAAAAATGTTTCTTTTAATTATGGTGAAATTATAGGTTGTTAGATTCTATATGATACTATAGCTTAAGAGTTATGAACACTATATGATTTGGCTGAATGTAGAGACTTTTGGCAAAGATGGCTATCTGTACACAAAAATGCTGTAGTGTAGACACTTTTTTTTGTTTGCAGTTAGGTATGGCCACGTGACAGTGAGGTGTGGCCATGTGACTGAATTCTGGTCAATGAATGAAATACGTACAGGAGTGACATATGCCACTTACAGGAGTGGCTCATAAAACTTTCCACAATTGTTCCTTCAGGCTCTTTTCTCTTTCTGACTAGCTGGCTACTGTAACTAGTAGGCCTAGATAATCCCCAGGACAACCTCAGAAGTGATGTTGTTGGCCAGGCATGGTGGCTCATGCCTGTAATCCCAACACTCTGGGAGGCCGAGGCAGGCGGATCACTTGAGGTCAGGAGTTCCAGACCAGCCTGGCCAAACCCCATCTGGTGAAACCCCATCTCTACTAAAAATACAAAAATTAGCCAGGCATGGTGGTGTGCACCTGTAATCCCAGCTACTCGGGAGGCTGAGGCAAGAGAATCGCTTGAACCCAGGAGGCAGAGGTTGCAGTAAGCCAAGATTGTGCTACTGCACTCCAGCCTGGGTTGACAGAGTTAGACTGCCTCAAAAAAAAAAAAAAAAAAGAAGTGATGTTGTTTAAGATGGCAATGTTCCAGTCAGTCACAGTCCCTGACCAGAGTCCACATCCTACCTAATCTAAATGGAAATGCTTTGGACTATTACATGATTAAGAAACGTTTACTGTATTTAATCCTACATTTTTGTTCAGCAGCAGCCTACCCTAACCAGTACAACTATGACGCAGTGGCTCCCCACTGATGAACAGCTTCTACTTTTCTGCCAGCTCTACATTATATTTAAATGCAGACCTTGCATTTTAAAAATCTCAAGCAATGGACAGAGTATACCTTCTGGTGCTATGAACCCTAACATAATGAAACACAATTTAAAGTATTTTGTGTTTCTGTATAAGTTTTTTACATTATGACTATTAAGCATTATTATGGGCTAAAAAGAAAATATTTTGTTTTTTGTTTTTGTTTTTGTTTTGAGACAGAGTCTCGCTCTGTCGTCCAGGCTGGAGTGCAGTAGCACAATCTCCACTCACTGCAAGCTCCACCTCCCGGGTTCACGCCATTCTCCTGCCTCAGCCTCCTAAGTAGCTGGGACTACAGGCGCCCACCACCACGCCCTGCTAATTTTTTGTATTTTTAGTAGAGACGGGGTTTCAGCATGTTAGCCAGGATAGTCTCGATCTCCTGACCTCATGATCCGCCCACCTCGGCCTCCCAAAGTGCTGTGATTACAGGCATGAGCCACTGCGCCCGGCCAAAAATATTTTGTTTTTAAAAACTATTCAGAATTTCTAAATTTAATTTTTTTACTCAGGTCTAAATTTTTTTCTATAGAATTTACTTTGAAGTTTATAAACATGGCAATAAAAAATGTAATTTTACAACAAAAACATTGATTTTCAAAAAATATAAAAAAACATTTTTGGCTTATTATCTATTCATTACAAAACTGTTTTCTGAGTGATTAATATATATTAGGTATTACGGAAACAATACCTAACAATAAAAATTAAAAGCTGCCATTTCAAGTAGCTTCAAGGTTAATATAAAGGAAAAGAAGCAAATAAAGAGATTGTAATTACAATATTGTAATATTCCATTCTAAGTGTATGACACATATATGCATGGAATAAAATAGGAATAGACCCATTATATGGGTCCCAACTGAGACTTCGGAAGACACACTCAGGAAAGGTTTCCTAGAAGAAATGATGTCTAAGGACAATTCGGATTGGTAAAGGGAAAGAAATGGGAAGACTGACAGTCTAGGTAAAGATTATGTCATAAAGTCTACCAAAAATTTTGGATGATTTTAAGTCTGTAGCAAGCCACTGAAGGGTTTTCAGCAGGGGAATGACATGCTCAGGTTTCCATTTTAAAAGAACACAATAGTGGCAGTATGAGAAATTAGTTGGGTGAAAGAAGAATGGTAAAACTGGAGACTAGGACTCTGGGTACTTCAATTTAGATGAAAAGTAATGACAGCCTTAAGTCAGTGGCAGTGGAATTGAAAGAGCTAGGGAGAGTGAAGGGAGGCTGAAAGATAATTAGAAAGAGAAATAATGGGACTGTGGTCAAATATAAGAGAGACAGAGGACTAAAATATGACTTTCAAGTTTCTGGCTAGGAAAATTAGGTGAATATTGCTGCCCACTAATCAATACAATGGGAGAAATGATGAGTCCAGCTGTGATCATCCATAGATTGTGAGAAATAATAGGCTTTTAGAAATACAGTAGAATACTTGATTAAAGTCAGAATGTAGACATAATCTTTATTGTTTAGGTGGTTTTTGAAGCTACTGATTTTATGAGATAAATATGCACAGCAATGTTTCTCAGAGAATGGTCCACTTGGTAGACTTGTTCACAACACATATTTTTGGGCCTTACACTAGACCTAATGACTTAGATTCTCTGGGGTTATTCCTAGGAATCTCCATTTAGTTTCCCAGGCAATTCTTATTTATATTAAAATTTAAGAGCTACAGGTATATAAGGTGGGAAAAGAATGGCAGTTGTAGACTGTCAGAAACATCGATATTGAAGGTAGGCTGGGTGCGGTGACTCACGCCTGTAATCCCAGCACTCTGGGAGGGCGAGGGGGTGGATCACCTAGATTGGGAGTTAGAGACCAGCCTGGCCAACATGATGGAACCTTGTCTCTACTAAAAATACAAAAATTAGCCGGGTGTGGTGGTGTGCACCTGTAATCCCAGCTACTCAGGAGGCTGAGGCATGAGAATTGCTTGAACCTGGAAGGCAGAGGTTGTAGTGAGCCAAGATCACACCACTGCACTCCAGCCTGGGCAACAGAGCAAGACTCTGTCCCAAAAAAAAAAAAAAAGTGTGTTTGTGTGTGTGTATATATATATTATATGTTTTATATATAATATATATATTCCATATATATGTTTTTTTGGTAGTGATTCTGGAGAGTTGTATACCACATTATTAACAGTGGTGATCAATGAATGATAAAATAGGGAGTTTTACATTTTCTTCTGATCAAAAGATTATATAAAAATTTTGGAAGATGGCATTCTATTTTAGTATAGATCATAAAGATTTATAGTTAAAATAGCCAGCTAGGGCCTCAAAATGACTGGAATAGAATAGCCATTTACTTTTCTTTTTAAATGTGTTTTTAGTTTTTATTTTTTAAATCCTGCATTTACCTTTATCTTTTTAAGAATATTTTTAAACCAGAAAATACTTTTCTATGAAACCAGCCAAAATGTCATATATCATGTGGGCAATGAGAAGATCCAATCCAGCATGTGAGAGCTCCCAGAATGCCTGTCATAAGGATTATAGGGAACTTAAACTGAGCACTTAGGAAAATTTTCTTATATAAAGTTAGTTATGTCTAAAAAACAAAACAAAACAAAGAAACAAGAAAACCACCCTTAAAAGGGACAATATATTTCCAAGGTGACCCTTTAACTTCACTTTGTGCACTTCATGGGGAGAAATAGCTACCATATAAAATAAATACAACTGACAATACTAATAGCACAATTCTTAGGTATTTAATTGAACTACCATAATTTTATACTTGAATGACTTCAGCAAAAATTAATGTCAAAACCAGGGCTAGGACTATGGATTTCAATGCTCAATCTCACTCAAATTAGACATATTTCTAAAATTAGACATTCTATAATTTGCTTTAGTAGCTCAATTTCTAAAAAGAATTTTCCAGTGTCTCCTCTTAGATATATGCCAATTTATACTTCAAAATACAAGATGTTATGAGGAACTGAGTATAGAAGTAACAACTGCACAAAACACAACTTAGGCTTTTTTAACAAACCATTTTGTTCTGTATTCAAATACAAAAATAGCCCTTTTAAAAACTCAGAAGTTTCAAAAGTTACTCATGTTCTTAGAAGCATAAGACATTTCTTTCATTACCATGAGCTCGAAGTAAAGCTTCAGCAGTAAAGAGAGGAGCCTGAAGCATGTCTGCAGTTTCCACAATAAGCATATCTTTTAGTCTACGAAGATCCTGAGGCCTTAATCCTTCATATGGCTTTGAAAAGAAAAAAAATAAAGTTAAATGGGCATTATACTCATAGGAAGTTATCAAAATGCCTATAAACAATATATAGTCAGTCCAATGTATCCACGGTTCCACATTCCACGGATTGGATCAACTGTAGATTGAAAACATTTGGGAAAAAAAAAAAGGTTGTGTCTATACTAAACATGCACAGACTTTTCTTCTTGTCATTATTCCTTAAATAACACAGTATAACAACTAATTACATATTATTTGCATTGTACTAGTTAATAACTAACCTAGAGATGATTTAAAGTATATGGGAGGATATGCATAGGTTATATGCAAATACTATACCCCATTTTACATAAGGGACTTGAGTATCTGTGGGTTTTGGTATCCACAAGGGTCCTGAAACCAATCCCCAAGGATACTGAGGGATGACTGTACATGATTATCATTTAAAATCTTCCTATTTAAATTTGGTTATTAAAGTTCAAAAGGCTTTTTTAATGCTCCACTATCATGGACTTCAAACTGCCTTTTCACAAGTCTCTTTCATGCTGCAAAGCAGATACTGGGACTCATGTACCTTATCATTCTAAAAATAAAATATCATAGTATAATGGCAAGACCATCTTATCTTACAGTTTTAAAATTTTGGATTATACAAAAAGTATTAGAAATAAAAACCTATAATTCCACCATTAAGCAATAATCATTATTCAAGTTCTTGGGTATTATTGTCCAGTCTGTTCTTTCTGCAAATCAACTGGGTATGAATATGTATGTTCATTTAGGCACAGTTTTGGGTATTCTATCAATGTAAAAGAAATGGAGCAGAACTTGGTGAATGCCCATAGTCTCAGCTACTAGGGAGGCTGAGAAGTAGGAGGATCACTTGAGCCCAGGAGTTTGATGCTGTAGTGTGCTATAAACATGCCGGTGAATAGCCACTGCAGTCTAGCCTGGGCAACATAGTAAGACCTCATTTTTTTTTTTTAAAGGAAAGTTAACCAAAACTTTTCTATACAGGAATACTATTAAATAAGAGAGAAAGAGGCACTGCAATTTAATCCAAATTATCTTTAGAAAAGCCCCAAACTATTACATACAATTTGCTTTTAAGCTAATTTATGAAACATGAGTTCTCCTACAAAAACCTAATAAACTCTTTAATGGTTAAATTAGTACTACTCATTCTAGTACAGAAGTCATACATTGCTTCTAGAAAATGTATTCCAAATCCAGACTTGGGATTCTGGGTACCTCTCCTTGCCTCAGAAATGACAGTGAATATTTCTTGATATTTCTAATGGTGGCAACTGTGTATTTCCTGGTCTTATATCCTAAATGTTCTTTTTCAGGTTATCCATCATTCGACTTCATTTACGTTGAACCAAATAGGGAGAGAGAAAATGGTGAATTTAATCATGATTCTCCAGATTAGTGTTATCGAGAGAATGACAGTGCAAGTAACTTATAGGGGAAAATTAGCTTTGCTTGCAGTTCTGACATGATATATGTGAAGATTTAATTTTAGGTAAATTAAGAAAGAAGGGATAATATGAAACAATCTGCATAGATCCAGTTTTTTAAAATGCACGCAGTTTTAAACTTCAATAGGTAACAGTGGAAGAAAAATAATTCTTAAAGGACAAAGACATACTGCCTTCATGAACATATATCCACTCTGAATCTTCACAACAGAACTGTAATTAGGTCATGTGAAGCATTTCAACACATTGCTCAGTCCCAAGTGGGCACTACTTTTCTTCTGCAAGACAGATTAAAATGAAAGTACCTTTCTCTTTCCTGTTGCAAAGATAAACTGCTTCCATTTTCAGACTAAACAAACCAGCAATAACCTTCAAAGCAGTCAGTACTGACATAAAGAAAGAAAAAGAAAACTAAATTAAAAAGAAACGTGAATAAAATTACCTCTTTTGCATTAGTGCATACTACTGCTACCAAAAGACCATTGAAAGATTGTGAAACAGCCTATTATACAAACTGCACTACCTTGATATTATCATAAAATAGTTCTCTTCAAAAATTATTTCAGAAAGGCTGTCACATAAAGAAGTTATGAAAGTATTTGTTTTTATTTTTTTCACAAGGAAAATAGCCTCCCCTCCCTATTGGTAAAACATGTTTATTGTTAAAAGAAAAAAAAAAAAGAATAGGCACTTATTTACCCAAAAGTAACTGTAACTGTTAAAAGTTTAAAAGATGTTTAGATGTTCAGGGAGAAAGGATATTTCTAATTCCCTTTAACAGCAATCTCTCATTAGCTGATCCATGAGCTTAGCTTGGGAGGGAGGGTGGAAAAAATAGCCAGGAAAGTTTTTAGGATTCTTTGACCTTTCCCTTCATTTCAGCTTCCTCTCTCCTTATTCAGCAGTTCTTGCCTGGGCATCAAGACCTAGGCTACCCTGAGCTGTACTCTGAAATAACAGAAACCCAGCAGCTTCTGCAGAGAAGAGCAGGTTAAACCTGCTAACTAATGTAGCCAGCAATGTCCAGCATGAGTTTCTTGCCAGAAAAAGAACGTTGAGCCTTTTTAAGTTATATAGACTAAGAGTGGGGAAGGGAAGGATGATTCTTTAGATGGGCTTTCATAGCAGCATATTGCCCACTTTTCCCTCCATACACTCAGATGTAGTCACACAGTCCTGCTCCTACAGAATCTGACCCCAACCTAGGTCTAATACTCGCTAATGTTTCTGTTCTCCCTTTGGTGTTTAAATACATTGAACACACACTCTTCCTAGCCATCACATAAATACCTCATTTAAGAAATCTCTTTATAGCAGTTCCCACTCTCCAAAATTACATGTTCACTTACTTTTAAACTTATTTGTGTGTTTCTCTCTCCCTGTTGGAACGTAAACACCTAGAGTGTAGTCACTTATCTTTGTTCCTCCAAGCATCTAAAACAGTGTCTAGCAGTCACTCAGTTTTGTTGAATGATGGAAATAAGAGGTGGATTTTACCCATTTATAGTTTAATTATTTGAAGGAAAAGACTAAATTAAGAAGTTATAGAAATATACACTGTCCAGATCATTAACTAAATTAAAACTCAGCTGAAATATACATTTCACCTTCAGAACATAAATTTTTAAAAGTAGTTAAACATATGACTTAATATAATCACACAGCAGGCCATGTAAAATCACCAGCATAGGCAAAATAATCCAGAAGTCAACCAGGGTCAAAGTAGAAGGTACAAATATAAGTTTTAAAGAAAGCATTGATGTTTTTAAAAATTCAAGGGGGCCAGGCATGGTGGCTCACGCCTGTAATCCCAGCACTTTGGGAGGCCGAGGTGGGTGGATCACTTGAGGTCACGAGTTCAAGACCAGCATGGTCAACACGGTGAAACCCTGTCTCTACTAAAAATACAAAAATTAGCCAGGTGTGGCAGTGGGCGCCTGTAATCCCAGCTACTTGGGAGGCTCAGGCAGGAGAATGGCTTGAACCTGGGAGGTGGAGGCTCCAGTGAGCTGAGATCGCACTACTGTGCTACAGCCTGGGCAACACAGTGAGACTCTGTCTCAAAAAATAATTTTAAAAAAATTCAGGTAAAACTCATAACATAAAATAAACCACTTTAAGGTGTACAATTCAGCAGCATCTAGAACATTTTCAGTGTTGTACAATCACCACCTTTATCTAGTTTAAAAACATTTCCATCACTCCAAAAGAAAGTCCTATAAACATTAAGCAGTCACTCCTTCTCTTCCCTGCCCCTAGTTCTTGGCATTTTAGTTTTCTCGCTCCTTATTCAGCTGTTCTTGCCTGAGCATCACAGGAAGCCAGCAGCTCCTGCAGAACAGAGTAGGTTAAACCTGCTAACCAGGTAGCCAGCTAAGGCAATGTCCAGCATATGAGTTCTGTTTCTATGGCTTTTATCTGTTTTGGATCTTTCATATAAATGGAATCATTCAAATGTGACCTTTTGTGTCTGGCTTCTCGCACTTAGCATAATGTTTCTGAGGTTGATCCATATTATATATAGTGTGTATTAGTAGTTCATTCCTTTTTATGGCTGAGTAATATTCTATTGTGTGTATATCTCACATCTTGTTTACCCATTCATTAGTTGATAAACGTTTGAGTTGTTTTCACCTTTTGGCTATTACAAATAGTACTGTTATAAACATCCAGGTAATATAGGTATTTACTTGAGTATGAAAGTATTACTCTTTACATTGTGAAAATAGTAGACAAAACAAATCCAATATGGGTTGAAAAAATCTACAAAACTAGAAAAATACAGGGACATGTGATCATAGTATTAGCAAGTCACAAATTCAGAAGACAAAAAGGAAAAAAAGTTATAACTCTGAATACCATATAAGTAAAAAACTTAGGATATGGAAAAATACACAAAGTTCTCTTAGAAAGCATTAAGAAAACAAACTTCATAGAAAATGCACAACTGAACAGTCAATTTACACGATAATCAGAGAAATAAACAAGGTACCATTTATTTGTCCAAACTGGGTAAATAATAACACTGATAATATTCAATGCTAGCAAGAATGTGGAGAAAAAGATTCTCTAATATACTAATGAAATAAAAGTAAATCAATATAATCTTTCCGGACAGCTTAAGAGCATCTGACAAAGTTTAAAATCTTATGGCCCATCAAATCAATTTCTAAAGACATATAGGAACTATACTTTTAAAATGTGTAAACAATGCAATAATGACGACTACGAAGTAATAATCATGATTATAGCAGCAGACAATTAGCTAATGTTGAAAATGAGCCAGGCACTGGTCAAAGCTTATACATATATTAACTCATTAAGGATCACTATAACCTTATGAGGTAGGGACTGTTAACTTCATTTTAAGAAGAGACTGAGGCAGAGAGTTTAAATAATCTGCTCAAGGTCACATAGTAAGTCAGCCATCAGGCAAAGATATGAACTCAGTCTGGCTCTAGAATCTGTATTTTTAACTACAATAATGGCACAATTGGATAAAGAAGATATATATCAGACAAATATTCACTGCAGCCTTGTTTTTAAAGGTAAAAATATATAAATTACTTAGAAGTTTAGCAATAGGTAAATGTTTAAAATATGTAGATTGTATGTTCTGACTTAGGAGAGATGTTCATGATATATTGTTAAGTTGAAAAAATATAGAATACAATATATGACATGATCTTACTTTTGCATTAAAAATTCAATATACATATATGTTTGCTTAAGTCTGGTAGTACACTTAAGAAACTGTTACCACTCGGGGATACAGTCAGGATGAAGAAATTATTTTACATTTTTAGCAATAAATACTCATTATAAATGTCAGGAAATGCATGAAAATAGACAAAATAATAATTGTAAAGGAGATTACCTATAATCATAATGATCATTTTGGTATACTTCAATATTCTTCTTGTACATAGTAGTTTTTCCTATAGAATTAGCATCAAACTTTTCTGTAACTTTTTTCTTAACATAATATTAGTTATATTAAGTCCTTTTAGATATTAAATCTACTGATAATGCCTACTATTATTACCTGATTCAATTATAAATTAAAATAAGATGGTATTTTGGGGAAAAAACTAAATGTCTTGCAGTTTAATTACATCAATATTATTTCTGGAATATTACTGCTTAAATGTCTTCTGACTAAATGACTACACTAATTATTACAGTAAAAATTTCTGTTTGACGCAAGATAATGGATTGTCAAAAAGGAGGCAATATGGCAAACGGAAGTTGTTTGGACCTGAAGTCAGAAGAATCAAGTTCAGCTCACTTTGATTCTGGCAAGTTATTCAGTTATTTTCTAGTTTACTTCCTCACTAAAAAAAGGTGGGGAGGAGAGCACAACTGTCATTCAAGGTTCCCATGTGGATTAAATAACCATGTGAAGGGCCAGCAAAACGCTTAGGGCATAGGCCTTCTGTCTTTCTATGTGTACTTAATCTGAATAAGCTTGCCTATAAAATAACCTAACTACAGAAACAAAGATTTTTTAAAAAGTAAATTTTAATCCCAAGAAACTCAGTTCTTTTGGCCATATGGAGAGTATAAAGCTCCGAAATTGTTGGGAATCCATGGGGAAAATAAACAACACAATTGTATGATTATTTTTCTAAACATGTACAAACCAGTAGTTACATAATACCTTTTAGAATCAAGTTAGCACTAAACACTGAGGAATCAGAATCCTTTTGGGAGGAAAAAATTTACTGTGTTATAATTTCTTTAAGAAATATCTATGGATGCCTGTTTTGTGCAAGTAGTGTTTCAAACACTGAAAACAGTCTGCTGAATAGGCAGATATGGCTCTAGCCTTCATGGAATTGACAGTCTAATAGGAGAGAAAGGCAATAAACAAGTAAACAAAATACATAAAATAATTATAGCATGTGATAGGTCCTATGAAAAATAAACAGGGGGTATAAAGTTTCAGATAAGACAGGAAGAATAGGTTTTGAGATCTATTACACAATGGTGACTTTAGCCAATAATAATGTATTGTATATTTCAAAATAAGAGTACATTTCAAATGTCTCATCTTTAAAAAATGATAGGTGAGTTAGGGATGGATATGTTAATTAGCTTGATTTAATCATTCCACATTGTATATACATATCAAAACACAACACTATACTCCCAAATGTATACAATTATTATTTTTCAATCAAAAATATTAATAAAAAATTTAAAAATTAAAATAAAAAGGGCATACAGTAAAGAATAACGGGAAGAGAGGAGACCTATTTTAGAAAGAACGGCAAAAAATAACTGCGAGATTTCAGACATAGGAAAGAACAACTGCAAATGCCTTGGTGTAGTCTAGGTATTACAATTAGAGCAAAGTGTGCCGGGGAAAAAAGGTCTGAGATAATGCTGGAAAGGTAGGTAGTGGTCAGATCACATAAGGGCTTACAACTGAGCAAACAGTTTGGATTTTATTCTAAGTACAACGAAAAATCATTAAATGATTTAAATGATATGTATAACATTTAAAATGTCATTCTGAATCCTGTGTACAATATGGATTCTAAAGATACAAGAATAGAAGGAAGAAGACCAGTAAGGAAACTATTACAGTAGCTCAGATAAGAAGTGAAGGTGGTGAGGGCTTAGAGAGGTAGGAGTACAGGTTAGGAAGAACAAATGAATTTAGGTTGTATTTTTGGAGGTAAAATTGACAGGATTCCCCAATTGTTTGGATGTGATGATTAAGAAAATGTGAGGAATCAAGAATGCTTCCCCCATTTATGCTTGAGCAACTCAGTGGACAGAGGTAATATTTATTGAGACCGGGAAGACATAAAGGAAAATCAGAAGAGAATGTTGTCCCCAAAGCCAAGAGGAAAGTGTTTCATTAAGAAGGGATTGGTCAATTGCATCAAGTGCCACTGAGGAATTCAAGTAAGATGAGGGCAGAAAAGTACCTACTAAATTTGGCAACATGTCACTCCATGACGGGGGGCAGTTCCATCAGAGTAGAAGGGAAGAAAGTCATACTGCAGTGGGCTAAAGAGTGAATGGAAAGTGAGGAAGTGGTTCTCTCATAAGAAGATGATATGGGGCTACAACTAAAGGGGAAGAGAGACAGGGCTAGGGAAGGGTTGAGTCAATGGCTGCTTTTATGTTTTTTGTTTTGTTTTTAAGATGGGATCTACCAAAGCATGTTTGTTGATATGATCAATCCAAAAGAGAAGGTGAGACTGATGAACAGGAGGACTGGAGTCTTGTAGTAGGAGGAGTAAATGGGATTCATATCTCACATCA
Source organism: Homo sapiens (assembly GCF_000001405.40). Classification (NCBI taxonomy): domain Eukaryota; kingdom Metazoa; phylum Chordata; class Mammalia; order Primates; family Hominidae; genus Homo; species Homo sapiens. Next base: position 92,320,034 of record NC_000007.14, on the reverse strand, counting down.
GCACCTTATTTATTTGTAAGTAAACACACTCATATATGATAGACAAAAGACCCATAGCTCCAGGTTTCCTAGATGTTATTATTTATTTATTTTTAAAGTTAGAGACAGGGTCTCACTTTGTCGCCAGGCTGGAGTGTCCTGGCATGATCATAGCTCATGGCAGCCTTGAACTCTTGGACTCAAGTGATCCTCTTGCCTCAGCCTCCTGAGTAGTTAGGACAATGAGTGTGGGCCACCATTCCTGGCAAATTTTTAAAATTTTTTGTAGATAGAGTCTTGCTATAGCCCAGGCTGGTCTCAGAACTCCGGTGCCTTGGCCTCCCAAAGCACTGGAACTACAGGCATGAGCCACTGTGGTTGGCCTAGATGTATTTTTATACTTTATGGCTATGAAGATGACAGGATATTTAGAATACTGTAAAGAAGAACACACAAACTGAGTTTTAAAGAAGAAAAATACAAAACAACATAAAATCTAAAATTACATGTAATTTTTTTACTGAGAAGAAAAAATAAACTGACCTCTCGTTTGTCTAATGCAGCATATTCAGCTTCTATTTCTTCAGCCTCGGGATCCCGTGAGAATACCATTTGAGATTCCAGATTGAGGGCCAAATCTTTGTGGTGTTGCTTTTCAGCACAATCACAAGGAGTATCTTTATTTTCATTCTCAGCAAACAAGTCTCCTCCATGTTTTACTAAAAGCTAAAAAAGTTTTTTTTCAAAAACTTGCAACTACAGGTTCAAATAAGTTATTTCATGCTATTTTTAAAACATTAAAAATATAATAAAATTAACACAACAAAAATGCAACAGTATGTACAGTATGTATTTGAAATGACAAAAAAAAAAGGTATTTAGATACCAGTGGCTTCTGATTTTAAGATTAGTAATTCTTGTTTTTCAGTAATGAATGACTTCGTCTTGTTAAAAAATAATTTAAAAAAACCCAAAACCAATTTTTTAAACTTCAGAAATTAAGCATTTTGTGTAGTCCAAAAATAAAATTTGAAAAAGCTTATAGTTACTCAGTACTTTAAATTTTTAAATTTCTTATAATTTCTATAAATCTTTCTTAAACAAGGACACTGCTGATACTGTTAATTTAACTACTAAAGTCTGGATGTCCTGGCATGGCAGACAAAAGTTTCATTCATTATCCAGTGAAACACTGAAATGAAATTAGGATGAGCAAGTCACTGAGGTAAAGCTGTTTTCAATATTCTTCAAAATAAGTAATGGGACTAGCTACTGATAGCCATATTGGGAAGCTAAGTCTATCCATCTCTCTTTGACCCAAAGAAATCCCACCTTTAAAAACACATGGAATAGTAGCTTGACTTGTTTAGTAATGAGGTTTCTGCTAGCTTTGCAGAAATTAAGTATGTTGTTATTAAGGACTGTAGGTTCAAGTTTCCCATTATGTCTGCAAAGATATTAAGAAGGGCATGAATGCCAGGAAAGCCATGTCTAGGACAACTCTAATGGACAGCCTGACAGTCACAGGATTATTTTTGTTTTTGTTTTTGAGACAGAGTTTTGATCTGTCACCCAGACTGGAGTGCAATGGCATGATTCTGGTTCACTGCAACCTGGGTTCAAGTGATTCTCCTGCCTCAGCCTCCCGAGTAGCTGGGATTACAGGCACCCGCCACCACGCCCAGCTAATTTTTGTATTTTTAGTAGAGATGAGGTTTCACTATGTTGCTTAGGCTAGTCTTGAACTCCTGACTTCAGGTGATCCACCCGCCTTGGCCTCCCAAAATACTAGGATTAAAGGTGTGAGCCACCGCGCCCAGCCACAGGATTCTTTTATAGGATTCAGTCATACTCATAATAATATAGTAACAGTCACTATTTATTGTTTTCTAAACACTTTAAAGCACACACTCTCATTTAATATTAACAACCCCATAAAACAGGGGTATTATTGTATCTCAGAATAGTTAAGTAGCTTGATTAACTAAAATTACCCAGCTAGTAAGCAGTAGAACTGGGATTCAGATACAAGTCTGACCAAGTTTTTAACCATGACTGGACACTATACTGACTCGTAAGTAGGTAGACTAATCATATAAATCGAAGTGAAATGCATTCTGGGTCCATCTTGAAGTTCTGCCCAGACTCTTACTTATGATCTAAATGTTAACACTTTTTAGAGATTTTCATTTCGCATGAGTTGATCAAAATGGTAGCTTCTTTTTATTTTCTTCCAAATAATTTTATCTTCTTTCTCTCCTCAACAAACACACAATCTTCCTATAAAGTTCTTTGGAACGGGAATCCTCACGGTTCTCCTACAGTCCTAAGAATGCTTACAAAACAACGGGCTTATATCAATGCCAGATCTGGAAGCCATGGGCTAACTTGACAAGCCCACTGGATTTGACTTTAGCTTCTTGCTCTAGCCAGAGGTATGCCTTAGAGCTAAGGTGGTTTTTAAGTTGTAAAAATAAGCAAATCAAACAAGACTATGAAATATAGACCTATGGCCACAATGCTTAAAATATTTACTATCTGGTCCTTTACAGAAAAATGTTTGCTAAGAATGGCTCTAAGTTGTCATTCTGGCAGCCACCTTCTAGATTCCGAGGGCAAGGTCTTAGCAGCTGCTATTTACCACCTAGAACCTTTTTACTGCAAGTGTGGTCTGGGGACCAGTAGTATCTCCTGGGAATTTGTTAGAAATGAAGAATCTCAGCCTCATCCCCAAACCCCTCCAAGCCCAGGCCTCTGAATCAAAATGTCATTCTGATCTCCAAGAGATTCTTTTTGCACAAAAATGTTTGAGAAGCAATGAGCCTAAAGTACAACCAATGTGGCTGTGGAAACTGATAAATTTATATTACCTAATTTATTCAATACGGGGAACTTATAGTAAATCCAGAGACTTATCATATCCATAGCAGGATCTATTACTATTTCTACCCTCTCTGTTTCACAGGTTACCAACACCTAAACACAAAATAGACTATCTGCTCCTGACTGCTGCAGAACTAAAGAGCTGACTTTATTCTTGAGTTCTTTATTCAGAGTCCCAGAAAATTATTTCTAAAATGCATGCTGGGATAACTTTCAAAATCAGGATTTGGTTTACTTTGCAACAGATATTACCACACAAAAAATATTAAATTTTAGAAAACAAGACAAATCATCTTTAACTTAATGCCCTAGTCTTCCTTAACAAAAGCAAAGACAACAAAATTTAAGAAGCTGTACCCTAACAGAATCTTGGTAAGGGGAACCTTATTAAAAGGATATGCCAGAATGTGGACTTCATTCATTGGGGGGTTAAAAAAATGTGTGTGAAGAGGGGATGTGTGAGAAGTCATCGTTGAAGGTAACTGCTGACCATTATTAGAACCTGGGTGAGAATGATTGGTAAACTATCTTTGCAAGGTGCTCCCTAATGAGTTTGACTGCAGTTGGGGTGAGGGAACCATAAAGACCTGTATCTCATTGCTGCCATTTGGCACCTGTAGAGAAACTCATAATCAATTATGAAATGGAAGGATCCATGTTTGTAGCATTAGACTTGGCTATGAAAATCCACCTGCATGTTATCTTTGGCATGGAAGACAGCTGACAGCAATAATGCCTGACATTGAGAAGAATGTGTTAAAAAGTACTTCAGCTTGCTGACCTTTACGGCATAAAGTCAGGAACACCAGTAAGTAAAAGATGCATTAAGGGGAGATAGCTGCTAAAGTGTTGTGGAATAAAGTTAGGTGTCTTACTTTGACAAAATAGAAAGTTATGTCTGGTTCTGAAGAGTACTTTTTAAATGCTTCAACCAAAGCATCTCAACTAAGTATCTGCTTTCCCAGTCTCAAATTAGCTAAGGAGGGCTTAATAGGAGGACTGAATATTTTACTTAAATATGGTTTTAAGCCTATCTTGGTGGCACATAAAATGTTCTACCTTAAAAGAAACCAAATTATCATGATCGCAGCACATCTGTTCTTCTATTCTGCCTTTCTTTCCCTTCACAATTCCAGAGGAAGAGGGGTAGGGGGCTTTAAGAGAGGTAACCCCTACTATTCAAGACAAACCCTACCCCATCCCTTTGATCACCCTCTAAATGGGTGGTGACTCTGGATTGACTTACTCAGGATTATAACTTAATCCTGCTATCCTTCTAGTTACTTTCCTAAAAATTTTCTATCTTTCTTGGCCTTCACATTTCTCAAATTAGTTATTGATACCAACTGTCTCTCAATTTCCTCAGCAAATGACTCAATTATGCCCAGGAATATGACTTCTACCTGGACTATTTTAATGAAACAATATTCCAGAAAGTCATTAATACCTCCTAACTCTCAAATCTATCAGCGTTTCTCAGTCCCCCCAATTCCTTTAGCTTTCTGCAGCACATTACATGATTAAACAGCTCCTCTCCTTGAAATTCTTCTCTTGCATCTTTGACATTGTATCATCTTGGTTCTTTTATTTCTCTATTTTTTGTGTTTCCCTCATAGGCACTACTTCTTGTTCTCATCTCTTTGAACACAGGCATTCTTCAAATTGATGCTGTGACTTTAACTCTGTTATTTTATCTATAACCTAAAGTCTTTTCCTTGCATCTCTCATCTATACATTATCTTGCTTTTAGCTGTCAACTCTATGTAGATAACACTCAATTCTAAATTCTAAATGAGTGTCTATATTCTTTATTCCCTAACACTTTAGTTGTAATTATCAACAGCCTGCCTACCATTTCATGTGGATAAGCTAGGATGTCAATATCTAGCCTTCTAAATGAAAACTCAATATATTCTCTCTTCCTTTCAACCAATTTCTCCATTTCACCTTACTTTCTAATGTCTGTTAATTGTTAGCAGGCTTCGAAGTCACTTGGGCTCAAAATCATGCCCATCTTATTTAAAAATAAAGTTAATTAATTTTACTCTAATTATAGATGTGATAGCAGGTATAGAGAATGTACACAAATCAAAAAGAGAGAGCTCACTATTGTCAATATTAAACATTATAGAGCCTCCATCCTTTTTTTTTTTAACCTTTCTTTCCCTTGCTTTCTTATTATCAACTGACTGAGTCACCAAAGGCTAACAGTTCTTCACAATGTCCCTGGCATCTGCCTCATTCTTTCCATCTCCAGTACCACCACACAAACCCAGACGCTTTGTCAGTTCACAATAGAATTAGCGCATTAATCTTCTAACTCCTATCACTCCTTCTAATACATTGGTACTCAACTTACCAATGTCTGGGGTCCCCTCTCACAAATTTAGATTTTATTGGTCTGAGGTTTCTGTGCAGCCATGCTTAGAACTACTGTTCTAGCACAAAGGTTTTCAAACTGTGTAAGAATTATTTGGGTAGCTTGATAGTCATATTAGGTAGATATGGAGAGGGGACTGTAAGAGGTATGTATACTTTTTACAGGTGATTCCAATATAGGTAGCCCACAAATTATGCCCCAAGCTAGGGTTCTCAAGCTTTAAATAAGAATCCCTTTGGGATTTTGTTAAACTACATTCAAATTTGGTTGGTCTTGGATGGAGCTGAGATTCTGCATTTCCAACAAGTTCTCAGGTGACTGATGTCAATGCCAGTCTAAGGACGATTCTTTTGAGTAGCAAGGCTTTTAAGAAACACTGCTTTGGAAGTACCCCATTCAAATCTATTGTACATTACAACCATCAGGCTAATCTCATCATATTTGCTTTCATAATATCACTCTCCGATTAAAAATTCTTTTTCTTTTTTTTTTTTGGAGACAGCATCTCGCTCTGTCACCCAGGCTGGAGTACAGTAGCATGATCACGGCTCACTGTAGCCTCCACCTCCTGGGCTCAAGTGATCCTTCCACCTCAGCCTCCTGAGTAGCTGGGACTACAGGCGTGCATCACCACGACTGGCTAATTTTTTGATTTTTAGTAGAAACAAGCTCTCACTATGTTGCCCAGGCTGATCTTGAACTTTTGGGCTCAAGATACGCTCCCGCCTCGGCCAACCAAAGTAGTGGGATTACAGGTGTGAGCCACTGCACTTGGCCAAAAAATTTTCAATGGCTCAATTTTCTCTAAAAGAAACCCCAAATTCTTAACCTTGGCATTTAGTACTTTCTACTTGGTACATCCTCTATCCTCCTTTAAAGTAATGTTTTATTACTCTTCCACAAAATACTTCAATCTGCGTATGTCTGAGACCTAGAACAGTGCTTCTCAAACTCTGCCATGCAAATAATCACCAGGAGAACTTGCTAAACATTTCTGGAATCTATTCCCAGAGATAAACGTTCAGAATGTGAAGGTCTGGTTGGCCCAATAATTTGTTTATTATAACAAGTTGTCAGAACTGATGCTGCAGGTCTGAGAGCCACATTTTGAATAGCCTCCTCCAAATACTTAAACTGAAATATTACCCACTCCAATCTTACTACTACCCATGAAATCTTCCAGGATATGTAAAATTAAAAAATTATCTCTTCAATACCTGTAACAGTCACTGCCTAAATAGTTAATATAGGCCTTAGCATCATAATAGTTGAGGGACAATAATGAGATCATAAGTATCTTGATTAAAAATTAGAAAACAGAGGCCCAGACAGGCAAAGTTACTCAGCTACTGAACCGGAAATATAATTCCTGTATTCTTTACACAGTTTTAAAACTCTAGGTGCTAAAAACACAATATAATTAGGTAATATTCTTCAGTCTGACCTGTGAATGGTTTTTACGACTTTTCAATGAAGTGTGAAACGCTCCCATAGCTGCCAAAGTGTCAAATAGGCCCTGTAGCTGTAAAGGAAAAGTGTGACTTACCACCTTTGGTTTTATAGTGACCTCTATTTGATCTGACATGAAGCAGCTACACTTAAAACTCTGAATAAGCAAGTAGGGCACAGCTGAATAGGAAATATCTAAGATAACACTCATTTAAAAAAATGCTTTTCACAAAGAGTAAAGCACTATCAAAAACAACCCCTGTCACATTCACCATTTACTGAATCACTATTACAGGTTAAGCACTAATGGAAACATAATGAGGCCTAATGACTAGGGTTGCTCTATGGAAGTCTACCAAAGGAAGAAATATCACTGGATGTTTTACTAAGCCATGCTAATAGACCTAACCCACCACCCCTCTCAAGTCCATTCCTGTTCCCAAGTAGAAAACAAAAACTCTCAGTAACTAAGAACAGTATATTATTTATTAAATTTTTGTCAGACTTATGTTTTAATGGAGCTTTATTTTTGTGTGCTGAGTATCCATTACATAGTACTTTTTAAGTCCTTTGTATAACTGAAGCTTATAGGACCTGTTACATATTGATAATGTTATTTTACATATTTAAAATAAGCTTCAAGTATGGAGTCATCTTAGGCCAAATCAAACCTGCTGCCTGTTTCTGTATAGCCCACAAGCTAAAAACAGTTTTTACATTTTCAAATGATTGAAAAGAATAAATAGAATTATTTCATGACATACGAAAATTATAAGCAATTCAAATGGTGATGTCCATAAATAAAGATTTATTAGAACACTGCCATTCTCTTTTGTTTCTGTATTGTCTGTGGCTGCTTTCAGGGTAAAATGTCAGAGTTGACTAAAATATTTACTATCTGGGCTTTCACAGAAAAGTTTGCTGACCTGTAAATAATTTTTGGAATATTAAATAAAATTAGAATTTCAGGTGCTTTAGTTATAGTCTGTCCTTAACAAATGTTTATCATATAAGCATTTCTAATTGTCAAACAATTGTAGACTACTCCTTTGCATTATTTTTATCTCACAAATAATTTAGAATAATTAATTTGTGAAACTTCAGGTTTTTCTGTGTAAGGAAGTTCTGAAAAATATGCCAAAATGAGGATTCAACATAAAGCACTTGGTGTTAGAAAGTGGCCACAGAAATAAATGGAGGAACTGGTCCAAAGAGACAGAGGTCTACTCTGCCATGGGTAGTATGAGTTTGATGCAATTTAAAAAAAAGAGGCAGATCCAAGGCAAGTGCAGGTATCAATACTGGATAAGGAGATAATGGTAGCATCATTAATAGAATCTAGAGTCAAGAATCAAGCACTAGTGAAGTCTCTACTGGGTAGAAAAGAAGACAGTACAATTTTGAAAACGCTGAATTTGAGAGATTGTTGGATATCCATACGAGGAAGTCAACCAGGCAACAATATAGCATGAAGTTCAGAGAAGTCAGATATAGGCATCAGAGACACAGATAACCAATGCAACTCTCTACATACCATGTGATACCTTCACACCTGGAGGTTGCCTGAAGAACTCTATAATTAAGGGGTTTTAATTTTATGTTCTGTGTGTGTGTGTGTGGGGGGGGCGCTTATTACAGAACATAATTATTACAGGGAGATGGTGAAGTCTTAAAATAAATATTTTATTTCTATGGTACAAAATAATGAGCTATAAGAAACTGTTTAAATTATTAAATGCCAATGATGACTTCATCAACTCTATCCTTAAATAAATATACCAGAGAGAAAAACATTTTCGACAGCTAGAGAAGATATACTTCCACAGATGTAGTCAAGAAACAGGCTGGCCTTAACAATGGGAAAAAAGATAATCTCTTTGATCTTAAAGGCTAGACACTAAAAATGGGATAAATTTTACTGCAATAACAGGCTAATAGAGAATTTGTGTTAAAAGGAATCTTCTAAATAAATTTGAGATCATCTATTCCAACCACCCAAGAGGAAACTATTACAGTGGCTGAGTGACACATGCAAGGTTCCATGGATAGTTACTCTGAGGATCAAGACTAAAAATCAATGCTCCCTCCACCATACTATAATCTCTTAGTTTTATGAAACATTAATAAATATCTGACGACACTTTCACTCAACCCAAACCTTTATATCATGCTTGGTACCAATGAGCACTATAAACATCAGAAAGCATTATACAAATGTTAGTTATTATAACTATTATTCTTACAGCCAAAGACTAAAAGCAATGATACAAAGAAATGTTTAGAAAAAAAATATTTAAATTAACTATGACAGTAAACTTTATAAGAGACATCTAAGCCTTTCCCGTTCATCAAAGTAGTATGATACCACCTGAAAATAACTAGAGACTCATACTAAGAATTAAGTTGTACAGTTAAACAGGTCACATATTTTAATGTATAGTCAGCCTTCTCTATCTGTGGTTTCCACATCCTTAGATTCCACATCCCTGGATTCAACCAACAGCAGGTAAAAAATATTTGGAAAACAAATATGGATGGTTGTGTCTGTATTGAACATCCACGTTTTTTTCTTGTCATTATTCCCTAACGACACTTACATTGTACTAGGTATTATACGCAATCTAGAGACAATTTAAAGTATAAGGAGGATGTGTGTAGGTTATATGCAAATACTGTGCCATTTTCTATAAGGGATTTGAGCATCTGTGGATTTTCGTATCTGCAGAGAGTCCTGGAACAAATCTCCCTTGGATACCAAGTGACAACTGTATTTATTGTATGCACTTGTACAAGAAAACAAAATAAGGCTTCTGGAGATAGTTAATATATGCTTCCCTGAGAAACTCTTCTGGTTTAATTAGCAGTATGCATAATAGAAAATCATTAAGGGCCTAAGGTTGGACAAGAGTATATATACTCAAGTATATATAACAGATCAAAGATAAGCTTTATCTGAATAAAATATGCTGAAATGTTATAAAAAACTAGAATAAATGTAAGGTATTTATAGGGCTCCTTTTAGAATGTTTTATATTTAATAGTAAGTCAAAGAGCTCTTCTGAATACAGAAAATGAAAACAATCATCAAATGATGTGACTTATGTGATGTGATATGCTGATAGGTCAAACAGTTAAAGCACACACACACATTTACATGCTCACACATACGTATCAAGCAAATTGTCAGGCCTGCCAGATAGTACAGTATAAACCTGGCACTAATTTCTTTCACTGAGCAAAAAATAATGCTGGTAAAACACCACTCTCAATTTTTTGAAAAATTTAATAAGTATGTCATTGTCAACATACTTCAAAATCAACAACTACTAAAGCAATGCTTATAGAGAAAAGTTGGAAGCAAGATATTAAAGCATTTAATTTATATATATATATATATATATTTTTTTTTTTTTTTTTTTTAGATGGAGTCTCGCTCTGTTGCCCAGGCTGGAGTGCAGCGGCCCCATCTTGACTCACTGCAACCTCTGCCTCCCATGTTCAGGCGATTCTCCTGCCTCAGCCTCCCAAGCAGCTGGGACTACAGGTGCCTGCCACCACGCCTGGCTAATTTTTGTATTTTTAGTAGAGACGGGGTTTCACCATATTGGCCAGGCTGGTCTCAAACTCCTGACCTTGTGATCTGCCCGCCTCGGCCTCCCAAAGTGCTGGGATTACAGGTGTGAGCCACCGTGCCCGGCCTATTTAAAATATTTAAGAGCACTATTGCTACCATCCAGAAAAATCTACTTTCTACTCCAGTCCATTTGAGAAATATGATGCAGTCCCATCAATAATGGTGAGTCATTATAGCAGGAATTCTTCCACAATAGGTAAACACAGGACAATGTACAGAGAAGCTTGTGTAAAAAGCCCCAGGAATTCTGCTATTAGTCCCCTACCCTCCAAATCCTAGGAGATTCTTCCACCACAGTGAATCAACGTTAGAAAACATTGGAGCCAGGCTTGGTGGCATGTGTGTGCCTGTAGTCCTAGCTACTCCAGAAGATGAGGGAGGGAGATCGCTTAAACCCAAGAGTTTGAGACCAGCCTGGACAACATAGAGAGATCTTGTCTCTTAAAACAACAAACAAACAAGAAAGTATTGCTTGAAAAATAGTTTCAAGTTAATGACCATCACTAACTAACTAATGGGTAAAGGTTACACAAACTCAATGAAATGACAAAGACTCTAAAAGATTAGCAAGTATCACAAACATTAGCAGTAAACAAAAGATAAGATCACAAGCATATTAGAAATCAAAGAATTGACACTTCAGATATACTGAAGAAATAATATAAGTGATGGTAATCTTTTAATATAAGAAAATGAACATTCATATTTTTGGTATATTGATCTACTTAGAAGTCTAAAGTATACATGAACAACATTAAGGAAACAAGAAATTTTCAGGTATATATTTTAATCTGATTATGATAATTGCTTTTCCAATAAAGGTATATACTTTTAGTAATAAAGATACTCTGTAATCCAGTCTAATATGCTCCTCACACATACTTAAATACATCTATGCAAAAGAACTTCTATGAGATATGTAAGGATGGATATGAATGTTGGTAGCTGAGAAAAACCTATTCTGTTGTATGTATAGTAGTGACGATACTATATAATGATTCCTTAACTTAGTTAAGATCTCATATTATATGCGTGATTTTATCTAATTAGTTGTTAAATATTTTGTAGATATAAATAATGCTATATATTTATACATGAAATATATATGGAAAAATTACAGTATAATACAGTATGTATTCAGGAGCACTTTAACGCAAATTAAACAGAAAAATACACATTTTAAAATTCCAAGTGATTTTAAAAAGACTCCAATAAATGTATTTGTTAATATTTATCCATTGCTTAGTGAGCTTATCAATTCTACATAAACTATAGGTCCCACTTGCCAAAAATTTGCTATACTTAACATGTATAAATTTTATAAATTGGTGACCAAAAAAATCAGCAAAAAAGCAGAATATATCTCTACTATAACTATGACTCTAAATACGATAGTGCTTAATTGATGACCAATATCTTAAGAGATATCAACAAATTTTTAATTGCTCTTGGCTCCACTTTACTACAAAAGTGATTGTTCACCTGTGAGGCTTTCTCTCTCCCTAAAACAATGAAATAACTTTATTTAAAAGAGGCCGTTGGTTGGGCGCAGTGACTCCCGCCTGTAATCCCAGCACTTTGGGAGGCTGAGGTGGGTGGATCACGAGGTCAAGAGATGGAGACCATCCTGGCCAACATGGTGAAACCCCGTCTCTACTAAAAATACAAAAATTAGCTGGGCTAATTTTGGAAATTTTTGGAAATTAAATTATACAAAAATACAAAAATTAGCTGGGCTAATTGTGGCGCGTGCCTGTAGTCCCAGCTACTGGGGAGGCTGAGGCAGGAGAATCTCTTCAACCTGGGAGGCAGAGGTTGTAGTGAGCCAAGATCACACCACTGCACTCCAGCCTGGCAACAGAGCAAGACTCTGTCTCAAAAAAAAAAAAAAAAAAAAAAAAGAGGCCCTTTATTTAAAAGGGTCTTTTAGAAGACAAAAGAGAAAAAAAATGACCAAATTACTAAGACAATCAAAAAAAAAAAAACCTGACAGTTACATATCACCTGGATACAAATTTTACAATGCAGAATATTAAAAAAAAAAAAAATTTACCTCTACACAGGCTTTCATCCCTGAGGCAGCAGCATAGTGCAAGGGTGTGTTTTTTTTGTTATCAACAGCATCAATAGCTGCTCTCTCATATTCACCCTGGTCAAGTTTTGCTCCTTTCCATTTTAAGATCATCTGCAGACAATCTGCTCTTCTGAAATCATCTTCTGTGGGGCGTGCCAAGCGAGGATGAAGGGCTCCTTCAGATATCATAATTTGAGGTCCCATACACAACAAATGCATAGATGTTTCATTGTGCACATTCCGTTTATTTGGATTTCCATCTCTACCAAGAAAAGTCCTAAAATGGAAAGAAAGGGAAAAATAAAGGATGAAAATCACTTATTTTCTACCTTGAAATACATTGAAGATAACACTTTTAAAAGATAAACTCTACTTCTAAGCTGATAATCCAATTTATACTGAGGGTCTGGTTTACAACAGCTTGAATGACTAATTCTTAGTTTTAAAAAACTCTATTCTAGAATAACAATACTAAGAAAAATAAATGTAAATATCTTTATACTACTTGCTAATTAAAAGGGAGGGAAAGGAAGGGAAAAGGAAGAAAAAAGGAAGATGAGAAATATAACAGGTGAGGAATGGACAGGAAAAGAAAACACAGTGGTAATTTACAGATTAATGTCAATTATACAGATGCCTAAGGGTGTATTAAGCATTCCACACTAATTTTTAATTCTTCTTTTATTGCTCTGATCTATTTGTTGCATACATAGTTATTTAATAGTGACAACAACTACTATATTAGTGGCAACTAATTTAAGGACAGAAAGTAATATGTAAGCCTGAGACTAAATCCAGAGAAAATTTTCTCCACCAAGGTCATCAGCTAACCTTTGAAATAATAAGGCATATATTTACACGATGTCTTAATCTGCTTGAGCTATTATAAAAATATCATAAACTGAATGGTTTATAAACAAGAAACACTTATTTCTCACAGTTGTGGACGCTGGTAAGTCCAAGATTAAGGTGCCAGGTGATTCAGTGTCTGGTAAGGGCTCATTCCTCATAGAGGCCTTCTTGTGTTCTCTCACATGGTGGAAGGGGCAACTACTCCCACCATGTCTCTGTGCACTACTCCCATTCCTGAGGACTCCAACCTCGTGATCTAATTACCCTCCAATGCCCCATTCAGACCACAGCACATAGTATAATACTTTCTGAGGGGAGTTGTGGTTAGATCTAGAAGACTAAGATCTAATTCCACGGTGAGTGTTTATCTCAAAGATAGGTCTAGGTGAGTTGCCTTTACTACTGCCAAACCCAGATCTAAGAGTTGTGCCTAGCTCCTAAAATGAGTCACAGGATTAGTAGTTGACCTAGAAAAGGCAAGGGAAGGGATTCTACCCTGGAGCCTCCAAAAGGAATGCAGTGCTGCCAACACCTAGAGTAGTTCAGTGGAGCCATTATAGTCTTCTGAACTCCAGAACTGTAAGATTTGTGTTGTTTTAAGCCACTAATTTGTGGCACTTTGTGACAGCAGCAACAGGAAATTAACTCAGCAAGGAACCCTAAAAATATCAATCTGGGATGTTATAGAAGAAGGCTTGTATTAACAGACCTCCTCCCCTCTTGGAGACCAGAGGGTGGGGTGGCCTGGGGCGGGGTGGTGGGTGGGAGGAAGAATCTATCCCTGAGCAAAAACAAATTTTCCTAGGGGAAAGATAAGACTAGCATCTCTCGGTTTTACAACTTAAGGAATACTTCCATGGTCTCGAGGATCATCCACTCCTCATTCCCTGCAAATGTAAATACATATCTCACGGGCAGTAAATCTCTCTGCAGTCCTCAACCTCTATTCAGCCATAATTTAATTTCCAAAGCTCATTTTTTGTCCAGGTTCCAAGTTTTAGTACAGTTTGCTCAGGTTTTCTCTACATGCTTATTTTCTCTACAGCTCCATGTAGCCTTTATGGTCTTCTGATGCCGGCAGTACACTTCAATACTTGCTCAATTTGGTTTCCCAGGAACTGATTCAGGCCACTTAAGCAAACCAACACTACTTAGAAGCCTCTTTACACTAGGCTCCCCCACCAGTTCAGTTTGCCACTCTTTTCTTTGTCTTCATATAGCATCCCAATTACATAACTCATTACATTTTATCATACTTTTTTACCTGTCTGTTCCCTTCTCCCAAATAGTTTATAGGCTTTTAAGGCAGGGCCTATATTCTGTTCTTTCTTGAATCCCCAACACAGTGTCACAAACACAGCAAATTCATGCCATAATTTTGATAAATGAATTGGATGCATATTAAACTTTCATGACCTAGATCAGTGACATGGGACTGGGGAATCTCTTGAGCCAGCAGTGCAGTACATTGGTTAAGAACGTGGTCCCAGACTGCTAGGTTCTAATCCTAGTTCTGTCACTTTCTAGCTGTGTCACCTTGGGCAAGTTACATAATAGCTCCTAACAACTAATATATGATTTACATCCTTTGACTGAGTAAAACTACTCCTGAGAGTTTATCTTAAGGGAAATAAAGAAAAATCTATAGAAACAATGAAAATCAATACAGTGTTACTTTGAACAGAAAAATCTGGAAATCACTTAAGCGTTTAATAATAGAAATGGGAAACATAAATCTGATATACAATAGAAAATTATAGTCATTTAAAGTCTATCCACGAGTGTTATAACTAAGTGGAAATATAAGAATAGAATTTCCCTTTCCCTTCTCAATCTTCTGAATATACATGGATACAAACTATAAGGGAACATGGAATAATTCTAACATTTGCTTAGGGGAGGCAAGAATATGGGTAATTTTTTTTATACAGCCATAATGTTGCTTAATAGTTAAAATATATATTTTCCCTATTCAACCGCTGATAATAAAATTCCCAGTCATATTTCCTTGTATTTATGATTGAATTATAGTGGATAGCCAAAATTAAAACCATACTCTAAAATGTATTCAAGATTATTATCTCTTCTACAAGGCATGATTGACAAAAAAAGATTTCATTTTCTTAAAAATTTAATTAAGAAAGAAATTATTAAAGCTATCTGATTCTGTAAATACCCTGTACAAACACATTTATCTAGCCTTTCTTATACCCATTTCCAATATATCAGTTATTCTCTTAGTTTGCTCAGGAGAGTTCAGGTTCTTATCACAAAGAAATTTAACATAAATTGAGAGAATGTCAGCTGATATGGAAGGACCAAGCTCGCTCTCTCTAGTATTAAATATCTCTAGATCCTCCCCATATAGAGAAGAGAGAGACACTCTCTTGCCAATCCGCCGGGTTCATTAATCAAACCAAACACAGAGAGTGTATTATTCTGAAGTATTAAAATAACTTCTTTATACATATTTATTCAAGAAAGAGTCTCAAATTATTAGACACAGTAGCATATCTGCATAAATATTTTATGCTAAAACTATTCATAAAATTGAATATTCTAATTTTATTGATTCCTCTCATCTGTTTAAATTCAAAGGAGACTCTTCCTAAATTTACATAAATGTATAAATGGAATAATGAGTATAAAATCGATATGTATGTTTTAGACCCCTTTCTGTAACTATGTTAGTAGTTATGGGTTTTTTTTTTTAACTACTTGCATATGAAGTTAATTCTGGAACAGGGATAGGAGATAATTAACAGGAAGGTGGGGTAGGGAAAACATTAACCTGGGGAAAAAATCCATCCCTTTCATGTGACCCTAATAACCCATCCAGGAGCCACGTGCTTTTCTAGATTCTTTCACTGTTAATTCTTAAGCAGCCAGTTTATAGCTGTTACCTCTATTTCTTCTACATTCATTCTCCACTTCCATATGACCCTATTCTTATCACTACATGGAAGTTTCACTCTCTCATGTAACCAGGAATTTCCTAAGAGCTAACTTATTCATCATTGTCCCTAATTTTTGTTCTAAACTTTAAATTACCAACTGCTTCATTTACCTCCTGACCTTTCTATTACCTTGGCTTCTGTAATCACACTTTTTCAATAATCCTCTTAATTTTTTTCAGTACAACAACTTCTCTTTTACCCATGATGATGGCTCTACTTCCTACCCCGTTACTGGAAGCAAGTTTCAGTTCTTGACCCCCATGTTTTTCTCCATACACACTGTCTTCTTTCAGAGAGTCCATCCACTCTGAAAGCCATTTCTCTTTCAATGGTTTAGGTGAATACACTTTGTAAATTGGGAAGTATGACCAGAATTCAAATGACAGGCAGTAGTGGCAGAATCACAGGTTTCCCTCAAAGGGCTTCTACTATAGATTGAATATCCCTAATTCAGAAATCTGAAATGCTCCAAAATCTGAAATGTTTTGAGTGCCAATGTGACTCTCAAAGAAAATGCTCATTTGAGCATTTAGATTTCAAATTTTTGCATGTGGGATGCTCAACTAGGTAAGTGTAATGCAAATATTCAAAATTCAAAGAAATCTGAAATCTGAAACAATTTATTCCCACTCATTTTGAATAAGAGATGCTCAATTTGTGTTACTTCTGTGATAATTCTTAATGCTCTATCATCCTATATGACTTCTCATCTGACCCCATACCACATTCTTAAATCTTATAGGCCTTTCTCTTGCACTCATACTCAAGTGAACTCTCTCTGAACTAACTGTCTTTTCTCCCAGAGCCTCAATTTCTTGCAATAACTCTTTTTATTCCACCAGTCAAATATACTTAAACCTTCAGTTCCTTTGATATCCTCTTTCATGCAACATTGACTGAGCATTCATTATTTGCCAGGTACTATTCTAGAAGTTAGGGATATTGTAAAGAAAACAGATAAAGTCCCTGCCCTACGGGGTTTGCATGCAAGATAAGGGGGGTTGGGAGAGGAGACCTGTATTTCAATTTATTGAAAAGAACTTAGCTCCTAAAATATAAAACAGTCAAAAAACAGAAATCAATAACTGGAAATTCTATCTTAACTAATCCTCAAAGCTACAGACTTTGATATTAACATGTGCTCTAATAAAGACAGGCTCTAATAAATATTTTCTATTTTATTTCCAAATAAGCAAAAGAGGCTGTTTTATAGAAGATACAACTAATGAATTATATATCCAAATTAGAACACACTGACTCCAAGTCCACGGCTTTTTTATACATTAAGCAGTAGCTGTGAGTATGGATTTAGTTTCCCACAAAAGAGGCAGTGTGATTGTGATGTGATATAATATAACCACATAGCATGTGGGTTCAGAGAGAGAGAGATGCAAAGGTGCATCTATTACCATATTATTCTACCTAAGAAACGAAGAAAGTGATGCCTGCTATTGCAGATACCATATAGCTAAAGGAAATGGGGAAAAAAATCAAGGTCTTATTCCAAACAGGTGCTTTACTTTATAGCTAAAAGGTCCGTGACTAGGAATATCTACCTTTGCCTACATATATACATCATATATTAGGAATCTAGGCCGGATGCAGTGTCTCACGCCTGTAATCCCAACACTTTGGGAGGCTGAGGTAAGTGGATCACTTGAGGTTAGGAGTTCCAGACCAGCCTGGCCAACACAGTGAAACTACATCTCTACTAAAAATACAAAAATTAGCTAGGGGTGGTGGCAGGCACCTGTAATCCCAGCTACTTGGGAGGCTGGGGCAGAACTGCTTGAACCCTGGTGGCAGAGGTTGCAGTGAGCCAAGATCACACCACTGCACTCCAGCCTGGGTGACAAAATGAGACTCCGTCTCAAAAAAAAAAAGAAAAAAGGAATCTAGCCAAGCTCAGCTACAGTCTACAATGAAGTCTCAGAAAGGCATCCCAGATTATATGAGGCAGCATGAGAAAGTAATAGTCATCAACTTGTGAGAAAGTAAAGTAGGACTAAATCTAACACAACATTTTAACCTGCCTAAAACAAAAATAATTAAATAAAAGTTATTTTACTTAATGCTGATGAGTAAATGCTGTTTATCCTTATTAGACATGATGTAAAAGTATAAGAAAGTTAATTTCTTATTCCAAAATCAATTAATCATTTAAAATAATAATCTGGCAAAATGAAAAGGCAACCTGTAGAACTGGAAAATACATTTGCAAACCATACACCTGAAAAATAGAATAAAAACTATATAAAGAACTCATAAAATGCAATAGCACAAAACAAATAACTCAATTAAAAAATGGGCAAAGGACCTAAATGGATGATTTTTCCAAACAAGATATACAAATAACCAACAGTCATATAAAAAATGTTCAACATCACCAATAATCACAGAAATGCAAATCAAAATCACAGTGAAGTATCACCTTATACCTGTTTGCATGGCAATTATCAAAAAAAAAAAGGTAAGTGATGGCAAAAATGTGGAAGGAAGGGAACCCTGGTACATTGCTCATGGAAATGTAAATTGGTACAACCATTATGGAAAACAGTACAGAAGTTGAGTAAAACATTAAAAACAGAACTACCATATGATCCAGGAATCTTACTTCTGGGTATACATCCAAGGAAATAAAATCACAAACTCCGAAGAGATATCAGTACTCCCATGTTCACTATAGCATTATTTATAAAAGATAAGATACAGAAACAACCTAAATATCCATCAGTGGGTGAATGGATAAAGAATATGTGGCATATATACAATGGAATATTATTCAGTCTTAAAAAAGAAGGAAATCCTGCCATTTTCGACATAGATGAACCTAGAGGATATTTTGCTAAGTTCAGTGCATTATACACAGAAAGACAAATGAGTGCAAGATCTCACTTATATGTAGAATTTTAAAAAGTTGAACTCAGGAACAGAGGCTAGAATGGTGGTTAACCAGGGTCAGGGGTAAAGAAAATGGGGAGATGTTCGTCAAAGGGTACAAATTTTCAGTTAGAAGATGAATTAGGTTCTGGAGACCTAATAAACAGCATGGTAACTATAGTTAATAATTATATATTATATACTTGAAATTTGCTACAAAAGTATAATTTAAGTATTTTCGCCACACAGAAAAACTATTTGAGGAGATAAATATGTTAAGTAGCTTGACTGTCATAATCAGTTCACAATGTATATATATATATTAAAACATCACATTGTATACCTTAAATATATACAATTTTTATTTGTCAACTATACCTAAATAAACCTGGAAAAAAACTGATTTGTGATTCTCTCTGTACTATCTAAATAAATTTCCAAAGACAAAAGAATATATGATTAAAGAATTAGGGTTGTTTATTCTCAGGAAATGAGAACAATAAGGTAATTTGTTTCTAGCTTAATATGTTAAAAGCTTTAATTAAAAAATTATGAGCCATTGTCCTTCAAACCAGAAAAGAAAAAAGAAAATATCCAAAGACTTTTGGTAGAAGTTGTAAAAACATAAGTATAAAGTTAAGTATCATAAAAATAATCCAAACTGGTAAGTAAAAGAGAATATACAATCATATTTCCTGTAGGTCTTTAAATACGCATTCAATAGAATGATAACCACATGACAGGGACAGACAGACATATTTCTGCTTGGAGGAACCAGATCAGCAGTTCTTATATTATTTTAGGTTAACAAGACCCTTATACGATTTTAAAAATTACTGGCCAGGTGTGGCGGCTCATGCCTGTAAGTCCCCACACTTTGGGAGGCCGAGGAAGGGTGGACTGCTTGAGCTCAGGAGTTCAAGATCTATCTGCCAACATGGCGAAATCCCATCTCTACAAAAAATTAAAAAAAAATTGGCCAGACATAGTGGCACATGCCTGTAGTCCCAGCTACTTGGGAGGCTGAGGCAGGAAAATTGCTTGAGCCTGAGGTCGAGGCTGCAGTGAGCTGTGATTGTGCCACTGCACTCCGGCCTGGGAAACAGAGCAAGACCCTGTCTCAGAAAAAAAAACA
This sequence comes from Homo sapiens, assembly GCF_000001405.40. Taxonomy (NCBI): domain Eukaryota; kingdom Metazoa; phylum Chordata; class Mammalia; order Primates; family Hominidae; genus Homo; species Homo sapiens. Next base: position 92,299,811 of record NC_000007.14, on the reverse strand, counting down.
AAATTACTGTAGGTTCCTAAGAGTTTTTGTTTATATGGATACATTAATTTTAAAAATAAACCCATTATATATTAACAACATGTTTAAATAAAAATAACTACATTTTAAAAAATTAAGTGAAAAGAGCGGCATTGTTTTTCCATGTTTACAAATCTCTTTTAATGTCTAGTCTAATGGAAGACAGCTGGATTTTCACAGGATTCCATCTGTTGTAATGTATTGTTTTGATTTAACTATATAAAGAAAATCCAGCCTTTATATAGTTAGGAAAGTGAGAAATGTTTTTAAATATCTGTCTCAGATAATAGTGAATATTCATATTTGATACTATACCAAAAATTCAACATCGGTAATTTCTTAAAGATTAGTTGCAGTGTAGTATTTGAAATGATATCAATGACCTTTTTGTACTGTTACATTAAAGTCCATTGGTCTATCTTACATTTTGAATATATCTTTCACCCATACATAATTTTTAAAAATCATACACTGATCTTCTCAAAAATATTGATTTACTGAGTTACGCAGATCTTCCAGATGTCACATTTCATTAAACAATATAAAAAGCTATCATCATCAATCTTATCAGAAAAGTCTGTGTTGAGAAGTTGTTGAGCTGAAGGTAGTGAATACAAGTTTTCCTGGATTTTAATAATCACTTGAAAGCTCAAATTTTATCATTAGCAACAAATAACTGGCAGTAGTTTTCCCTGAAGTGACAGACTCAATTCATTTTCAAGAAAATGTTGGCTAAGTACCCAAGTCTAAACAACCATTGTTTTCTTGTTATTGCTAGTTGTAAAATGCTGTTCCATTAAAAAAGTACGCAGTTCAACTCACAACTCAAACAACAGCACAGGTGTGCTTCCTCAGAGCCATCGTCGTATTCTGGTATGTAGCAGAAATGCTTTATGCATACCTTGAAGTTGTCACAGAATATTAAAAAGATGTGTTACTTAAGGGTGGAGATTAATTAAAATTAATTTTACTGCTTTAATCGAGGATTTTTTTAGGGGAAACTGCTTTTTTTTTTTTTTTTTTTTAACTGCAAGTGCCTAACAGTGATGAATACAATGATTACTAATACAGTTTGGTACAACTACCTTCATTCATCTTAAAGGTGCCAGCAGTTTTATCCTCTATTTTTTGTCCTGCCACTGCAAATGCCAACACAGTATAAAAGGCAAATAACATCTTGGTATAATTATAAAAATAGTTTTGACTTCATGTACCCTTTGAAAGAGTCTCTGGATCCAGGAGTCCTCAGAACACATTTTAAGAATCACTGGACTAAATGACTTACTTATATGTTTTCCATTTATATAAAGTATATTTGTAAACTCTACTATAAGGGGTTAAAAAGTATTTTACCACTTGGTTTATGTTAAAATATACACATTACCTTAGTAATAATAATACTTAAATACATTTTATATTGGTATTATAAATAAGTTTTAATTAATCACATATAATATTTGATATTAAATATTACTGAAGTATCCAATATTAGGAGTTTTGTAATATATCAACAGTTTTATAATTTCACTTAAAATGTTCAACTTAAATAAGCAAAACAAAAAGATCATGTTAAAAAGCCTTAATAGATTAGTAATCCACAATCTATTGAGAACAAACTAGGTGTCTAGCACTGTATTTATAATATTTACATTCTAGTAGAGATGAGTTTAGTAATAATAATAATAATATGATTTTAAATGTAAATTGTAGGAATTTCAGAGAACAGAAAGAATACTGGAGGTCAGAGTAGTTGGGGATGAATTCACAAAGAAGGCAGAAACAGAGTTAGGACTTAAAGGACAGGTAATTAGAGAAGAGAGAAGCCATTTGAGAATCCAGAAACAACCGGAATGAAGCTAAGTGGGTGGCATTCTTAAAAGTGGGAAAAGCAAGAGGGAAGTCAATCAACCAGTTTGAATGGCAAGATCATGTTAGAAAGTAACAAGAGAATAGGCTAACTGAGTAGAATGAAGCCAGAAGTAAAGAGAGTTTTGGAAGCCAAATAGAATATAATGTAGAAAACAAGGTATTATAACTTTCTCAAGACAGAAAGAACACTGAAAGGCTATGCTTTAGTAAAATTAATCTGGACATTAAACTATAAGAAGAGACTTGTAAAAAAAAAAACCATTTAGATGCCAGATACTTTTAAGTGTTAGGAGCAGGGGATGATTAAGAGTGAAATAAGTTTAGGGCAAAAGGAATGGAAAGAAGTAAATCCAAGAGTAAGACTTAGTGAACTTAGCAGCATGGTGGTAAAGAAGAGTAAATCAAGGATGATTTAAAGATATTAAGGATTATAGCGGTGAGAAATAATAAACATTAGCAAGTGTATATTGTATGTTGGGCAGCATAATAGACATGTAACACATTAACTGTTTAATTGTTCTACAAGTTCTGTGAGGTAAATATCCATTATACAGATAAGAAAACTGCAGTCCAGAGTGACAAAGTAATTTGCTTTGCTAATAAGTGACAGGCAGCCCTGACACATAAGCTGATACGACTATAGAAATAAGAGGCTGTCAGTACAGTGGTTAAGAGCCCAAAGCTTACAGTCGTCTAGCTGGGCAACAAGCTTCGCCAGTTACAAGTTGTGAGACCTTACTGTGCTTCAGTTTTCTCACCTATAAAATACAGACAATAAACTACCTCATAAAATTGTAATGAGGATTCAGATAATGCATGTACAGCACTGTTAATAGCTCTATTAAACAGTAAGCCCTCAATAAACATTTGCCATTATTATATCAGCATGATATGCTGGTGTCATTAACATGTGGAAGACCCAGTTTTGGAAGGGAAAATATAAAATTTCAAACAACTAAGCTGGAGGTGGCTTCTAAGTATCTATTTTTAGAGAAATAAAAATGAAAGATAGAAGCAAAAAAATTAGATAAAAGAAATACCTATAAAAATCAAGATAAACCTAATTAAGTCATAGGCCTGGATGACCTAAATTATTTATGAAATTTTTCTCATTCATAAATTCTGATAATAAAAATATTTCTTTGTGTAATGATTTTATAGAACTTCTATTTACTCTGTGTAAAATACTATGCTAGATGCTAGAAGTACAAAGATACCTTTAAAAAAGTTATTAATATAGGTAGGCAGAGAGAAGCTATACAAAATTGTAAAATATAATAGGTAATATATAGCAAATACGTGAGGCAAACAAACAAATGATAAAGAGCCTTAAAAGTTTTTTAAAAAGAGAGAGGTTCCCATGGGTTATGACAATCTAAGTAGATAGATGTGGCACACACAGGATCTTGAAGAGCAAAATTTAGATAAAAAAGACCCTTTGGGAGGCCAAGTGAGAGGATGGCTTGAGGCTAGGAGTACAAGACTAGACTGGGCAACACAGCAAGATCCCAGCTCTACAAAAAACACACAAAATATTAGCTGGCTATGGTGGCCGAGGCCTGTAGTCCTAGCTACTTGGGAAGCTGAGGTAGGAGGATAGCTTGAGTCTAGAAGTATGAGGTTACAGCAAATTATGATCACACCACTACACTCCAGCCTGAGTGACAGAGCAAGACACCGTTTCTATTAAAAAAAAAAATTAGGTAAGAGAGGGAAAAGGGAGAGGAGTGAGAAAGAGGGGGATACTCCTGGCCAAGAGAACAGCATGGACATGGCAGACAGAAACCTCACGGCATGTTTTGGAGATAGCAAAAAAAGCAGCTTAATTGGAACAATAATTTGTACACGGAAGAAACAGGAAAAAGGCTGAACGTTAAGTTTTTTTAATCAAGTTCCAAAGAGCTCTGAATACTAGTTCTAGAATTATATTTCACTGCATAAGAAAATAAGCATTTTTTTCCTTTCTCTTCCAGCATCAGACTCCTATACCTGCATAATCTACTTCTAAAAAAATTAACCTTGCTTTGTAGCTACTGGTCTATTCTTTGTTCCCTTTATTTTATAAGCTAGTAAATATCAAATGTAATTCCCATGTGATTAGGTAAGAATCTTCATATAAATAGATTTGCTATGTCACTAAAGCTTCCTCGTTGAATAGGTATTTTTTAAAGTTTCTTAGTATTTTCAGTTTTAAGAAAATGTTTGGATTTTAGAAACATCTTTTCAAGTAACTGAATCCCATTAAAAGAAAGGAAATTCAAACTGATCATGACTAGAAAAGGCAAATGCACCCATTTTTTAACTAAAAATAGCTAATCAGAGTTTGGAACTTTGCCTTTGGCACCATTCCCTGCATTTTTTTGACAGCTGACAAGTACTGTTCTAGAATTGAAATGTTGTAAATTAAATACATTATTATCAAGAATTCATACTATGAAACATAATGAGGATCAAAATATATTTATAGCAACAAGAACACATGAACCAACCTCACCATTAAAAGCTTTGGACTAATTCAGATATAATAAAGAAAATTTGACTAAATCATAATAAAGAAAATGATATCAAATATTTAGGTATATTTGGTTTTAGAAAGTTTAATTCACTATAAAACCATATTACATGTACATGTTTGTATATATATCATGTCTGTATATGTCCGTATTTTCAAAAATCATAGTTCCTTTTTTTTCACCACTTTGTTACCAATTAGTTTACGGTAATACCCTAATACCAATTAGTTTATAGTAATACTTACCCTAATATTTTATTCATTCCATGTCTAGCAGCATAATGTAATGGAGTATTGTGCTGGTAGGGCTCCCCATAAGATGTATTTGGATCAAGAGATTCTTTTAGCTGAGGATTGTTTTCATATATTTGGCAGGCCAGGTTTTCATCACCATTGATGAGTGCTTTACGGAATTTGGTGGTTGTATTTCCCATGTTTTGTTTTGTTTTTTCTGATAGGCAGTGGCACTTTTTTCCTTCTATCTTCAGCCACTTCTGGAACACTTCTGCAACATCTTTCACATTCTAATGAAGGAAAAGTTATTCAAATTAGATTGTAAAACAATAATCACAAAAGAAACAATAACACAATTAGGAACACTAAAAAAAATCTGGGAATCATCGATAAGGGAACCAACTATATTACATTTTACCAAATTTATCTTAACAGCCAAAAAAATCTCAAATTTTTAACACTGTCCAAATTAACTTATTGTTAAACTTTAACACTTTCCCACACAGAGACTGTTAAGGTTTCACAGGCAGTCCTTCGGATTACAAAAATTATCTATATATAAAACTTTTCAATTTTCCTCTTCACATGGCAGAAAATGAGCTTGACTGAATTTTATGGTTGAAAACACTTAAATTTCTGTATAAATTATGTATAAATCTTACTCAGCCAATTTGTGGGATAGTGAAAAATGTAGGAAATTTTGCCCAAACAAGAACTGCAGAAGAGGCGTTAAAATGCAGTAAAGGAAAAGTGAAACTGCTCAGTACTTTATGAGGACATCACAGAAAAGACTTAAAATGTAAACATACAGGAATACACAATTCAATGATACTTAGATTATCACAGAAAAGTACTAAAACTGATAATACACAGAACAATACAGTGATTATTCTACCATTTAAGACCATTAAATTTATTTCTTTCTGCTATACAGAATTTAAGTCTGAAAACATCAAATGTTTATGCATACTATGTCTGGAAAGAGGTTATGATAATCATCACATGGGCAATGTGATTGCTAATTTATTTACTACTGAAGCAATGTGAAGTGGGTGGGGGAAGGTCATAGAAACAAACACTGGACATGAAGTTCAAAATACCGTATTTGCCTACAACTAGTTATGTAATTTTAAGCAAGTTATTCATCCCCTAAAAGCCTCAGATTCCCATCTGTACAGCATGGAAAATGACCATTTCTTAGGTATGGCTGTGAGGATTATAAGAGTTACTTAAAGTACCTACTGCAGTCCTTAGTTAATGAGTCCAATAAATGCTAGTTTCATTCTATTCCAATAAACGTTGTTTCTGGATCTATTCTTGAGCTATGATGAAAATTAGTGACAAAGAAAACAGCATATGCAAAGGCAGGTATGAAAAAAAGGCCTACACAAGGAACAGTTAAGTATGAATAGAGTTCAGAGTCTCTAGCATTAGATTAACAAGAGATAAAAGAAAAAATAGGTTGGGACCAGATAAGGAACTTACACTTTAACCTGAAAAGAACAGATAATTAAAGGCTTTTATGCAGGGCAATGATATAATTATTTCATGCTTTAGAAAATTATTGTGACAATGTAGAAGATAGAATAGAGGGAGGAAAACTTAGAGGCAGAGAATACAACAGTCTTTCATGTTACTCTATTAATTCAGTGGGAGGCTGGACACTAAAACATAGCTTTAAAAAACAGGTGAAGGGTGTGGTGGCACATGCCTATAATACCAGTTATTCGGGAGGGTGAGGCAGGAGGATCACTTGAACCCAGGAGTTTGAAACCAGTTTGGGCAACAGAGCCAGATCTCATCTCAAAACAAACAACAACAATAACAACAACAAACACAGGTGAAAATAATATGCACAGTGTTCGACATAGGCTTTGTGTAGGGTAGTTCTCAACCTTGGCTGTATAATAACCTGGGGAACTTCAGAGTTCTACTGACCAAACTACATCTCATAACAAAAATCAGAGTCTCTAGGGGAAGCACCCAGGCACGGGTATTTAAGCTCCTTATGTGATTTTCAATGTGCAGACACCACTGTATAAAAGGCTTCTGGTGCCCTGCAGCTAAGTATCAGAGTAAGATGTCTGCCAAGCCTATTCTGGAGGTAGGCATTAACTACCTACTTACTATAGCAGCACATTTGCTGGCCCACTACTATATGTAATGAGGTCACCATTTGGGTTTTTTAAGCGTTATTATTGATTTTTTTAATTTTAAATATGCAAATACATACATACAGTAGAGCTTTTTGAATATATGAACAAAGAGAAAGAATTTAAAAGCTCATGGTTTACCTCACGGTTTACTGCAAGAAAACCACTGGTAGCATTTTGATACATAACCACCCTATTTAAAGGTGTATGTGTGTGTTTGTGTGTATAAAATATGTATGCATATACACAACATAAACATGTATATATTAATTGGATCATATGACATAGTTAAGTTTTTATTTAATTTTTCAGAGGGTTGCTAAACCTTTAGCCTAAAATATTATACTTTTATTGTTTCATCCAATAAGAGGAGCAAATCCTTCTCTCCCATACTATACACAATATACTACAGCTACTATTGGGAAACTTTCAGTTGTTTTGGTCCTTGATAGAATAAAACACAAATTATAAACATTTCCAAAGTTCTGGATTAGATTAATAAATAGCACATTTTCTGAGATTTATATTACTACTTTAGTGAAATATTCTATAAGAAAAATAATTTGTATCTAAGAAGTAAAAAAAAGAAATATCTAAGAAAGTAATGTTATCATGGAGTACTCATTTAAAGCAACAAGTTTTTAAAAAAAATCTATAATACTCTAAATGTGCATTAAATATTACTGTTACTCTGTTGAAAAGGATAATGGCATTGAGAAGTCATTTTGTGGCTTTCAGTTATTTTCATATCTGTTTCATTTTAAAATTTTGATCAATGAGCCAGAAAGTCACTAAGAAATGCATCATCTAAACGGTCACAGCTCAATTCCCCTCAGATTTATCTTCACAAACCTTGCCTAGAAATTTGCCACATGTATCCTTTTACTTTTCCCTAGCCACAGCTATTATTGCCTGAGGTGACTGTTCCCTCTGTTTGAATCAAAACCTTAAGTAATATTTCTGGAACTCCAAAATATGTCTATGTATAGAGCTTCATGAGGCAAGTACTGGAGTACCAAACAGGCGAAAAGAATTCCTTATTTTGGGCTTCTAATTCTTTACAGGAAAACCTGGGCAAGGTTTCATCATCTTTGAGTAGTAAAGCACAGCACTTAATAAGTATTTAATGAGAAGAAGAAAAATGTACCCTGGGCCGGGTGTGGTAGCTCACGCCTGTAATCCCAGAACTTTGGGAGCCTGAGGCAGGTAGATCATGAGGTCAGGCGTTCAAGACCAGCCTGGCCAAATAGTGAAACCCCGTCTCTACTAAAAATACAAAAAATTAGCCGGGCGTGGTGGCGGGTGCCTGTAATACCAGCTAATCAGGCGGCTGCGGCAGGAGAATTGGTTGAACCTGGGAGGTGGAGCTTGCAGCGAGCTGAGATCACGCCACTGCGCTCCAGCCCAGGCCCAGGCCACAGTGTAAGACTCTGTCTCAAAAAAAAAAAAAAAAAAAAAGAAAAAGAAAAATGTAGCCTGTTGATGGACTCCAGAAAGCTTTACTTAATTTCTGATTAACTTTTAATTGTGAATGCCTTTATAACTCTTTCTTTTTTAAAATTTTTACTTTTGTGGATACATAGTAGGTGTATATATTTAGGGAGTACATGAGATATTTTGAAACAGGCATGCAATGCATAATAATCACACCAGGGTAAATGGGGTATCCACCACCTCAAGCATTTGTCCTTGTGTTACAAACAAACCAATTATACTCTTTTTTTTTTTTTTTGAGACGGGATCTCGCTCTGTTGCCCAAATTGGAGTGGAGCAATATGATCTCAGCTCACTGCAACCTCCGCCTCCCAAGTTCAACCGATTCTCATGCCTCAGACTCCCGAGTAGCTGGAACTACAGGCATACGCCACCACAACCTTCTAATTTTTGTATTTTTAGTAGAGACGGGGTTTCGCCATTTTGGCCAGGCTGGTCTCGAACTCCTGACTTCAGGTGATCTGCCCACCTCGGCCTTCCAAAGTGCTGACATTACAGGTGCGAGCCACTGCACCCAGCCCAATTATATTCTTCTAGTTATTTTAAAATGTACAATAAATTCTATAATCACTCTACTGTGATAGCAAGATCTTAGTCATTCTTTCTATTTTTTTCTACCCATCAACCATCCCCAGTTCCCCTTCAACCCACAACAACCCTTCCCAGCCTCTGGTAACCATTCTTCTACTTTCTATCTCCATGGCTTCAATTATTTTAACTTTCAACTCCCACAAATAAGTGTATAATTCTAGCTTCAAATCTCTGTCTCCCAACTGCACCATTGATAGGTTAATAATCTGTAACAAAAACTCAACGGTACTTAAATTAACAAACTACTCCCAGAAATCTTTTACAGAAGATGAAGTTCTTCACAAATAAATAACCAAATCCTAATTCAACTGTTCCCATAAAAGTATTTTTAGTAAAAATAGTAACCATATAAAAGTATATAACTGATTCCCATTCTTCATTTTAACTGGATATAGGTCACACACACACACACTCATACTCAATTTAGTCTTCTGCAGTTATCTGCACTATTGATAATAACAACCTTAAATCTACAACTAAACTCTGTAGCCAGTAGAGAAACAAGCAGAAAGTTCATTCAGGCAGCAGGTCCCAATACACACACACACACACACACACACACACACACACTTTCATACATATACTCAATTTAGTCTTCTGCAATTATCTGCATTACTGATAACAACAACCTTAAATCTACAACTAAATGCTTTAGCCAGTAGAGAAACAGGCAGGAAGTTCATTCAGGCAGCAGGTCCCAACACAACCCCATCCCACTCCAGGTTGAAATCAAACAGATGAGTTTCTAAGATTCCAGAAAGCTCAAATTCCAAAGAAATGCTCTAGTGGTTACTGTAATAATACTTCAAGAAAAGGAGAGGATGGGCTGGGCACAGTGGCTTACGCCTGTAATTCCAGAACTTTGGGAGGCTGAGGCAGGAGGATCGCTTGAGCCCAGGAGTTCAAGACCAGCCTGGCCAACATGGCAAAACTCTGTCTCTACAAAAAATACAAAAATTAGCCAGGTGTGGTGGTGTGCCTCTGTAGTCCCAGCTACTTGAGAGGCTGAGGTGGAAGAATGGCTTGAGCCCAGGAGGTGGAAGTTGCAGTGAGCCGAGATAGTGCTACCCAACTCCAGCCTGGGTGATAGAGCCAGACTTAACTTTCAAAGGATAAGGTAAAGAAAGAAAACAAGGCAGCAGAAAAAAGAAAAGTCAGTGGACAAAAAGCATGTGGGCAAATAAAATACTAAGCTCTCAACCTGTTCATTCCCCCAGTCAACATGCATTATTGCATGCATTATTGACCAATGGTAATTTTGTCCCTGTGCATCAGAATCACCTGAGGAGATGATTTCAACTGGTCTTAAGGGGAACGAGGCCAGAGTGGGAAATTTAAAAGCTTCCCAGTTGATTATAATGCATGTCAGAGTTTAGAACCACGGACTAATTTTGAAACTATGCTAAGCCAAAAGTAGGGGCCAGAAATGTGATGGTGAGGAGCAGTGTGGTGGAAGTCAGCTTGTTATCTAGTTTATCAGGTAACTTAACCTCTTTGAGATGTTTCCTCAACTGTAAACCAGCAGTATTAATATCTACTTTCTTCAGTCAAAAAATACAAATGAACAAAAGGATAAAAATCACTACATTTATGGAGTTTATATTTCAGTGGGGATACACAGATGAACACTGTAAGGCTTTGATTTATTCTGTGTGCAGGTTTTTAAGCTTGATCTTTCTTAGCTCTTGCTTAACATTTTAAGCAAAATGCACTAAGATTTATCCATGTTGATACATAAATCAATAGTTCAACCCTTATTATTACTGAATAGTATTCCACTGTATGGGTATACCACTACTTGTTTAATCATTCACTTATTGAAGGACAACTTGGTTGTTTCCAGCTGGGGCAATTATTATTAAGGCTGCCATAACATTCATATATAGGCTTTAAATGAACTTAAGTTTTAATTTCTCTTGAGTAAATATCCAAGAGTGGAACTGCTGGGATATGTACTAAGTCATATGTTTAACTTTATAAGAAACCACCAAATTGGTTTTCAGAGCAAATGTACCAGGATTCAGAGCATTCAGAGTTACCATGGTCAGCAATTGGAATTGTCAGTTTCTAGTTAGTAGGATTTTTTTTTTTCTTTTTTGGTAGCCATTATAATGGATGTGTAGTAGTATTGTACAACGGTTTTCATTTTCATTTCCCTAATGATGAATGATGTCGAACATGCTTTCATGCTTATTTGCCATGCATACATCTTGATTTGTGAAGTGTCTGTTTAAATAAATCTTTCGCCCATTTTTAAGATGAAATATTATTGAATTTGAGATCCATATAGATGCTATAAAAAGTCCTTTGTTAGAAATGTAATTTGCAAATATTTCACTTTGAGCAAATTTGTATATAAGGTGTTTTGCATATAGACATCCAATAGTTCCAGCACCATTTGTTGAAAAGATTGTCCTTTCTCCATTGAGTTCCCTTTGAATCTTTGTAAAAAGCCAATTGACTGTGTTCTATTTTTCTGTGTGTCTCTCTTTTTAGCAATACTATATTGTCTTGATTACTGGGAGAACAAACATTTTAACAATATTAAGTCTCCTAATCCATGAACATGGTATTTCTATTTATGTCTTCTGTAATTGATTTTCAATGAGAGTTTTGTAGTTTGCATCATACAAATGGTGCACGTATTTGTCAGATTTATACCTAAGTACCTATTTTTTGGGGATGCTATTATGAATGGTGCTTTAGAAAATGTCAAATGCCAAGTGTTCATATCTAGAATATAGAAATACAATTGAATTTGTATATTGGCCCTGTATTCTGCAAATGTGATAAATTCACTTATTAGTTCTAGATTTCGTTTTTTTTTCATGGATTTTTTGGGATTGTCTAAAGTAGATTTGTATTATCCATGAATGGTGGCAGTTTTTTTTTTTTTTTTTTTTTTGAGACGGAGTCTTGCTCTGTCGCCCAGGCTGGAGTGCAGTGGTGCAATCTCAGCTCACTGCAAGCTCCACCTCCCAGGTTCAGGCCATTCTCCTGCCTCAGCCTCCCAAGTAGCTGGGACTACAGGCGCACGCCGCCATGCCTGGCTAATTTTTTTGTATTTTTAGTAGAGATGGGGTTTCACCATGTTAGCCAGGATGGTCTCGATCTCTTGACCTCATGATCTGCCCACCCTGGCCTCCCAAAGTGCTGGGATTACAGGCATGAGCCACCACGCCTGGCCTTTTTTTTTCCTTTTATATTTGCAAGTCTTCAATTTATTTTTCTTGCCTTACTGCACTAGATAGATGAATTTTAAAATTTGTGGACAGAAGTTTGAGAAGAAACATGATATTTGCATGGACGCAAAGCATCTCCCCCAAGATATTTCATAATTAGAATGTAAAAAACAGTAATTCACAGTGGAGAAGCACAGGAGATTAATACTCTGACCAGGAAACACCACCTGTAACCTACTGACATCCTGTACCCCAACCTGATGCACTAAAAAAGGCACATAAGTTCTGTAGTACTCTTGTGAAAAAATTTATATCAACATAATATGAGAAAATATCACAGAAACTCAAGTTGAGAGATGTTCTACAAATAACTGGCTAGTACTCTTCAAAAGTGTCAAGGCCATCAAAACAAGAAAAGACAGCACAACTGTTTGCAGTTTAAAGGAGACTAAGGAGAATGAAAACTAAATGCCATATAGGGCCCTAGACTGGATTCTGAAATGGATAAAATGACATTAATGGAAAACTGGTGAAATCTAAACACAGTAAATAGTTTAGTTAGTAGTACTGTACCAATGTTAATTTCTTACTTTTGATAACTATGGTTATGCAAGGTGTTAACATTAGGTTGAAAGGCATACAGAAACTCTCTGTACTATTTTTGCAACCTTTCCATAAGTCTAAAATTACTTAAAAATAAAAAGGCGAAAAAAATTCTAGCTCCTGTGTTTGGGAAGAGACTGTAGGAAGGCATGAATAGAAACAGGAAGACCAATTTGCAGGTTACTAGGGTTAATCAGGCAACAGCTGATAGGTTCTTGTACCAGGACTGTAGCAACAGAGGTGTTGAGAAGTTGTCTGGATTCTGGATATGTTCTAAATAGTATTTTCTCAAAGAAACCCTTGAAGATGTACACATAGCAGTATGGGTTATTAATCACCCAATAAAATAAAGCAACAAATGGAATAAAATAAGGATAATAAGCCAGGCGTGGTGGCTCACGCCTGTAATCCCAGCACTTTGGGAGGCTGAGGCAGGCAGATCACCTGAGGTCAGTTCGAGACCAGCCTGACCAACATGGTGAAACCCCATCTCTACTAAAAATACAAAATTAGCTGGGCATGGTGGTGCATGCCTGTAATCCCACCTACTTGGGAGGCTGAGGCAGGAGAATCGATTAAACCCAGGAGGCAGAAGTTGCAGTGAGCTGCGACCGTGCCACTGCACTCCAGCCTGGGCAACAAAAGCGAAACTCCGTCTCAAAAAAAAAAAAAAAAATACGGATAATATCCTAAATTCACAAACCCTTGAAGGACCAGTTGTCCTCTAGAAAATAAATAGAAAGGCCACACCAAGAAAAATCAATGCTATTTACTATGATTTTTGGCACCAAACATCTAACCTCTATGCAATCTCGTAACTCAAATTATTAAGCTGGGCCACATGTAAATGACAAGGTCCACTGGTCCCTCTACAGTAGATTTCCCTGATGGTGAGAAGAGACAAAGGAAGTGGGGGAAAGGTTTAAAACAGCTGGGGGAATCTAGGTTCAATATGCATACCTTCTACTAAAAGGTACACATGCTGGTAATCAGGTCCAACATTAAAATATCTCATTTGGAGAAAAATAAGGAGAATGGCCTCTATTAGGGCATGGGGTATTACAGTCAGCTTCAGGGATACCAGGGTTCAAGATCTGACCATATTTAAGTTATAGGTGAAGGGGTAGTAGTAGTCATTAAATTACCTTCTATAAAACCTCCAATTGTTTCCTATAGGTGACAGGATAAAGGCAAACTTAGGAATTGCATAACTAAGGCTAAATCATCAAAGTGTTTTTAAGCACAATGAGTTTGCTTGAAGCTGGGGATCTGCACAGGGAATAAGCAGAAGTAAAACTGTATAGCTAGGTAGGGCTGAACCCTTTGATTCCTACCCTAAGAGTCTGGCTTCAGCTTTAACATTCTCAACTTAATTTTAGTTCATCATAGTTTTTAGTGATATTTCCTATTTCTGAAATGATAGCTCATCTATTATTTTGTCTACTCTGAACTTGGCCAATGTAATTCAGTGTTATGTATAGATCTTGTTTCCTATGACAGAATAATTAATGCAATATAGTTTAGTGAGTTGAAAGAGCATTTAAGATGGAGCTAGTCTAGAACTTGGCAAGTCTTTTAATGACAACTGAGGATTTCTCATCTAGAAAATAATATTCTTTTAAAAGGCTATTGTAAAGATTAAATTTGATAGTGCACATAGAGTTTCACAATTTGTAAGAAATTATCTAACATAACTTATCTTCCATTTAAGACTAAAACGTCCACCAATATAAAAACATGCCTTATACTTTTCTATATGAAAAATGTTTATAGTATAAAATTTGTGTGAATTTAAAAAATCATAGGACTAGAAAGAACTACGTTTAAATCTTCCCAGCCTAGGCTGGACACAGTGGCTCACGTCTGTAATCCTAGCACTTTGGGAGGCCAAGGTGGGTAGATCACTTGAGGTCAGGAGTTCGAGATCAGCCTGGCCAACATGGTGAAACCCCATCTACTAAAAATACAAAAATTAGCGGGAAATCGCTTGAACCCGGAAGGCAGAGGTTGCAGTGAGCCGAGATAGTGCCACTGCACTCCAGCCTGGGCAACAGAGCAAGGCTCTGTCTCAAAAAAATAAAAAAATCTACCTAGCCTCTACTCCAAGATTTAACCATAAAACCTCCACTCATAAAACCTCCAAACATTCACGGGTTGTTCTAAGTAAATAATTACCTTCTACGCTAGATACCTAAAAAGCTTATCCTAAATTTGGCTATAAAATGTCATTGAATAAAATTAAAACAATGTCTTAAATTCACAAACCCTTGAAGGACCAGTTGTTCACTGGAAAATGAATAGAAAGGCCATTCCAAGAAAAATCAATGCTATTCACTACTATTTTGGGTACCAAACATCTAATCTCTACGCAATCACGTACAAATTATTAAGCTGGGCCATAAGTAAATCACAAGTTCCATTTAGGACAATACATTATGTACTTCTCTATGTGAAAAAAGAAAAGAAAGAAAGAAGGAACAAATGAATGAATGAAGGAAGAAAGGTAAAAGAAGGAACAAATGAAAAAAGAAAAGAAAATGGTAAGAAAATATGAATTTTTAAAAATTAAAATGACTTAATGTTAATTTCCCCCTTTTATTCTTTTAAGAACTGAGATGTCAAACACTGGCAAACTAGTTTTTAAGTCCATAAAGATTTAGGAAACAAACAATAACAATAAAAGCATTAGAAAGTATTACAGTAAGATGAAACTGGTGTAGTTCACTCAGAAAATGGACTTGAGATAAAAAGGCTGAATCTGATTGACCAACTGACAATAAAGAAGGCCTTTAGAAATGTAACGGCAATCAGGGCAGAGTCTACTAGGAAATTTTACATTCCCCATAGGTAATACACTGTAGCCTCTGTTCCTTATGTGCCCTGACTCCCCAGTACATGCCTCATTATCTTCATCCTATTACTAAAACAGATTGTTAAAATCTAAGGTATTCTGTGCGTTGTTATAAACAAAAAAACTCTGCTTGAGTGCAAACATTAATGAACATAACTTAAGGTACAGTTTAAATGTCACAAATATTATATTGAAATGTTAACCTGTATTCATCTAAAGTAAAGAATAAGGAAAGTGGCCGGGTGCAGTGGCTCATGTCTGTAATCCCAGCACTTTGGGAGGCCGAGGCAGGCAGATCACGAGGTCAGGAGATGGAGACCAGCCTGGCCAACATGATGAAACCCCGTCCCTACTAAAAATACAAATATTAGCTGTGCCTGGTGGCACATGCCTATAGTCTCAGCTACTCAGGAAGCAGAGGCAGGAGGATGACTTGAGCCAGGGAGACGGAGGTTGCAGTGAGCCGAGATTGTGCCACTGCACTCCAGCCTGGGAAACAGAGCGAGACCCAGTCTCAAAATAAAATGAAATAAAAATAAAATATAAACACTGTACACTTAGGCCACATTAAATTTATTTAAAAAATAAAATAACTGCACAATGATGTTACGAGGTCACTAGGCGATAGGCATTTTTTCAGTTCCATTTATAATCTTATGGGACCATTGTGGTAGATCAAAATATTGTTATGTGGCACATGACTGTACTAACTGAAGGGGACACAGAATTCCTAAGTACAAAACCAGGAGCAGGAGACAGACCTTATACTGGAAGTATGTGCAAAACACACACACCTTTGGCAGGGAGCAAAGAGGTCTTAGTCTGAAATGTTGCTAAAAATGAAGTCTGATTTAGGAGATTTGGGGCCTAGCTTACCAAACTGCATATTAAGTTGAAGTCCAATGTGGCTTTACTCTGAAAGAAGTTCATGAATACCCAGTTTGCAGGAAAACTTCCAAGTATTAGAGGGTAGCGAAAATTACCTGAGCTGAGAAAAATATTTTAACCGAGAAAGCAACTTCCCTATAATATAAATTCCAGAATTAAAATTCACTTTTCTGTTATTCCAGTATCTTAACATGGCAGCATTCCAAATAAAATGGCTACATAAACACAAAAGTATTATCATGACAGTAATAAAAATATCTATGGCAGTTTGGCTGTCTGAGGTTTCTCAGTAAGCAAGGAGATAATACAATATATTCTGGCTCCTCTTAGATATCTTTTAGATCTACATAGCTTTCACAGTGTAAAAAATGATACTGTAGTTAGAGAAGAAATGAAAATAGCTGCAAAAGCTATATTCAAAAGCCTGCCTCTTTTTGACAAACTGGCAAATGAACACTGAAAATAGCTAGCATGAGGTCTACAAGCAGAAAACTGTCGAAACTTGGAATACAACTACTGTATGAAACATGACTCTTACTTTTTTATTTCCCATGAAAACACAATTACCTATAATGATCACAGCTCTCTAAATAAGTAAATTTTCAGATAGCTGAAAATTTTCATAGGCAGTATTCAGCTTTTAAACATTTGACTTTTCAACTACTCAAAATGTTGTGTTATACTTTAACTTCCCCTTCACAACTATTTTTCAAACTTTGAATTCAGGATTTTATACAGTGACTGAAAAGTAAACATTTCAAGCTCTTACACTGTGGTGCTGTTGGCAAATAGTGTAATTTTAGTAACTTCGGCATCTCTATTCAGTGTTGGCTTTCATAATTTTTGAATAATGTATTGTCCTTAATGCAAAAATATAAGTGAACATGTTAAACTGGAAGGGTTTATCTTGGAATTAGGAAGCCAAGGTCTCAAAGCTGATGCATCTAAGACAGACACAAAAAGTACTTATGCTGGCCAGGCGTGGTGGCTCATGCCTGTTATCTCAGCACTTTGGGAGGCAGAGGTAGGTGGATTGCTTGGCAAGACCAGCCTGGGCAACAGGGTGAAACCCTGTCGCTACTAAAAATACAAAAAAATAGCCAAGCATGGTGGCACGTGCCTGTAATGCCAGCTACTTGGGAGGCTGAGGTGAGAGGATCACTTGAGCCTGGGGAGCGGAGGGTGTGGTGCACCGAGATGGCGCCACTCAACTCCAGTCTGGGTGACAGAGACCCTGTCTCAAAAAAGAGAGAAAGAAAAAAAAATTACTTATGCCCCAAAAGGTGAACTTTTAGCCTCAACTGGGGCCCCATAAACCTAAATCAATCATATTTTCTATTAAAGAAAAAATAAAAATTACACACTATGTATCGAAGTTTAGAAATCTATAGTCAAATATCTTTTGAAATAATTTTTACTGCTTTTAAGCAGTGTTAAATGCTTGAAATTTTTTTAAAAAGTGAATTCTATGTTTACACTTTGGGGAACTGATTTCTCTCTAATATATCTTTAATAATTATGTACATATAAAATTAGTACAAGTTTACAAAATAATATTAAAAGACAACAATTCCCTTTCTCAAACTAACTACAAAGAACAACTACAAATTGCTGCTGTACAAAACTGTTTAGATTATATTCACTGGAAAAGAACTCGCTCCACCACCCACTGTTTCAAAGTCATTGAGTCTTCCTAATTTTGCTGTGTCCTCCACCATTAGGTACTGTTTATTACCCATTATTATTACTACAAGGGAAAATCTAGAGGTATTATATTGTGTCAGAGTACAAAACTATTTCACTCCTAGGAACTCTCCTTTTTTCTCCATTGTCCTGCTGAACCTAAATGAATTTATTAAGTTAAACTAAGTTTATTCAATATTACAATTTCAGCCCCATTTGTCTGAGGACATTCTACTTTATTATATGGAAAAGAGTTAACATAGCAGGCTTCAGATGGCTATCCTTAGAAAAGCCTCTTGCAAGGTTGATCCATGGCTGGTGTCTGGGAACTTGGATTTCAGGAGGGTTCCCACCACCCTAACTGATAGGAGTCCTTCAAAGTGCCCAAATTGTTTGTATAAATAATGCAGTATATGCTAATCACCTGCTTTTCTTCAGAAAGTCTGGAATATTGGTACATGCTAGTTAGAAGGTACCTATGTGACCAGCTGTCAATCAAAACCTTGGACACCGAGTCTCTAAGGAACTTCTTTGGCAGATTACATTTCATACACATTGTCATAATTCAACACTGGATAAATTATGTAAATTACATAAGTATTGTATGATTCCATGGGAAGAAGACTCTTGGAAGCTTGTGCTTGGCTTCCTCTGGGCTTCACTCCATGAACCCTTTCCCTTTGCTGATTTTGCTTCGAATCCTTTTCCTGTAAGTCTAGCTTTAAACTACACGCTGAGTCCTGTGAGTTCTCTAAGGGAATCACTGAACCTGGCAGGGTCTTGAGGACACCTGAAAAAAGTGGTGTCAGAAGTGGGATTTACCAGACCATCTCACTAAAATATGGCAAATGCACTGTTTGGGAAAAGAAAGGATGAATAGGTAGAGTATCACAAACTTTGATGCCTGGGCAGCTATGGAATTATTCATAATATGAAACAGTAGGTAAGCTGCTTTTTGTTATGAGAGATAAAAGTTGTCAGCGAGATTTGAGAATGATAGATCCAATGCTGGGAGAGTTCACCTGCTGATCCCTTGGCTGCTTTGGCAATTTTGGCTAAAGTTGGGGGTTGGGGGATACATCCAAGGTGATGTCTTTTGTTTTTGTTCTTTCCTGAGATAGGAGGAGAAAGAGTCCAAATATTACTAAAAGTGAGCACTGAGTGGGCAAAAAATGTTAAAAGCTTACACTGTTTTCTCCTCCAAGTGCCAGGGATAAAGGTTAAATCAACTCCCAAGGCTGGAGTAAAGCTTAAAACTCAAGAGGAAAAAAAGGGGGGGGGGGTGCCCTCCAAACGTTTCTTAAGCCTAGCTGCTGCTACACCAACCCCATCACCCTTGCGTTTCCATCCAAGATCTACACAAATCCTCCCACCTCCACCACTGTAATATGAATCTATAAATGAGAAATTTACTGCTAGGAGTTTAAATAAACATGTAATTATTATAAGGAAAAAGGAAATTTTCACAGAATCATTTTGTATTTTGTGGGCATTGCATCTGGATGTATGATGAAAGTGATGTAAAATGTTATATGCTTGTAATTTCATAAATGCTAGAGGGATCATCCCAATCAGGAAAGCTGAAAAGAAGAACAGTTAATGGGACAAAACTCCCTTGCTTTCTGCTACTGGTGAGCAGAACACTCTGAATATCAGAAACAGAATAAGTCTCCATAGCTGATGATTTTTGCCTACTAGAATGTCTGCAGTTAAAGAGAAGCAATTTCCAGATGTAGATACACATTTAGTTTTAAAAACCAGTTTTTATTTACTAATGAGCTCTTGTAAAATCAGATTCTGACCCGTAGAGGCTGACAATTTTTCACCCTGATGTGTGTGTGTATGTGTGTGTGTGTGCTTGTTTGTTTGTTTTTTGAGTGGGTCAATTTGGACTCTAAGGTTGCCAGGATAAAAAAGGCTTAAGAAAAAGCCTTGTCACTTGGACATGGAACACAGCTGTCTGGTTTTACAGAGTCTCAGCTTTCTTGCTGCAAAGACTAACTGCAAGCTTTTTGGGAATGTTAAATTCACAGGTCCTAATTACCTGGGCCTATTAGCTAAAACCTCATGCTGTCTGATATGGGCTGTTTCAGCCTCTCAGCATGAGCTCTGCTGAACTAAAAGCAGGAACAGGCTCAATGAATAGAACTGTGACTCTGGGACTGCTGCAAATTTAGGACACCCCTCTGTGGGCCCTAAACTATGAAAAACATCAGTAGATGCCAGCTGGATTGTCTGGGTCACATCCAAATGCCCACAGGAAAGGACTTATTCTCTGATGGGACAATCTAAAATTGAGCTGCTGATCGACTCTATATTTCTGATTAAGTGGCTAATTGCATTCTTAATTTGTGATTCCTGCCAAAAGCTACAAGTTGGCGCACATCACAAGAAGTATGATCCCTCCACACCTATTCCTGACAGACTGGATTCTGGACTCCCTTTAGGGCAGGGGTCCCCAAACCCCAGGTTGTAGCCTGGTACCTGTCCATGGCCTGTTAGGAACCAGGCCACACAGCACGAGGTGAGCAGCGGGCAAGTGAACATTACCCCCTGAGTTCTGCCTCATGTCAGATCAGTGCAGCATTAGATTCTCATAGGAGTGCAAACCCTATTGTGAACTGCACACACAAAGGATCTAGGCTGTATGCTCATTATGCCTGATGATCTGAGGTGGAACAGTTTCATCCCGACACCATCCCCACTCTGCTGTACGTGGAAAAACTGTCTTCACATAAGCGGTCTCTAGTACCAAAAAGGTTGGGGACCACTGCTCTAGGGGATGTCTCACTGCTTTTGCCTTGTGTTTGGGTTTCTTGATTCATTGCAACTTACAACAATAGACTGATAAACCTGAGTCTACTTCCCTTACCTTTCTCCTCGCACACACATCTTAGTGGGACAGTTTGATTACTAAAGGAAGCTTTCCCCAAAATGGGATTTTTTCCTAGGCTGCTCACCAGATAATTGGTTAGGAAAAAAAGAGTGGGGAAGTTATGTAAATTCATTACAAAAATTTTTGAAAATTCAGAGTTCATCCTGACCAATTCCTGAATATAATGTGTCTTTCTGGTCAAATTATATAAATATATTGTTCTAAGAAAATGCTTTTGTCCCTCTTGCACTCAACCTTTTGGGATAAAAAGTCTGGGTGAGAACAAGAGATAGCTGGAAAACTATAAAGTTAAGATTGTTAAATGGGACACATTTTGTAACAAGACATAAAACAAAAACCTGGCACCTAGGGAGGCATAGGAAATGATTTGTTTTTCAGAACTGTTTTTGGAAGGGTTCCTCTCTTCCTGAAGGAAAACTTCTCCATGCTGCCTTCCTAAATGTCTTCAGCACTTTGAACTCAAACCGACTGCTGAGCCTATGATTACACCTAACAGCCCTGACTACGAGACAGCAGAGGCTGGCCCAGCTTCTGCATTTTCTTTTTCCTTTTTTAAAAAATTCTTTATTTTATTATTTATTTATTTTGAGACAGGGTCTCATTCTGTAGCCCAGGCTGGAGTACAGTGGTGTGATCATAGCTCACTGAAACCTTGAACTCCTGGGCTCAAGCACTCTTCCCACCTTAGCCTCCTGAGTAGCTAGGACCACAGACACGCATCATCATGCCTGGGTAACTTTTTTTTTTTTTTTTGACACAGAGTTTCACTTTTGTTGCCCAGGCTGGAATGCAGTGGCACGATCTCTGCTCACTGCAACCTCCGCCTCCCAGGTTCAAGCGATTCTCCTGCCTCAGCTTCCTGAGTAGCTAGGACTATAAACACCTGCCACCACGCTGGGCTAATTTTTGTATTTTGAGTAGAGACAGGGTTTTACCATGTTGGCCAGGTTGGCCTCGAACTCCTGACCTCAGGTGATCCACCTGTCTCGGCCTCCCAAAGTGCTGGGATTACAAGCGTGAGCTACCATGCCTGGCCTATTTTTTTTTATTTTTAGTAGAGAAGAGGTCTCCCTATGTTGCCCAGGCTGGTCTTGAACTCTTGCCCTCAAGCGATCCTCTGGCACTGGCCTCCCAAACTGCTGGGATTACAGGTATGAGCCTCCACGCCCACTCCCTGCACTTTCACACAGAACATCCATAAATATTGTCATCCATAGATGTGAGGCAAATGAACTCGTAACATGGACATGCAAATCTGTTTGGAACTGACTGTATTTAGGCATTCTTGAAGCCAAATACCAAACTGAATTAATTGGACTGGAAACCCTTGGGCAGGAGACCCAATGGTAAGAGTTCATACTGGGGACTGCCTGACTAATACAGATGCTCCTCGACTTATGATGGGGTTATATCTGAATAAAGCCACTGTAAATCAAAACCACAAGTCAAAAATGCATTTAATACCCCTGTAAACCAAGTCAAAAAACTGTAATTCAAATAATCATTAAGTCAAGGACTGTCTGCATATGTCCTGTTTGGAGTATCCTAACAATTGTGAATTCTTTGTTTCCAGGAGTACTGTATTAGTCCATTTTCACAGTGCTATAAATACCTGAGACTGAGAAGTTTATAAAGAAAAGAGGTTAAACTGGCTCATGGTTCTGCAGGCTGTACAGGAAGCATGATGACCGCATCTGCTCCACTTCTGGAGAGGCCTCAGGAAACTTACAATCATGGCGGAAGGGAAAGGAGGAGCAGACACTTCACATGGTGGGAGCAGGAGCAAGAGAAAGAGCAAGGGGGAAGGTGCTACACACTTTTACACAACCAGATCTCACAAAAACTCACTCTTTATCACAGCAAGGGGATGGTGCTAAACCATTCATGAGAAATTCGCCCCCATGATCCAATCACCTTCCACCAGGCCCAACTTCAACATTACAGATTACAATTCAACAAGAGATTTGGTAGAGACACAGATCCAAACCATATCAGGTACTATGAGTGTCCTCTGGAAATGCACTCCTTTCATGTGTACCCTGATTATCAGGACACTTCTGAAAAGCCTGAAGAACTAGATGATTCAACTTAACCAGATATGTGCTGTCCAAATTTATCTTCAGGCCAGATAAAAACGAAACTAAAATGCAGAAACTGAAGGCGGAAGCCACCTGGCTTTCTATGATAGACCTTTATAATCAATGAAATTTGTTTTAACTGGCCACATTCTGGACCTCTAAAGGGCTTAGCTGTCAAGGTACCTTGGCTAAATGCCAAGGGAGTGGACCATGCAGAAAAGAGTTAACATATCAGGCTTGAGATGGCTATCCTTACAAAGGCCTCCTTGCAAGACTGGCCCATGATTGGTATCTGGAAACTTGGATTCCTCTCCTAGGGAATAAACTTTCGACCTTTTAAGGTTTCCATAGTGGAGACAGGAATTTTTAAAGTTTTAGAAATAAAGATGGGGTCAGTATATATACAGTGTCTGTGTCTGTCACAGATGCCACTTCTACCTATTAAATTGGTAAATGAGTTTGGAAACACAAATTGAAGTCATTACTCATTGCTGGTGGAGGTACAACTTGGAACAATTGTTCTGTAGAATAATTTTACAGTATTTGTTCATGTTGAAAATAAATATGCCTTGGGCCTAGAATCCTGATTTTACATATATTCACCTCTATGTATTACCTAATATATGTATTTTCTGTATCTAAATGAGACGTAATGAGACCAACTTTTAACAAGCTAAAAAGATCAGTGTGCATCTATATACTAAGTGTAGTTTTGCAAAACTTTTTTATTATATATAGATGTAGATATACCACACACAAAGACATATGGCATGTGTATGTGTATATAAGGTTATGATATAAAATTACTTATTGTGGGTTATAATTTTGAAAAATTAATAGATATTATCCTAGGATAACTCCTATAACAGGTACACAAAGAGACATGTACAGTGATGCTTATTTTGGCATTATTTATAATAGCAGGGGTTAGGCAACCAGCAAGGGCTACTGTACAATGAAAGTGAGTTGGTGGTTTCATTATGTACCCCAACTGTCAAAATCTTTAGGTCTATTCCTTTAGGCTAAGTGGAGGAAAGAAGCTGGGGGAGGTCTCGCCATTTAGTTTGTGCACTTCTACTTAATCCCAATTCCAGAATGGTGCATCACCCCCAGTTCTATGTCCCTGTCCTTCTGGCACAGTTTTTCCAGGTTAATACACCTCCTGTCTTCTTCTTGCCATTTGGGATTGAATTAATTTTTCACTGTGTAGGACCGTCCCTCACATTTCGCAATGTTAATCATCCCTGACCTCTGCCAATTAAATATCTGCAGTGTTTTCCAGACATTGTTACAATTTTTCCAGGTATTTTCAAATACCGTCCTGAGTTGGTGATGGGCAGCACCACCCCAACTCACAGGAAGAAATCATTAAAACAATTGGGAACAATACTTTTTAAACATCTGTTCATTTGATTCAAAGTAGACTTACATCAGTAATATCTAAGTACAGAGATGTCTATGTCATACTCCCCAGTATACATGTAAAAATGAAAACTTAGTCAATATGCTCCTGAAATCCCATTAAGTGAGAATAAATTAAGAAAAAAGGATAAATCTACAAGGTCAAAAAGAATGAGAGGAAACAAGAGCTGATGAAAAATTTCAAAAAAGCTGGAATTTTGAAAACTGGAAAACAAATACACAACAGGCAACTAGTTTAGCAAAGCTAAATTGAGTAAGCAAAGGTCAAACCTAATTCTACAACCAAGAAAGAAAAAAAAGCAGCCTACTTTTTGTTAAAGAACACCAAAAAGTCTCAGAAATTGGAGGTATAGGTAGCTTTGAGGCATGGGATGTGGCTAAAAACTGCAGAGACTGAAAAATATTTTTTTTGAGACAGGGTCTCATTCTGTTGCGCAGGCTGGAGTGCAGTGGTGCTATCACAGCTCACTGCAGTCTTCACCTCCTGGGCTCGGGCTATCCTCCTGCTTCAGCCTCCCATGTAGATAATTAAAAAAAATTTTTTTTTTAGTGACAGGGTTTTGCAGGCTGGGCATGTTGCCCAAGCTGGTCTCAAACTCTTGGTGTCAAGTGATCTTCCCGCCTTGGCCTCCCAAAGTGCTGGGATTACAGGCATGTGCCACCACACTTGGCCAAAAAATCTTATAAGGAGTTAAGAATGACCAGATTCTCTCTCCCAGCTAATGCAGCTGAGCTAGTGCTCCTGTTCTGAAACATTGCTTTTTTTTTTTAAATGACCACAAAGAAAATTACTAGATTTACAAAAGTATGTATGATAAATGTACATGGCAAACATCCTTATGCATCTAAAATGCAATTTCCTTACTTAAAACCCTTCAATATAGTAGTCACTGTAAAATTTTTTTAAAGGCACACTCATATACCTTATTACAGTGGAATTTACAATTTTAGGTTCTTTACTACAAACTAATTTTGACCTAAGCATAAACTACCTTTTATTACTGATATTTTGTGTAAATTTCTTACTGCTCTAAGGTGAGCTTAGGTTCCTTAAAGTTAGGGACTACATCTATACTCTTGTTTTTGTTTTTTCAAATCTGCAGTGCCCAGTAGTGTTTTGCATATTATCAATACAAACTTTAAAAATTGTTTGTAGGTACTTGAATTTTAGGAATAAATAATAATATCAGTAGTTCAGGGGAGGGAGATAAAATAAATTCTTGACTGGAAACAGAAAAGCTTAACTATTAAAAAGCTGTCTGAGGCCACAGGTAGTGGTTCACACCTGTAATCCCAACACTTTTGGGAGGCCGGAGGTGGGAGGACTGCTTGAGCCCAAGGGTTCAAGACCAGCCCGGACAACATAGTGGGACTTCATCTCTACAAAAAATAAAAAAACTAGCCAGCCATGGTGGCACATACTTGCAGTACCTGCTACTCAGGAGGCTGAGGTGGGAGGATCCCTTGAGCCCAGGAGGTCAAGGCTGCAGTAAGTTTTGATCATGTCACTGCACTCCAGCCTTGGTGACAGAGTGATTCCCTGTCTCAAAAAAAAAAAAAGAAAAAAAATAGCTGTCTGAAACATTAACCAATGTTAAGTAGTGAATCTTTAATGCAGTCATTTTCCAAGTGCTACAAACCTCCACTCCCTTTGTATTAGTTCTGGCCTGCCATACTCTCCTGCCTGGCAGACTATAATAACCCATCTTCCATCTGTTTTCCCTTCTATAATCTTCCACCTGTTTTCCCTACATTTACTTCATCTTCATCAATGATTCTAGTAGTTATTTCTGTAACAATGATTCTCACTATTCAGGCAATGCAATCTTGGTCGTGAGGCACAGAGAAACTCTACTGGGTGATCTAGGAGAGGTTTCTGGATCATAAAATGAAACTCATAGTAATAAATCATTTCTTCTGTTTATGGATGTTGTCTAGAGACAGAAAGGACAAAGCTGAAAGTGGAAGACAAGAATATGCAAAGAATCCTAATTCTTTATGATGTCATTGAATCACTGAATTAACCAGTCCTTGATCCATCCTATCTGAGTTCAGCTGAATAAGATGATAAATCATTCTAATTGTTTATGCCATTTTGTGTGACAAAATAAATTTATCATTGTTCATGCTCAAATAAGTTTTCTATTTCTTGAATTTGAAGGCATTCTAACTAATACATAAATTGTCTTTCTTGACTTTCCTGGAATTGATAACTGTTATCTTTTTTGCACTTACGGGGGCCACCATAATATATGCAGTCCATTGTTGACCAAAATGTTATGTGGCAAATACTGTACTTATATAGAGTACTATATATATCCAATGATGCTGTATTTTCACTATAATTTTTCTATGTTTTGATATGTTTCAATATACAAATACTTACCATTTGGTTACAATACAACTGCCTACAGCATTCAGTACAGTAACATGCTGTACAGGTTTATAGCCTAGGAGCAATAGGCTTTTACATATAACCTGGGTGTATAGCAGGCTATACCATCTAGGTTGGTATAAGTATACTCTATGATGTTCACATGACAAAATCATCTAATGATGTATTTCTCAAAATGTATCCCCATTTTAAGTGACACACGACCATATTCTTATTTTTTCCAAAATGTTCCATCAGATTCATCATTATATATCCACATTATTCTCCATATGCAAAATAATCTATCATAACTCCTATTGCACTCCCTACTCCGAGATCCCCTCCTACACCAATCTGGGCCAGATACTCTATGGGCCTGCTGTACAACTGTCATCCTAGGGCTTTTCATTCTGGATCTGGTTCTGCTGTACAGTCTTAGGCTAAATCTTCCTACCTCTTGAACTATGCCCTCATTTTGCTAGAGCACATCCTCTAGTAGCCTACTGAGAAAGAAAACAATTAAAGGTAATTTTTTTGTCCTTTTCTTCTACTCTCTCCTTCGACAAGGTTGCTGACAATTTTGAAGTAATTATCTTATCATCATCTAGCTTACAATATTACTGCTAGGTGTCTTAATTCCCAATACATTTAAATGTCACTAGTTTTGCTCTCTGTGGAATTTTCGGATCTTCTCTTTATCTTCCCATGGATCTCCATAGCTATAAAATTTCACTGATATGCCTTGGTGCGGTTCTGTTTTTTTAATTGAGGTAAAATATACATAACACAAAATTTACCATTTTAATCATTTTTAAGCATACAATTCAGTGGCATTAAGTATATGCACATTGTTGTGCAACCATCACCACCACTCAAGTCCAAAATTTTTTCATTTTCTAAAACTCAAAGTCCATACCCATTAAGCACTAGCTCTTCATTTCCCCTTCCCCTAGTAACTACCATTCCATTTTCTATCTCCATGAAATCATGTGGTTCTTTTTAAAATTCACTTTTCTAATATGGAAATCCAGCTCCTTCATTCAGTTCTAGGATAAATTCTTTGATCATTCCTGCCTGTCCATTTCATTTCCCTGCTCTACTTTTTTGGAACTCCAATATTTGGATAATGGACCTCCTAGCTAGATCCTTTAACTTTCCAATCTTTGTCTCATCTTTAATCTCTTTATATTTTGTTCTATTTTAAGGGAAATCTCCCTAACTTTATCTTCCGAATATTCTACTCAATCTAGATTCCTGCTATCATATTTTAATTTCTATAGCTCTTTCTTGTCATCTTGTTGCTCCTTTTCCTATAATATCCTATATTTGCAGCTTGGACTTAGCGTCTCATCTATACAAAGGCATTAAATATTCTTTTAAAAAAGTTTTCCGGCTCAACATAGTTAGAGGTGTCAATTCTCCCCAAACTGATCTACAGACTTGATGCAATTACAATCAAACTCCTGGCAAGAATTTTTATAGATACAGCTGATTCCAAAATTTGTATGGAAAGGCAAAGGAACTAGAATAACTAAAAAATTTTTAAAAAGAAGAATAAGGTTCAAGGAAACACACTAATTGATCTTAAGTCTTACTCTAAACCACAAGAATTAAGACAGGGTCCTATTGGCAGAGGGACAGACACAGATTCATACAACAGAAAAGAATTCAGAAACAGGTGTATACAAATATGGTTAATTCATTTTTGACAATGGAGCAAAAGCAACTCAATGGAGAAAGGGTAGTTTTTTCAACAAATGCTGTTGGAACTACTAGACATCCACATGGGGAAAAAAAAAGTGCCGTCACCTAAGATACAAGGACAACTTATACAAAAATTAACTAAAAATGGATCATAGATTGAAAAGCAAGACTTAAAACTATAAAACTTTTAGAAGAAAAAACACAGGAGAAAATTTTCATGACCTGGGATTAGGGAGAATTTTTAACATAACAACAAAAGCATTATCTATAAAAGAAAAAAATTGATAAATTGGACTTTATCAAAATTAAAAACCTGTGCTCTGCAAAAGAGACTGTCATTAACAGAATGAAAAGAAAAACTACAGACTGGGAGAAAATATTTGCAAATCACACATCCAACAAGGAAAATGCTACAACCTAGATGAATCTCAAAGGTATCATGCTGAATGCAAGAAACCAAGTCTCAAAGGGCTATATACTATATGATTCTATTGATATGACATTCTCAAAAAAAAAAAAAAAAAAAAAAAACTATAGCGATGGAAGACAGACCAGTGGTTGCTAAAGGCTAGCGAGTGGCAGAGGGTACGACTATACAGGGACAGGACAAGGGAGTTTTCTTGGGGTGACAGAACTGTCTGAATCCTGATTATGATGGTGGTTATCCTAATCTATACATGTGTTAAAATTCATAGAACTGTATATCCAAATATGTCCATTTTACTGTATGAGAATTTAAAAAATAAAAGTTTTCTTCTACTACCTGAATTACTGAAAATCATCCAAGTCTCCCCTACCCCAACTTAT
The DNA here is from genome assembly GCF_000001405.40 of Homo sapiens. Lineage (NCBI taxonomy): Eukaryota > Metazoa > Chordata > Mammalia > Primates > Hominidae > Homo > Homo sapiens. The sequence goes on along the minus strand of NC_000007.14, from coordinate 92,270,452 downwards.
TTGTTTCAGCTTCTCTATGTCATGGTACAGAAGTTCCTCAAGTGTCTTTTTGGCTCATTATTCAGTTAAGAGTACTTCAAAATGACTGGAGGCCAGGTGTAGTGGCTCATGCTTATAATCCCAGCACTTTGGGAGGCTGAGGCAGGAGGATTGCTTGAGCCCAGGAGTTAGAGACCAGCCTAGGCAGCATAGCAAGATCCTGTCTCTACAAAAAATTAAAAATTTAGCCAGGCATGGTGGCATGCGCCTACAGTCCCAGCTACTCGGGTGGCTGTGGTGGGAGGATCATTTAAGCCCAGGAAGTCGAGGCTGTAGTAAGCTGTGATGACACCACTGCACTCCAGCTTGGGTGACAACAGTGAGACCCTATCTCCAAAAAAAATTTTTTTTAAAAGACCAGAAACTGTTCTCACTCATAGGTGGGAATTGAACAATGAGATCACTTGGACACAGGGCGGGGAACTCACACACTGGGGCCTGTCAGGGGGTCGGTGGGGGGTGGGGGATTGGCGAGGGATAGCATTAGGAGAAATACCTAACGTAAATGATGAATTGATGGGTGCAGCAAGCCAACATGGCACATGTATACCTATGTATCAAACCTGCACGCTGTACACATGTACCCTAGAACTTAAAGTATAATTTTTTTTAAAAAAAAAAAGACCAGAAACTGTATTACGGATAGTTATAGAAGAGATAGTTGAACACTTTCAGTTATAGGGAAGAAAGAAGATACAACACCAAGGTAGCCAATATATTTTAGGTGATGCCTGCTAACCCCTTGGAAGGTATCAATGAATCAAGTTACCATAGGCTTACATAGAATAAAGTCAGAATAATTCTAGTCTATAACAGGGCAACAGGTCCCTATAAAATGTTTGTTAACAGGAAAAACGTTTTCCTTACAGAGCTTTCTTAAAAAATCACATACTTAAATATTCTTCACAAATTCAGATGCTGTTACTGAGTAATCAGTATGTGAATGAAAGCGCAAGGTAACACAAAGACACTTTCCTAGTGGGTCTACTTCCCTTCTCTTGAAAGAACAAATCACAACATAATACAAAGACATTTATTTTTCTATTGGGTTCTACTTGTTTTTTCTAATTTAAGTGAAAGATTATTTCTGAATCGTAGGCTTACCTGATAATAGCCAAACTCTTATACTGCTGAACAACTATAGCCCTCACCTAAGAAAACTGGTTTAGAATCAGGGAATATTTTACTATTTTCCTGTCCCTCAATGCTATCCCACTGATTCAATCTAAGAAACAGGGTGAGACATGCTATTACAAAAGAGATTTCAGGAGAAAGTGAACCTATGCTATAGGTATTGCATAATACTTTCAATTGTATTATAAAATGAAAGATATAATTTCTAATGTTCTTCCTGTTTAAAGTCAAACATTAAGAAGAGTCTGGAAAACACTGTGGCCTACTGCCACATTTGCAAAAGTATCTTCTCATGATGAATAATTTATACTTTAGAGTAATGCTTTCCCCAAACATTCTACCACAAGCTGTTCTAAAAATGAAGGGTATTTCTCCCTTAGATCCCTTAAACTTACTAAGCAAAAATTTAACGTAAGGTACAGCTAGATGAGATGCAAGCCGAAAGGAAATACCTAGTCCATTGTGGTAGTGTTAATATTAAGTCAAAGGACACCAATTAAGACAGGCCAAGTGTAGTGGCTCACAGCTGTAATCCCAGCACTTGGAGAGGTCCAGGTAGGAGGATCGTTTGGGTCCAGGAGTTAGAGACAAGCCTGGGCAACATGGTGAAAGCTGGTCTCTACTAAAAATACAAAAATTAGCCAGGTGTGCTGGTGCATGCCTCTAATCCCAGCTACGGGAGCCTGAGGTGGGAGGATTGCTTGAACCCAGAAGGCAGAGGTTGCAGTGAGCCAAGATTGCGCCACTGCACTCCAGCCTGGGCGACAGAGTGGAGGGCCTGTCCTCTCCTCCACCAAAAGGAGTAAAGACAAATTCTAAAAGAAGATAATGCCTTTTATAACATGATCGCTTCAGTTTTTAATTCACTGATTTTGCAAAAAATACAATCATATGCCTTTAAAGATCAAGGGGCTAGAAATGCTTTCTTCCATTATATTCCAATTTTATTTACCTGACAGCGGTTCCATCACTTCTCTATTAAGAACAATCCAATTTTTCTGGAGAAATCCCCTTTCACCACAGTCAAAGCATAGTTTAGTAGAACTGGCTTCACTCCAGGTACAAAGTTAACTCAATGGAGAAAGAATAGGTTTTTCAACAAATGGTACTGAAACAACTAAATATCCATGTGCAAAGAAACCCTTTCCTTCTTGACGTATCTTCTCAGGACCCATCTTTAGCTCATAAACAAAACAAAAGTACACAGAAAGAATGTTTTCCTCTCCTCATAGTTAAGTTTGCAAACCAATCTGTACTTGAACTCGTTTTTCTCTTCTACCTATCACAACGAAAGTACACATCTTTAGAAGCAAAGGCGTATGTTCTATTTATGCAATAGGTCCCTTCCTTTTCAAAAACCTTCCCTTCCTTTCCAAAAATTATGTTATCTCATTTATCTTAACCCATTCCTATACCACCATTTCCCTAGAATCTAGAGAATGATAAAGGGCCTAGATCACCTATCAATATGCAAACATGTTCTGTTATTTTCTATCATTAAAAAATCTCCTGGCTTAAACGATGGTCTTCTCAATAGATGCATGGTCAACTGCATATCCACATGGAAAAAATAATCTTGAACTCTACCCAAAACCCCACACCAAAGTCAAATTCCCGATGAACTGCAGATGTATATGTGAAAGGTAAAACAATAATGCTTTCAGAAGAAAACATGAAGGAACATCTTCATGATCACAGTGTAAACAAAGATATACAAGACAAATAAAAATCTCTATGGAGATTTTTTAGGAGTATATATATCATTTAGGAGTAGAATGAATGAAAAGACACAGACTAGCATATACTACATGATTCACCTTATATGAAGAACCACAATGGTAAAACTGTGTTGCTGAAGTCATGATAATAGTCACTCTTGGGAGACATAATTTTTACTGGATGGATGAGGGAAGGCTTCTGGGGTACTAGTTATATTTCTCTATATCTAGATCTGGATGCTAATGACATAGTTGTGTTCACTTTGTGAATATTTATTGAGCTGTATTCTTGATTTGTAAGTTTTTATGTATGTATGTATATTCAAAAAGTTTCTTACATTCTAAAAAATATAAATGAAACAAAAACTCCACAAATATCCCACACGTAGCTACTACACCTTAACTCTGTTCTACCTAACAGTAAATCTTCTTCTCGAAAGAGTTGTTTACATACCTGTTCCATTCATCATTTCCCATTTGCTCTTCAACTCACTGCAATCTGGCTTCTATTCTCACCACTCCCTGACTGTTTATCAAGATCAGCAGCAATATCCCATGTGTGCCAACTGTCAACTCACTGCCTCTCAACTCAAAATTCATCCTCCATTACCCACTGCGCTATAATGAAGGTGGGCATTGGAAACTACTTTCCTTTGCTGGCTGTCATGCTGTTAAACTTTGTCAGTAGAAGATATGGGAGGGACACCACAGGAGAAAGGATTCTTTTCCTGGTTTTGCTCTGTTTCTCTCAGTAGGCTTCTGCCATGTGTGGATGCTAATAGTGAATCATACCTTCCTGTCGGCAACTTCTCTTGGGATCCTGGGGGATGGCTTCTAAGCATGTATCACCCCCATGAGTGGACTCCCAGAGAGGTCTACAGTTTTTTCCCCCAGCACCCTAGAAGATAGCTTTCCAGGCAGTACACAGTGCCCCCAGTGAGTTCCGCTGGTGGAGCACTTCCTATGAGCTGTTTTCCCTGGCCCCTCAGAGGAGGGTTTTCTACAGGTGAGTTCTTTAAGTGCAGTACCCCAGAGAACTTCTCTGCCATCCCAGTGATCTCTGAATCTCAGTCCAGGGATGGTAGAGGGGGGCCTCTTTCAGATTTGTTCCTTCCTTGGGTGCTCTGCCTCAGGCCTAGTGGTAATGGTTGCTCCCTATATCTGCTACATATATATACATATTCTTCAGAGTTCCCTTTTCCCCTCAGTAGGTAATCTCCTGTTATAGTAAATAATTCTTTATATTAAACTTTCCCTTTTCAATTACTTTGTGGTTTCTGTCACTTAACTGGACGCTGATCATATCACAGAATCCAGTATATTTTCTCCTACTCTCATCCTATCTGAACTCTTAGCAGCCCTCTGAACAAATGTTCTCTCCTCCTCCTTTCTGAAATACTTCCCTGTTTCAGCTACCAAGATACCAGGACCTCCTGTCTTTCCTCCAACCTCACTGGACACCTGGTTCTCAGATTCCTGATGGAATTTATCTGGTGTCTAAATGTTGGAGGTCCTCTGAGCTTGCTCCTAAGCCCCACACCTACTTCTTCAACTACATTTTCCCCTGGTTGATCTCATTCTGTTTTAGGAGTTTAACTACTACAAAAACTTACATATACTGATGATTCCTAACTTCTGAACTATTGACCTCTGTTCTGAAATCCGGACTCCTGTAACAGTGCCTACTTGACATCTTGTACTAGAGATATAACTGGTTACCTCCATTCTTTTGATCCTTTCCACCAACCTATTCTTCCTCCAATCTTATGCATCTCATAAATGACATTGTCACCGGCTCCCTCAGGCCAATAACAGAAAATTCATCCTTGAGTCCTTTCTTAGCCTGAAAATATACTATGAATATGACCAAACCTTCCCATCTCCTGGGTAATCCCAGCTCAGGTCACCTTCACCTCTTACCCTAACAACTTCAACAGCTTCATTCGTCTATTTCTACTTTTGCCCTCTCATCACTACAATCTATTTTCCACACAGCAGCCAGACAATAGTTATGTTTTGCTTTACAGCATAATTCAATGGCTTGAAGCTGCATTAGAATAGTATTCAAATTCCTCCCACATCGTGCTTAGTATGCTCCAGCTACACTGGCCCCTTTTTTGCTCCATGAATATATCAACTTTTTTCCTCTTTTTTTTTCTCTTTTAACCCTTAGGGCTTCTGCATACGCACTACCTTCAGCCTAAAATATTCTTATCATTACTCCCTCCTCAATTCTTAGGCTTTAACATCTTCTCATCCTTCCATCTTTGTCTCAAATATCATGTCCTTCACTAGGGGTAGCAGTTTATACCTGTAATTCCAGTGCTTTGGGAGATGGTAAGATCGCTTGAGGCCAGGAGTTCAAGACCAGCCTGGGTAACACAGCAAGACTCCATCTCTACAAAATGTGAAAAAAATGAGCCAGGTATAGTGGTACACACATGTAGTCCTAGCTACTTGGGTAGGAGGAAGGCAGGAAGATAGATTCAGCCCAGGATTTTGACGTTATAGTGAGATATGATAGCACCACTGAACTCTCTCCTGGGCAGCAGAACAAGACTGTCACTAAAATAAAATAAAAAATATCATGTTCTCAGAGATACTTTCTTTGAACACCCTATATATTGGTCTTTAATCCTGTTATCACATTATTCTCTATCACTGAATCTATGTATCCCTTCAAATCATTTGCTATAAATTTGATGTATTTATATGTTTAGTGTTTGTCTATTCTACTAGGTTATAAGTTTGCTAAGGGCAGAGACCATAATTGTTTTATTCACAGGTGTAACAATAGCACCTAGCATTTTGGCACATTAAAAAACTTAATAAATATTTATTGACAAATGAGGCTGGGCACAGTGGCTTATGCCTGTAATCCCAGCACTTTGGGAGGCCAAGGTAGGCAGTTCACTTGAGGCCAGGAGTTCGAGACCAGCCTGGTCAATGTGGAGAAACCCTGTCTTTACTAAAAATACAAAAAAAAAGAAAAAAAAATTAGTCAAGCGTGGTGGCACGCACCTATAGTCCCACCTACTCAGGAGGCTGAGGCACAAGAATTGCTTAAAGCTGGGAGGCGGAGGTTGTGGTGAGCCGACAACACGCCACTGCACTCCACCCTGGGTGACAGGGCAAGACTCTGTCTCAAAATTTAAAAAAAAAAAAATTTTTATTGACAAATGAAAGATTGATTCCTGAAAATATTCTCCTTCTTCTCTGAATTGTTACTATGGTTAACATTAATTTATTTCATGTCCACAATGCCATTGCCTCTTTCCCCATAATTGTAAAATTTCTTATTTTTTTAAACATGTAACTTAGGTTTTCCCTCTGCTACAATCCCTTTCCCTCCTTTTCGCTTCCAGAAAAAAAAAAACCAACAAACAAACAAAAAAAAAAACGACGACGAAAAACACTATCCTGAAGTTTGTTTCTTAAAAATGAAGAATACTCTAGGTGTTCATCACTAGGATAGATAAAATAAGTGATGGTTAATCATACAATGGAACACTGTGCAATAGATATAACACATGAAAAAAATTTTACACGTTCACTGTCTTAAGGAATATTTTATTTGTCCAGTCAAATTGTAAACTTGTGGGCAATGGTTTTATACCTCTTTATATTTCCCACAGATAATACCGTCCATATTTTCCAAATCCCAAATTAAGACACATAATTAACAGAGACCAACTATATTAAGTAATACTTGAAATCATACTTGTCCTGGATATTCTGGGAAGTGTGCTCATTATACCCATAAGCAACAGTGTAACACTGAACATAAGAGTAAGTAAACTATATCTATACATGTATGTATGTATGTATTTTGATGACTATAATGGTAACTATCAGCCAGAACCCAATCTATCATACTTCGGTGTTTCAGCAACTTTTTTACACTAACTTCTAAACAAAAGTATGAAACTTGAGAGAGGTATTGACAGTAATACTTCTTTTCCATTTGCAATAATATTCCTGACCTTAGCTACCCCAGAGATATTACCAAATCTGGGAAGAAAAAACTGGATATGCTTACTGTTTTGGCTACTCACATGGTTCAGAACTCAAGTAAGGAACAGAGGTCCCTTCAAATCCCAGCAAAATATCAGGTTTGTTAAGACATGTTTTAAGGAAAGTGGGAAATATAAGCTTTACCTCTTTTAACACAGTATCATTTATCTTTATGAAATCCAACCTTTCAAAAACTGACTGTAAAACTGTACTGTGTAAACACAAAAACAGGACAAAATGTTAACCAATGGATTAACATTGCTCTTCTTTGAAGAAATGCAACTTACAGGTTTAATATTACAGAATTAAATCTTAGATAATGTTGTTAAATGAACATATTTAATAATAAAGCTTGAAGAATACATGTGTAAAAACCTAATCCTGTGGTTTATGTACCTCCTGTCATTTCATTCCCATACAATCCTGCCTACATTTTACAATAAGAAATCACAGATTTTGGAAGTTTAATCATTTTGGAAAGACCTTATAGTATATTGAGAAAATTATGAACACAAATCTTGGTTTGAATCCTGGCTCTACAACTTACTAGCTTACAAGCTACTTAAAGTTTTTAAGTCTTTTTTCCAATATGTAAAGGTAGACAATTAGGCCTCCCTTCCTTGGCCATTATGAAGTAAGGGTGACAAAATGTGTAAAATACACACAATGTTTGTTAAATAGTAGGTACTCAGTAAAATGTAGCCATCATCACTGTGATCACTAATTAACTTGCCTAGAATCACACAGCTGTATCTGTTTCTAAAATCTTTTTTCTTTCTTTTAAAAATAATAAAATTATAGATAGTTATCTAAACTGGGAATTATATGGAAAAGTATAAAGAAGAAAATAAAAAGATCATTATAATCTCCAAATCCTGAATTAATCAGTGTCAACATACTGGTATATTTTCTTCTTCTCTTTCCTGTATGTATATAGCCTTCTTTTAATTGCAGAACCAGATCATGCTATATACTTGGAATCTTTTCTTTTGTACTTACTTTCTCATGAACATTTCTCCATTTGATTAACTACCCCTTGGACACATTTTAATAATAATCAAATTCTGCTATACAGATAATTCAGTTTTTGCTTTACATTTAAGTTGGTTCTAATTTATCACTATTTTGGGTAAAGTTGTGTTTATCTTTGAACCCAGGCTTTTTTTCCTACAGGGTATCTTAAGTCATGTAGCAGTATCTGTTTTCTCAGCAAAGCCCCTATTACTATGCATGTTGACATTCAAGTCCTGGCTTGGATATGAGAAAAAGAATTAATTTATACTGCATACATCTTCAGCTATAGATATGGAATCTTAGCATTAAGCACATTCTATTGCCATAGCAACAAAATATAACAGTTACATTTAGGAGGGAGTTAAGAGCTCCCATGTCTACTGTCTGTTGCCAAGGCCATAGATCTAGTCTGAGACTAGCACCTCTCCAACATCAGAAATAAGAACCTGAATCCTATGTATTTGACTTAATGTCTTCGAATTCACTTATTTTCCGTATATCTTAATGAAGTAATGAAGGGCACAGTATAACAGCCTGTAACACCTATCTCTTTTAAGATACGAAGAAGTGAGATTAGAGTCACTGCGCTTCCCTACATCCTGAAGAAATGGCAGCAGGATCAACGTTAAGTGCTACAATGACTCTTTCAAATAGAAAAGTTAGGACATGATTCAAAACATGATCTGACACTAGCGCAAAATACCTGAAATGAAATATCTGAAGCATATGACTTCCATAGCAAGCACATAAAATTCAAGTTTGAGTAAGAGAGCAAGGTGCTTCTGTGGAACCTAACTCCTCCAATTCACGCAGTTATTAAGCACTAGCTACACAAAAATACTAAAATGAACAAAACCCTCAAAATCAAAACAGGAACAATACTCTCAATCTAGGCTTAAAGGAAGAAAGAGGTATTAACATTTCTTGGAGAATATGAAAAAAAGCTATGGCTTTAAAGTTATAAATCATGACATAAAGTCATCTAAAAGCAAAATGCATACCAAAATATCACTACGAGTGTTAGGAATCATTGCAGTCAATAGCAATTAATAACTCATATACCTTAGAGAGAATGAAAGGATTTATGCCAGGTGTAGTATGTTGCCAAACAAAACAAAACAAAACAAAACAAAACAAAACAAACAAAAAACATAGTAATTTCTTTTCTTTTTTTTTTTTTTTTTTGAGACGGAGTCTCGCTCTGTCGCCCAGGCTGGAGTGCAGTGGCGCGATCTCGGCTCACTGCAAGCTCCGCCTCCCGGGTTCACGCCATTCTCCTGCCTCAGCCTCCCGAGTAGCTGGGACTACAGGCGCCCGCTACCACGCCTGGCTAATTTTTTGTATTTTTAGTAGAGACGGGGTTTCACCGTGTTAGCCAGGATGGTCTCGATCTCCTGACCTCGTGATCCGCCCGCCTCGGCCTCCCAAAGTGCTGGGATTACAGGCGTGAGCCACCGCGCCCGGCCAAAAAACATAGTAATTTCAAATCCAAACAAGAGAGGTTTGGACTTTATCAATTTTAGAAAAAGGAAAGCAGAGTAAATGTTGGAAGTCAATAACTGGTAGTCTACGCTAGAGTTACAGGATTTTTTCAAGTGTACTTCTCAGAGGAAAGGAATACTCTTCTTCACAGCTAAAATAATAAACTCCTGCAACAACTATTTATCAACCACCTATCATGTGCTAGGCATTATTGTAGGCGAAGGGGAATGCAGCAGGAACAAAATAAACTAAAATCACTGCTTTTTGTTTCTTTCTCAAATAAAGCCAGCAAGGAGAGTTTTGTGGTGCTGCAATGTCTAAAAGGGTAGCCAGCAAAAGCCTTACCAAAATGACTTTTTTTTTTTTTTTGAGACAGGGTCTCGCTTTGTGACTCATGCTGGAGTAAAGTGGCACAATCATGACTCATTGCACCCTCAGCCTCCCAGGCTCAAGTGATTCTCCTACTTTAGCCTCCTCCTGAGCAGCTGGGACTACCGCCATGTACCACCACGCCCAGCTAATTTAGTTTACCTTTTGTAGAGGGGAGGTCTCATCATGTTGCCCAGGCTAGTCTTGAATTCCTGGACTCAAGTGAATTCTCCTGCTTCAGCCTCCCAAAGTGTTGGGATTACAGGTGAGCCACCGGCCAAGCCCAAAGTGACGTTTCATCAACGAGCTAAAGAAGGTGATGTAGTGAGTCATGTGGTATCTAGGGGAAAGAGTATTCCAGATAGAGGAAATAGCCAGTGCATGCATAGGAGCATACCCTGTGTGTTCGAGGAACAAAAAGGAGGCCAGTGTTACTGTAGCATAGAGAGTAAGGAAGAAACTAGTAGGATATGAACTCAAGAGAATAGGGGCAGGCAACTGTGTAGGTAGGGTCTTAAAGATCACTGTAAATCACTACCTTTTTATTCTCGGTAAAAGGGGAAGTCACTGGAAGGTTTTTAGCAGAGAAGTGAAATGACCAGACTTACATTTAACAGGACTAGCCTAGCTGTCTGTTAAGAAGACTAATGGGGGTGAGAAGAAAGGCTAGAAGCAGATCATTTAGGAAGTGGCTGCACTAATCCAAGTACAAGGTGATGGTAGCTTAAAGACAGGAGGTAGCAGTGATGGTGGTGAATTCTTAGTTGGATTCTTGATGTACTCTGAAGGTAAGAACCAAAAAAATTGCTGACAGATTGGAAGCAGAAGTGAGAGAGAAGACAAAAATAAGAATGACTCCAAGGTCCTGGCATGAGCACCTGGAAGCAAGGGGTTACCACTACTGAGAGAGGAAGACTGCGGGAGGTGAGGTTTGGGCATGTGAGGGAAAATCTGCTTATATTTGAACAAGTTACATTTGAGAAGCTTATTAGATATTAGGTAGGCAAAAGGATATACTATTCTGAAGCTGAAATGTGAGGTCTGGGCTGGAGATACAACCTGGAAGTTGACAATTTACACATGCTATTAAATTGCTGTATAAAAAGTTTACAAAAATATAAATCCCCTGATAATTTCCTTTTTTCAGATTTATTTTTCCAGATTTAAAATGCAGAGATTTTCATCCTGCCCATCCCATCTAGACTTCAAAATCATAAATTATTTAATATACAGATATCAAATTGAATACAAAAAAAGCCAGAAATCCAATTAGGGAGACAGAAGTATACAGAAACTACAACAAGAAGTAAAGAGTATTGATAAGGAAGGTGGTAAGAACCATGGAGAAAGTCAAATACTACACAACTTTTAGGTTACGACCTGGCACGTGGACATTATGGCATGTGCTATATTTAAAACTGGTCCTTAGCCTGGTGCAGTGGCTCACGCCTGTAATCCCAGCACTTTGGAAGGCTGAGGCAGGTGGCTCACTTGAGCTCAAGAGTCCGAGACCAGCCTGGGCAACATGGCAAAACCTCATCTCCACCAAAAATACACCAAAATTAGCCAGGTGTGGTGGCATGCATCTGTGGTCCCAGCTACTCAGGAGGCTGAGACAGGAGGATCAATGGAGCCCGGGAAGCAGAGGTTACAGTGAGCCAAGATCGCGCCACTGTACTCCAACCTGGGTAATAAAACGAGACTCTGTCTCAAAAAAAACAAAACAAAACAAAACAAAAAAAACTCCAAAAAACAAACAAAAAACCTGGCCTTTGATGTGTGGTTGATGCTACTTCCATCTAAGGGCAAAAAATTCCAAATGGAGAGATCTCTTTTATGATCTCTTTTATTTAAATCATAATCTAGATAGCAGATGGATGAGAGAACCTACACTCTGTCTTTTCCCATTCCAACCCATCCTGCAAATGGCTGCCAGATTAATTTTTCTATGTCTATTCAATTTTGTTTTTACCTTCTCTTATGAGCTGAAGTTTGGAATTATAATTAATTTCATCAATTTTTTTAAAAAAATTAAGTTTCTCCATCAGAGTTTCTCACTACACAGAAAAATGATTTGAGGAACTATTTCTAAAATTCTCCCAATGATCGTATATAACCAGTACCATTCTAAGACACAGGAGAGAAACAAATTAATTTCATACAAAAGACAACAGCAATTAGCAGCAGCACTTGGGAACTTGTTAGAAATGAACACTCTCAGATCCCACTCAGACTTACTGAATTAGAAATTTGGGGGGGTGAGGCCCAGCAATCTGCACTTTAACAAGCATTCCAGGTGAGTGTGATACACATTAACTTTGAGAACCTCTGGCTTAGGACATTAACACTCAATTCTCTCAAGGATTATCAGTAGAAAAGACTACTAGACTATAAAATCCCTGAATTGGAACCTTATTATTTTTCATTTTCTCTTGCCTTATGCATCTGACATTTAATCCACATTCAGAGTTTTTGGGTAGTTAAAAGATAAGTATCCCCTCTGAGTTTCCCTGTTTCTCCTCATCCTATAATACCAAATTATCAGCCCAACCTTTATTCTCCCTTTTTACTTCTTCCTATTTTATAAGAAAAGTAATGTTTTTCAAATCGGAATATCATATCCTAATTTTTTTAAGTAATTCTGTAGATATCATGTCAAGTCACATTTCAGAGCAAGAAAGACTCTCAGAAGATTACTCAAATGCATCAACATACAGGTAAGAAAATGTCACCACATGGCAAACACACCTCTTACAGAAATAGAGAAAGATCAAAGAATAAATTAGCCATCTTTACAAGGCCTGAGTTTCAATAGTTGGTTTAACAGATTTAAGAGTTAGAATGGTTGAAAGATAGAATAATCTTTATTTTATTTTATTTTATTTTTTTTGAGACAGAGTTTCACTCTTCTTGCCCAGGCTGGAGCACAATGGCGCGATCTCTGCTCATGGCAACCTCCGCCTCCAGGGTTCAAGTGATTCTCCTGCCTCAGCCTCCCGAGTAGCCGGGATTACAGGCATGTGCCACCATGCTCAGCTTATTTTCTATTTTTAGTGGAGACGGGGTTTCTCCATGTTGGTCAGGCTGGTCTCGAACTCCCAACCTCAGGTGATCCACTTGCCTCAGCCTCCCAAAGTGTTGGGATTACAGGCGTGAGCCACCGCGTCTGGCTACAGTAATCTTTATTTTTATAATTGCTTTCCGGAAATAAAAGCAAATACATAATCAAAAACCACCAATTCTTTATTTATTGGCAGTAGTGCATGCCCTTTTTTCATTCCCTGCTCTACTTATAAATATAGAAAAAAGAACCTTAAATTAATAAGTATGCTATCTAGCTATCTAATGACATGGCACATCTTGTCCCCCACTGTCCTATCAGTGCAATACTAAGTTTCACAGAAACTAATCTCAAGACTGTTCATAACGACTTCTTCATTGTAACAATTTTTCTTTTCTTTTTTTTCTTTTTTTCTCTCTTTTTTTTTTTCTTTTCGAGACAGAGTCTTGCTCCCAGGCTGGAGTGCAGTTGGGCGATCTACTCGGCTCACTGCAAGCTCCGCCTCTCAGGTTCAAGCAATTCTACTGTCTCAGACTCCTGAGTAGTTAGAATTACAGGCACGCACCACCATGCCCAGCTAATTTTTGTATTTTTAGTAGAGACAGGGATTCACCATGTTGGCCAGGCTGGTCTCGAACTCTTGACCTCAGGTGAGCCACATGCCTCGGCCTCTCAAAGTGCCAGGATTACAGGCGTGAGCCACAGAGCCTGGCCAGCCCCTTGTGACAATTTTTCTAACCCAACATTTATTTTTCTGGTTATATTCCATCCAACAGAGACTACCTGGAGAAAGCCAGAGTGGAGATCATATGATACTTGGTATTCCAAGTTGAAAATCATTTTAATTGTACTCTAATCTTATGTCACAAGGGTTCTGAGGTAACATACAGATAATAAATCAAGTGGTAATAAGTGCCATGGGAAGCAGTGTAGCATGCCTAGAAAGAATATGGGCTTTGTAGCCATGAAGATCTTTTGGCTTCAAGTCTTAATTCTAGCCTTATTTGCCCTCATTTTATAAGATAGAAGCCGTAACATTAGTATACTGCCTCATATTGTTGTTACCTAGTTCTCAGTTATTTTAAAATACAAACTCCTTGAAAATAGGAATTATATGTTTTACATACCTCTGCATTCCCCCACATTGTATTTACACAGGTGCTCAAGAGATATTTGACTAATACTGGAATAGATTTTAATGTATTAGATAAACTCCTTAATAGGTGGCCCTTGCTTCCAGATCCCACCCCCAACTGAATTTTCTCTACTATAACCAAATTAACTTTATTAAAAGGCAAATCTGATCTTGTCCAATTCCATTTTAAAACCTTCTTAAGGTTCTCAGCTCTAAGGAAAAGTCCCTGCTAAGACCAGGATTCATCTCTTCACAGCCTATCACTTATAACTCAGCCCTGCCCACTAAACTACTAAAGCTCCTAGAATGTTGTCTCCTCTTCCCTACCAATTCCTCCTGAAAACGGTAACTCCTACTACTCATTCAAGTATCAGCTTAAAAGTTGTTTTCTCTATCAAGTTTCATGATAATAGCTCCCCAGCCCTCAACTAACTTCAAAGTCCTTCCTCCATAACTTGATACTACACTCAACTTACCATCTAAAACTATAATTAAATGTTTATCTGCTTCTTGAGTTATCTGGTAAACTCTTTAAGGATGAGAATCACACCATATTCAGTTTTATACCCCTTGTTTACCATAGTTACTGGCACACAGAACACCTTGAATAAGTATTACTTATTGAACATAATGCTAAAGTCCCATGTTCCCAACAGTTCCAATTTGAGAATATAATCATGTTTATTTCCGTTTGCGTATAAATAACTTTAAAACATGACAGCCCAATAGGTTAAAGAAAAAAAATTCTGGGGCTTTATCCTGAAGACACATTTATTATGGCACAGAAAGCAAAATCAGCACTATTTTTTTCAAAGAACAGAAAAAAATATATTTCATAAGAACTTGTTATTCTGGGGGAGGGGAAGGAGCTGCTTTATCTTGGCCCCATCCCCAGAAGTTACAGTCACCAAACTGGATATGATTCTCAGTTAAAGCAAGCAGAGCCATGAAGAGCGAAAGAATATAACGAAACTACTGCTCAGTCTGGAATGCCATCTGAAGACCACGAGGTGACAAGCCTGGATGACTAAACAGAAAGACAAATGAGCCTGCATTCCTGATAGCACTGTGGAACCACTATACCAGCTCCAGTCTACCTCTAATTTCTCATTACTTGAGGAAAATAATCCCCCTTGTTTATTTATATGACCCTTTTTTGGATTTCTGTGGCCGCTGAACATGATTACTATTTGATTAGAAAGTCAGAAGAAAGTTTAGGAAAAAGTTTGTTTAACCTAGAGAGGAGAGAGAGATTCTCAAGACAGGAACATCAAAAAGTCTTTAAAAGACAGATATAGATGATTCTATTAGTCCATTTTCACATTGCTGATAAAGACATACCCAAGACAGGGAAGAAAAAGAGATTTAATAGACCTATGGTTCCACATGGCTGGGGCCTCACAATCATGGCAGAAGGCAAGGAGGAGCAAGTCACATCTTACATGGATGGCAGCAGGCAAAGAGAAGAGAGCTTGTGAAGGAAAACTCCCCTTTTTAAAACCATCAGATCTTGTGTGACTTACTCACTATCATGAGAACAGCACGGGAAAGACCTGCCCTCATGCTATGATTCAATTACCTCCCACTGGGTCCCTCCCACAACATGTGGGAATTTAAGATGAGATTTGGGTGGGGACATAGCCAAACCATAGCAATGATTACATGAAATGCCAAAAGAAAAATTTATAATAAGTGATACCATAAACTAAAACAAAAGCAAACTTACAAAACTTATTTGTAAATTAAGTTAAAGGTTTATATCCATAATAAGGATATCAAAGAACACCAACATATTAGTAAGGGAAAAAATCCAACAAGAAAAAATGAGTAAAGATATGAATAAGCAATTCACAGAACTGAAAATCAAAATGCCCAACAAATATATTGAAAGATGGCTAGCCTCATAAGTAGCTAGCCTCATAAGTAGTTAGGGAAATGCACCATAGGAAACTTTTTTTTAAAACTCATTTTATTGTAAAAGAAAAGCATTCAGTGACAGTTTATAGAGAAAATAATTACTCTCAGACATTAATGGTGACAATTAGAATTGTGTCAATATTTCTGAAAAATAATTTAGCATTAAGTATTAAAATTAAATTGGTATATACTATGCACAAAGATATTAATTACAATATTATTCATAATAGAATACTAGAGACCATCCATATGTCCAAAATGAACACAGTTAAGGTTTCAGATATCTACTGCTACAGAACAAACCATCCCAAACTTAGTATCTCAAAACAGTATGTTATTTTTCACAACTCTGTAGGTTGGCTAGCAGTTTCTCTGCTGTTTTCATCTCTGGTTCCTGTGCGTTCAGCTAAAGGGTCAGCTGGGCTACTAGGTCCTAGATAAACCACTTTCATATCTGCCGGTTGGTGCTTGCTGTTAGCTGGGGTATCTTGGTTCTCCTGCAAGACACATCTAGTGCTTCCTTACACTAGACCAGCTTCCTCACACTCAGCTGCAAGAAAGTATTCCTTGAAGCCTTGTAAGGAGTTGGTTCCTGAACTCATAGATCACTTCTATCATATTTGTTCGTCAAAGTAAGTCACAAGGCCAGCCAAGACTCAAGAAAGAGATGGAGAAATAGATTCTACCTCTAGACAGAAAAAGCAAAGGCACACTGCAAAGAAGAATGCCTACCAAAACAGGAGAAATTTATGACTGTTAAACATTCTACCACTGGTAGGCAGGTACAGGTGTGTGTATGTGTGTGTCTGAATGTACACACATACTCACATGCACAATGAAATACTATGTAAGTTGTTAAAAAGAATGGAAAGGTTTTCTAGATAAGTAAAAAAAAAAGGTGTAGAATATTTAATATGGTATGTTACCATTTGTGTCTGGGGAAACTATGTGTATATTCTATCACATATATGTATGTTTGTAAATTCTTGAAATAGATTTAAAAATTAACTATTAGAATATGTAAAGGTGTCTGCAAGCTAGCTGAAGATGCAGGGCAGTGAGGTCATGTTGGGAAGACTACCAGAAGTGCAGGCTAATTAGCCTAGAGGCGAGGACAATGGGTGTTGTGTGGAAACAGAGAGTTGCACAGAGTCATAGGCCCAGTGAAGGGTTGTGGTTCCACAGAGGCAAAAGCCAGCAGGCCCCTCAGTTAATGATGTGTGTTAGTAGGGGTAGATGAAGGTGGGAGATGGTCTACATGGCAGGGAGAATGGTAGCCTACTGGGCAAATAAATAAAACAACTGGGGAAATGATAAATATATTCAGGCTAATGCAAAGCCTAGTTTATTGCTGCCAGAGAAGGCATTCATAAACATTTCAAGGGAGAAAGCTAGGAAAAACCCTGGGGTGCTGGACTAGAATTGGAACTACAGGAACAACTTTATGATTCTGTAATATGTACACACAGGTACAGAAATAATTATGTATGTACATGAGTGTGTGTTTTGCCTATGTGTGTGTATACAAACCATATACAAGTGTCCTAATTCTGTCTTTTATGACGGCTTGGAAGCAATGACACTCCAGTAGCAATGAACACACTAAGCCCCCAAATCTTTGTTTTTAAATACCATCTTTCACAAAAAAAAACAACCCACAAAAAACAAAAATAGGGCTCCTTGGAGAAATGGCTGATTCCAGGGCTCTAGCCCTGGAATCTACTTTGTCTACTCTAGTAGACAAAGCACAAGATGAACCAGGAACAGCTTGTTCTGCCAGAAAGCCCTAAGGAAATGCACAATCAATGAGATAGGGGCATGATATACGGGCAGACGAGCCAGCTTGAAGAGGTTACCATTGGCTAAGTCAGGAATACCTTAAAAAGCAAAATAAATAACAATAGCAACAAATCAGAACACATTTCACAAAATTGAAATCCATGAGTCTTTACTATTTTAATTTTAATACATAAGAGAGAAAGAGGTGAAACCCCATCTCTACTAAAAACACAAAAATGAGCTGGGAGTGGTGGTGGGTGCCTGTAATCTCAGCTACTCGGGAGGCTGAGGCAGGAGAATTGCTTGAACCTGGGAGGTAGAGGTTGCAGTGAGCCAAGATCACACCACTGCATTCCAGCCTGGGCAGCAGAGCAAGACTCTGTCTCAAAAAAAAAAAAAAAAAAGTAGTACCTTATGACATAATACCAACTAATATGCATAGAAGAAATAACAGAAAAAATATTATTTGGCAATCATCATAAGAGTGGTTAATTCAGGTGGGAGTCATCAATGACACCCACCAAAGCTAATGAGTGGAGGGTTGATGAGAAACAGGATACTAGCATAATTTTGGAATACATCTCCACAAACACTAATAAATCACAAAGGGCACAAATATAATCTTGCCAATATCACTATTAGTGGCATGGTTTTACATTGTATGCCTCTGGATGCAACACACTAAGAAGGGCACACAGCAGCATTTCTGTGGTATTACTGCCAGGAATGCATAACCTGATTGGAATCATGAGGAAGAATTATATAGATCTAGGATGAGGGTCACCACACAGAATACAGGGCATAAACTTATTAAAACTATCAAGGACATGAAAGATGGAAAACTGAGGCTGAAGAACTACGAACAGACATAACAACCAACTGTAACATGTATTCCTGGATAGGATCCTGCGCCAGAAGATAAAGAGATATTGTTGGCATAGTACACGAAATTTGTATAGATTCTTTGGACTAGATAGCAGTGTTGTATCCACGTTGATTTTCTTCTTTGGACAGTAGTATGTTGGCTGTATAAGAGAGTGCCTATTTTTAAAAAACAGACGCTGTAGTGTTTAGGAGTGATGTGATACCATGTTGGCAGTTTGCTCCAAAAGGTTCAGAAAAAGACTGTAATGAGGAGGTATGTATGTATGGAGACAGAGAGAGAGAGGGCAGGCAATGGAAGAAAGTAAGCAAAATATTAACAATAGGAGAAATCTGGGTGAAGGGGATGTAAGAGTTCTTTGTACTGTTCTGGCATTTTTTCTTTAAATTTGAAATTATTTCAAAATGATTTTTTTCATCTGAAAATAAAGATGTGATATAGAACATCTAGTGATACAGCAAATGTGAATCACCTATTGCCTAAGGCCAGGAAACAGAATGAAAACCCTGGCTGAATATGTTGATTTACATACTTTCCTTTACCATACTCTGAAGGGACGCATTAACAAGAAGGGCAATGTTTTCATGTCTATTTGGAGAACTAAGAGCATCTCAATGAACTCTCCCTTCTCTTCATGGATTTTAAATGAACATTTTACAGCTCAGTGAGGAAAGGAATCTTGACTTACTCATCTTTGTAGACCCAGCACCTAGCCCATTTATAATTTAGTCATTGTTAATGTCCTTGAACAGGAATTCTACCTCCAATATTGTTTCAGTGAGAAAAATATAGTGACTTGAGTAGCAAGGATTTTGCTACACTGAAATGAAAGGACTGTCTATGTTAAGTTAAAATTATATGTCAGACTGAAGACAGAAAAATATCAAGGATTAACTTTCTTAGCAACTCAAGTATTAAATATCTGCTCTACAGTCCTAAAAACAGAAGAGTGTATAACCAGTAGTAAAAATCATTATCCTGAGAATAGCAAACTGCTAACAGTTTTTGGTTAAAAATTAATGATAGAATAAAATGTTGAGGATAAAAATAAGGCTTTTGGAGAAAAGAGTTGACAGTGAAAAACCATGTTTTAAAAAATGCTGAGTGTCTGAAAAAGTATTAGACAGAATCATATCAAATTACTGATAAAGTATATATCCTACCAATAATGAGCATGATAATTTTCAAATCTGAAAGAATACATTTTCATTGCAGAAACTAAAACTCTCCAAGGCCCTTAGTTGCCAAAATCAAACTCAAAAATTTTAAAAGCTGAATAGATTTCACATGGCTCAATACTCTACCCTTCCTGGAGAATACACACATTTTTAGCACATTTTAAAAGCTTGTGGTCCCGTTGTAGAACTAGAGGGAAAAAAAGGTAAACATGCCTGAAGATCTGTTACAGTTAACCATAATGAACTTTAGAATTATGTCTTTTCAAAAGTTTAAACAATGACTGAAAATTATTTTTGATAGTATATAATTATCTGCTTTATTGATTTATTTATTTTTAGGCGGAGTTTTGCTCTTGTTGCCCAGGCTAGAGTGCAATGGCGTGATCTCGGCTCACTGCAACCTCTGCCTCCTGGGTTCAGGCGATTCTCCTGCCTCAGCCTCCCGAGTAGCTGGGATTACAGGCATGTGCCACCACGCTCGGCTAATTTTGCATTTTTAGTAGAGATGGGGTTTCTCTATGTTGGTCAGGCTGGTCTCGAACTCCTGACCTCAGGTGATCCGCCTGCCTCAGCCTCCCAAAGTTCTGGGATTACAGGTGTGAGCCACTGCACCCAGCCAAATTATCTGCTTTAGAACACAAGATATACTAGTACCTTATGAAATTAGGATTTTTCTATTCAAAGCAATATTAGAGAATTAAAAACTGTTAATGACTGTACGACAGCTTCTCCCCTTTAAGGACTGTAAGTCAAATCTTTTCGAGAATATTACAAGAAAAAAAAATCCAGTAATACTATACACAAGATTCTGTATGGCTTTTTATTATTAAAATAATTTAGTTTAGTTTATTCGCGTGTGGGGGGGGAGATCTTTAAATGGAGATAAAATATATTTTGGGACTGTTCTAAGGATTAAATGAGATAACGTATGTAAAGCACTTAGCATGGTGACTGGCACAAATTAGGCACTCAATAAATGGCATCTATTGTGCTTATTCTTTTTTTTTTTTGAGACAGAGTCTCACCCTGTCACCCAGGCTGGAGTGCAATGGTGCGATCTCAGCTCACTGCAACCTCCACCTCCCAGGTTAAAGTGATTCTCCTGCCTCCACCTCCCAAGTAGCTGGGATTACAGGGGCGTGCCACCACACCCAGCTAGTTTTTTGTATCTTTAGTAGAGACAGAGTTTCACCATGTTGGCCAGGCTGGTCTTGATCTCTTGACCTCATGATCTGTCCACCTCGGCCTCCCAAAGTGCTGGGATTACAGGCGTGAGCCACAGCACCCGGCCGCTTATTCTTATACACAGGATATGAAACAACCTTGCAACAGGGTCAAGTGGCTTAAAAACCTGTAAGAGAAGCCAATAAAGGCAGGTGAATAGAAATCACAGTCAAATATCTAGACTGGTAACCTCAATGAGGAAAGGAACCTTGACTAATTTACCCTGGTAGTTCCAGAACCTAATAAAAGTGCTTGGCACACACAGTAGATGCTCAACAAAGGTTTACTGAAATGAAGTGGACATGAAAGTATCTGGAAGGCCAGGCGCAGTGGCTGACACCCATAATCCCAACATTTTGGGAGGCCAAGGCAGGCGGATCACCTGAGTTCAGGAGTTTGAGACCAGCCTGGCCAACGTGGCAAAACCTCGTCTCTACTAAAAATACAAAAATTAGCCGGGTGTGGTGGCGGGCACCTGTAGTCCCAGCTACTTGGGAGGCTGACGCAGGAGAATCGTTTGACCCCAGGAGGCGGAGGTTGTACTGAGCTAAGATCACACCACTGCACTCCAGCCTTGGCAAGAGAATGAGACTCCATCTCAAAAAAAAAAAAAAAAAGAAAGAAAAGAAAAAAGAAAAAAAGTATCTGGAAAAGAAAGAGGCAGTCTGAGGTTATCTGAAAAATAAACTGAGAATCCAAAAATTACCATTCCCCCTAAGGAAGTCACTTTGAAAAGTAAATTAAAAACCTAAACATTTTTAGATCAATGTATAAAAACTCCCACAGACTGGTCTCTTTAATAATGACTTAGTCCACTCCCAAATCCTTTTTGGCAAATGTGTCAAATATTTGAAGGAAATATTTTAAAACTTAATCTAAATAAATGTCATATGCATCCTCAATGGGGGAAAAATTACCCAAAGCACTGAGGAATCTTTTCCAACTTCATTTCAAGGACATTCAGATTAACTTAATTCATAGTTCTTCCATCTACTTATATATGAAAATGAGCTCGCACTTTTATCTACAAGCAAGTTGTAAATACACATATTTCACTTTCACAAGTTTGAGTGCATACCCCAGAAAAGAAAGAGGAAAGAAAACCCACTCTTTGAGAAGTGGGCAGTGCCACAGGAGTACAAAAGAGTGGCTAACAAAACTTCCCTCCCATGTTTCAGGAGTCACCTACCTGTTAGAGCCCTTGTTTACAGCACAGTTGGCACAGTTTCAGACTCCTTACATATTGAAAACTCAAAATTCTCGGTGTAGTGGTCAAGGGAACAGTGAAATAGGAAAATATAGTTCTATCTTCCCCATCCTACCCCAAGGAAAAGAGAATCAACAACATTTTTTCTAAGACTTCTCCAAGATAGCGCCCATCACCTCACTATAGCACCCTACTCTTATTCAGAAACTGAACAATTTTACAGAAAGCAAAAGCCACACCCTTAATAATACACTCAACTCTGCACAGTGCTTGGCTTCTGTGCTAAGTACATTTCCAGAGACAGAGTTGGAGCTACATCTCCTGAGCCTACTTCAAATTAAAATCTGTGAACAGTGAGAAGTTACAAATCAGATAATAGCCCAAAATCAACTGCTGAAAGGAGGTTGGGGGGAAAAGTCATTAAACACATCCATCTTTCTTAATGAAATGACAATGTTTTTCAGCAACACAAAACACCAAAGCTACCAGTCTACACTACACAGTAGTTTGCAGAATGACAACCTGCAGTACACAGTAAAATTATTCTTAAATTATCGTTTGCTTCCTATGGTGCTCTGAAAAGTAGCAAATGCATAAAGTCATATAAGAGCTATTGTCCAATCACTGACAGCATTAAAATTATTTTTAAATCTAATTTCTGGAAAGTTCTGCAGGAGCAGTTTGAAAAGCAAATCAAATTCTAATGAGAAAAAACGCCTAGTTCAAAAATCTGAAAATATACTTTGAAGACATTCACAGTTTAAGCAGCAGGAGGGTCATAGGCACCAAGGTGTGTAACATCTGTGAGTGGCTGATACAAAAAAAGATTTCTCTGGAATTAATGATTGAAAATAATTATCAAATACAATCTAATATGATCTTTAAACGTCTGTCTCAAAAGCAACAAAGCAAAAGCTTGTAACAAAGCAAAACCTTCCAATACACAGATTTTTACACCTTACACATACCCACATACTTCACAAATTAAGAACTAGATGAAAATTAGAACACTAAAATTTAAAGGTATCTAAAATACACTATTTGAAACAGCAGACTCTTATCTTTACATTTATCTGTCAGATCTACCAGTAAAGCTCTTCTGAAATGGTCATTCCAATACAAGATTGTTCGATATGCCATTCCGTGTGAATAGAGCTTGGGAGACTAATTCTCAAAATCTCCTCAGGAGATGCTTTATTACAGCTCTAGTTTCAATTTCCTGCGACTCAAACAGCTACGTACAGAAAAACAGCTCATACATACGGAGAAGAATAAGAATACAGGGGAGCGCTCCATTCTTTTGTTTTGGTGGCAGAAGCTGCAAAAATAAAGGTTCACTGGAGCCATCTGCACCTATCCCCACCCATCACAGCCCTGCAGAGCACTTTTACCCATCCGCTTCTCAAGACTCTCTCTAGCCCCCGAGGTCGGCAGAACCCGTGGCTTTCCACGTCTCAAAGGATGGGGGTGGGGGGGAGGCTGCGAGGAAGGACACAGATCCTTTGAGGACAGAGGGACAAGGAGATGCATCCAGATGGGGAGGATGGGACGCGTCACGGAGACCCGGAGGCTTGCAAATTCGCTGGGAGAAAAGCCCTGTAGGGCAGAGAATGCTGCCTGTTCAGGGATGGGGACAGACAGAACAACAATGCTCCAAAACAGGCGACAGACACACTCCTAGTAGATCCGGGAGGGTGTGAAGTAGGTAGCTCTGAACTCGGAGCCACAAATGGGTAGAGGCAGCCTCAAACACATCTGTACCGCGAAGCTGAGACTTACGGTTACTTCTCTCGCTGAGGGTAAGGGTCGGTGGACCCAGCAACTCCGCAGTTCCGCCTCCGCCGCCCCTGCCTCTACAGCCGAGCTGGTGACCTCAGGTACCCAGCCCGCCCCACCCACCCGGACGGTTGCCCCTTCCTCGCCGGCCCGGGTGCACCCGCCAGGCGGAGGCTGATGTGGCCGAGGGTGCGCACTGGCGGCCCGCGGGAAGCGCTGCGTGAGCCGAAGGCGCCCGCGGCGAGGCTCAGACTGGGTGGGCGCCCCCCATCCCTCTCCGGCCGCTGCGCCGCCTCACTCGGGGGAGGGGAAGAGGGGGCGGTGGCTCTTGCCTCCGCCTCGCGGTCAAGCCCGGCTCATGTTCCAGCCTTGCGCGCTCGCAGCCCCGGCCGCCCTCTTCCCCTCCCCCGCCTCCGGCTCCGGCTCCGGCTCAGCCGCTGGCACCCCCACCGCCACCACCCTAGTCTCCTAGTCGCCTGCCACCAGCCCCTGAGAGACTGCAGGTCCAGTGAAAAGGAGCAGGAACGGCAGCAGCCCGGCCGCCGACCCGGAAGCTCTTTCACCGCCAACCGCGAGGCTGCAAAGGGTGTGAACCCGGAAGCGATTTCATAGCCACGGTAACGGCGGGGTGGAAAGCTAAGGCCTTTGAAGACCTGGGACCCCGTAGTTTCGGGAGAGGGTGAGGGGTGAATGGTGCTGAGGTGCGAGGAGAGGGAAGGACAGTAAAGAGCAGGTGGGCAGGAGGGTCTCCGACTCCAGAGACCTGAGCTTTTGGGGCGCGGGTGGGAGCGCGGGGGAACCCTCAAGACGGCTTTCTTTTGGCGACTGAGGGTTTTTCTGCCACAGGAAGCTGGGCCGGGCTGCTGTGCCTGGGAGGAGGGAAGGAGGAATGAGAAAGCGGTGACGGTCCCTGCCCCCCCTCGCCAGGTGACTGTCCCACCCATTTAGTTGAATGTAGCGGCCAGAGAGGCACTCGCGGCAGCCCGTACGGGTGGGACCTCTCGGTGTCCTTCGGGAAACAGGAGGAGCAAGTTCGACTCCAGCGAGGGAAAACGGAGGTGGGAGACTGAACCATCTCCACATCTAGTTGCCCCAGGCAAGGAGTTTATTTTTCACATGTAGTTACAGAGAAACCATAGCCACTTTTTGGGTGGAAACTCTTTGAGCAAAGAGGCTTACGTTTTTCCCCAGTAGTGGACGTTGACGGGTGGTGGCGCAGGAAAAAACCTCCCAGGCAGAGTGATTACGTATTTTTGTCATTGCAGGGAAAGGGATTCACAGCTTGTCATTCTAACTCACTTCTCCCCCTGTAACTCACTTCTCGCCTCTACACTTTTCTCCACCTTTTAAGGTTTTTGGCTTTCATCGCTTTTTCTACATGTTTTTAGCCTCACCAGAAGTCTTTCATCTCGGTGGTCCAACTCAGGATCTCAGCCTCATTATTTTCTTACCCTTCTGGAGTGCATATGTGCCTTTACAGTTTCTGTTTGCAAACGCTGTCTAGCATACTAAGAGGATGTTAGCAAACCTGTTCCATGGACACTAAATGGCAGTTGTACATCTCCCCTCATCAGTCATAGTGACAACCAGAAATGCCCTCCATATTTTCCAGTGATCCCAGGTAGGTGCCACCCCCCTAATTAAGGACCACTTCCACTGCTTTATTTATAAGATCTTATTACTTAGGGAGCATATTATCATTTGTGCCTAACATTTTCCAGAATGGAGTGAGCCATATAACAAAATGCCACGTTTCCTGTACTTATTCACTTGAACCCTCATCTCAGACTCAGTCTAAACATATTGCAAACTCTAGTTATACCTTTCTTGTATTTTAGTTCAAGCTACTCATTTTCTATCAGTTTGTCTGTGTTTCTCCCTTAGCAGTTTTACCTTCCTATGTTAGTTACTTTTGTTATTTTCCTGTTAAGCCTTTGTTTCCTTCTTTCATGTCACTGGAAGAATGTAGATTTTAAGTAGTCAAGTACGAATAGTTCTTGAAAATGAATTTTAAGAATATTTTGGGGATATGGTAAAAAAGTATTTGGTTTAAGAAAACAAAATACTGTTACTGTCATAGTTATGTCTTTTTAAAATCACATTTGTTTACCTTTTAAAAGTTCAGGCTTCTGTGCAGTATTAATTAAATATTCTAGAGAAGTGATGAGTATTGACAAAGTACTTTGCTAGTAAATGTTTTCTTAACATGAGTTGACCAAGACAGGAATTGATTTGCTTTAAATTGTCTTTAGAAAAGTAAGAGTTACTTGATTTTTCTTTTAGGTCCTTAATAGATAAAATGGTTTCTGTAATTGTGCCCATATATCATACAGTGTATTCACAATACAATGTCTTTCTTTTTGGGGCTTGCAGTCTTCAATGCGTCTGTCTCATAATTTGTAAACGTTTATTATCTTGAAGTCATTGTTAATCTGTGGTGAAAAGTAATTGCTAAATAGAAATTCTGAGAAGAAAAAGGCCTCATCCTTTTCACATGATGTAGGAAGGTCTGTTGCATGAGGTGGGTTTTAAGAATGATTTTATACAAAAAATTGAACTGAAAAAAATTTCATGAAGTATATAATGATAAAGAATGATAACGTCCTCAAAACCTTTCACACAATGAAATGTCTCTATCCTAATGTGTCACTGTATTTTTTTCTAGTGAAATATCTGTAGGGTTTTTTTGGATCTAAATCAATGGAAAGTTTTAGAATTTAAAATAAATTTGAAAAGTATTTAAATTATTTTATTTAAAATTTTTGTACAATAATTTTAATGGTTGTTTTAATCTTAGGCTAAAGTTTATGTAAAATGCCAAAAGCTACTGTATTTTAAAAGAATTTCTTCTTAGGGTAATTTTACAATCATAAGGCACTTTTTAATTATTATTTAGGGAAGTGAATTAAAAGTTACAGAGTGACATTTTCAGTTGCAGTGGAAGAAACAGGATAAATTACTCTATCGCCTCTCAAATAACATTCAAAACCCTTTCTTGAAAATGGTCTATCTTGAGAGTTGCAGCAGTAGGGAACTCATTAAATATGAACAGGTAATTTTAATGCCTAATGGTTTTTAAAAAACTGAAGAAAGTTCATCTCAACATAGCTGGGAAAGAAACTCTTTAATGTTCTTTTAGAAATTTACTGACAAATAAATGGGGAGAAGCTTTTTCAAAAAAAGATAAAAAATAATCAGTACAGAAAGATGCACTTTAGTGTAGCCATGAAAGAAATTTATTCAATGAAGAAAACTATTATACAACTAAGATTGTGGTTGAAATTCAGTCACTTGTTGGAAATTGCGCAATGGAGACTTAAGATTTAGTGGGACAAAGTATATGCATAACACACACGCACACACACACACAGTGAATATATTTGGAATAAAAAATTTGGATTATTGACAGGTGTGGTGGCTCACGCCTGTAATCCGAGCACTTTGGGAGGCCGAGGCAGGTGGATCACTTGAGGTCAGGAGTTTGAGACCAGCCTGGCCAACATGGTAAAACTCCATCTCTACTAAAAGACACAAAAATTAGCCGAGCATGGTGGCACACGCCTGTTAATTCTGGCTACTCAGGAGGCTGAGGCAGGAGGGAGAATCGCCTGAACCCGGGAGGCGAGGGTTGCATTGAGGCGAGATTGTCACTGCACTCTAGCCTAAGTGACAGAGCGAGACTCTGTCTAAAACAAAACAAAACAAAAATTTGGATTATCAAGGAAATTGATAAGGGAAATGGAAAAGATTCTTAAATCACCTTCAGAAAGCTTTTATCAACTGACCAAATAGTTTTGGTTCTGTGATAAGCAACTCCAAAGAAAATTACATACTACGCTTTAGCTCATCCAAATGTCTGATATCAAAGTTATCCTTGCTGAAAGTTCTGGAGTAAATGTCAATGGATATAAAACATCTACCATTTCCAGCTTCCAAACTGTTAACAGTATAACTAACATTCACTTTTGTAATTTATGGAAAAAGTGTATATTATTCTGAATCACTATTTCAAGTCATTATTTACAAGTTATTTTATAATCATCATCACTTTTTTTTGGCCCCAAAGGCAGATTCTTACTATGCAGTTAACACCTATGAAAATGTATAACCCTATTTTAAAATGAAAAAAGAAATACAAAGGAAATCTTAAATTATCAGCTAAGGTTTTGAGTAGTTGAACAGTAAAGATGCAGTCAAAGTCATTCCTGGCTTGCCTTTTAGGCACTGTATATTCTAGGATAGAGAACATTTTATTTTTTTTTAATTTTTTCGACATGATTATGTGGAAATAAAAGTTTTCAATTTAAGATGCATTACTTTTTTTTATCTTGCCATCAAATGTGTCATTTAATCTTTCAAAGGATTTTTTTATTTGTTTTGTAAAGCAATGGGAAATCCAGAAAACATAGAAGATGCATATGTTGCTGTTATTCGTCCAAAGAATACTGCCAGTCTCAATTCTCGGGAATACAGAGCTAAGTCATATGAAGTAAGAACATTTAATAATAATTTATTTCTACCATTGAATGTCATTCTGTATTATCATTCACATATAAAGCCTTATTATATCTTGTAAAGTTGTATTAACAAGCCAATTATTTTAGGTCTCTGCCCATTATTTTGTCTTTTTTCTGCCACGTGCCTTTTGACCATTTGCTGTTTATTGACATGTAGGTTATTAGATATTAAAGGTTACTTGTTTGAGTTTTTCTTACAATATATAGCTTTCAGTTTTCTTACAGTTTGTGAAATGGCTCTCAAAAATTAAAAACCACTGCAAAAGTCAGCTCACTTAAAATTTCAATCCAAACTTTGTTTTTGGTTATTTTTCCAAATAACTATTTTTAACAATTCGTTTTAAAATACTTTTTTGCCTTAAATTTTTAGACAATTAAGTTACTTTTCTGTAGTGTTGAATCGTATTTATTAGTAAACATATAATTAAGGCTATATGTACATACATATACATATATATAACTTGTTACTTTTTTATGCAACAGATTTCAAGCAATATGAAATACTTCTAATTTAACCTAATTTATCTAGCATTTCCTTTAAACTGCTTTTTTAAGGTTGTCTGAAACCTGTTAAAGGGTACTGTAGGGTTTCTGAGTAGGCTACTGCATCAGCAGTGCTGTGGCTTACCATTTCTCACTCCTGGCTGCACTGTAGAAGCATCTTAAAACTGTAAGAACCAGGCCCCAGACATTCCCATCTGTGTGGGATGGGGCTGGGCATTGCTATTGTTTTAAAGCTTCCCAAATTATTCTAATATGCAGCTAGAGTTGAGAAAGACTGCTAGCTTATTGTAGTATTCTAGGGCAAGTAGACTTTATTTTAAGCTTTCTCTTAATGTTTTTCTCATCTAAGATTTTGTTGCATGAAGTTCCCATTGAAGGACAGAAAAAAAAGAGAAAGAAAGTTTTATTGGAAACGAAACTTCAAGGCAACAGTGAAATAACACAAGGCATATTGGATTACGTAGTAGAAACCACCAAACCAATTTCTCCTGCAAACCAGGGTATCAGAGGTAGGAAACTTCTTTTTTAAAAAACACATTGTTTAAAATACTTGTGGAGAAAGATTCTTTTAAAAATATACACATATTAAACCAATTTCTTTTTATGTTCCTTTACATTTAACAAACTTGCAAAAAAACTCAAGTGTTTTTTAAGGTACACCCAAGCCCCTTCAAGATGTAACTTGACAAATTTTTTAAAAGTTGAGAAGTATTTAAAGAATTCACAATGTTGATGTGAAGTGTAGTTCCCTAGGTAAGTATCTTTTAACTACTATTCCTATTTCTTTACTTAATGACAGAGGAAACTATACTCATCTCTCCAAAACTAAGTAAAAGTTAATGTTCATGGATTAGGGAAAGTCCTGTAAATTACCAAGTAGCAGAGGTTTTCTTCCTATTTGGTCATAGAAAGAAGACCCTTTTCAGAAAGTCAAACTGAATTGTGGAAGTATTAACCCTGAAAGATTAAGGCCCCATTTAAAATATTACATAATAGATAGATTAAAAATTAATGATCCATTTTCTCAGGCTGTAGAAACAGCCATCAAACGTTACAGAAACTACAAACTATATCCAAGATTCAGTTACTACAATTTAAAAAGTAAAACCAATTCAGTCAAGCAGCAGTAGAAAACAGTTCTTAGTGAAGTAAAGCATACCTCTCTATGCCTGCTTTTTTGGTTTTTCAAAGCTTATTCAGTGTACATTTTTATAGGGATTAGTTATCTGATTCATATGTTTCAGTAAAGAGATGGTTTTTGTTGCAGAGATACAGCCAAATACTGTGGTTTGATTTATTAGTTATTTTGGATATTTGTTTTCTAGAGATACATAACTGAGCTATAAGCCTGTGTTTCATAACTTTTGGCGGTACCATTCACTGTATTATAGCTCCCTGATAGGTTTCTTCCCCTAATAGAGCCTGAAGAGTTTTTGTGGGTTGGGACTGTAAGCATTTTAACTCAGGATTATAAGTAGTTCCTACTTATAAGACGTGAGGTGCAGTGGCTCACGTCTGTAATCCCAGCACTTTGGGAGGCCGAGGTGGGTGGATCACGAGGTCAGGAGTTCGAGACCAGCTTGGCCAATATGGTGAAACCCCATCTCTACCAAAAATACAAAAATTAGCCCGGTGTGGTGGTACACGCCTATAGTCCCAGCTACTCAGGAGGCTGAGGCAGAAGAATCGCTTGAACATGGGAAATGGAGGTTACAGTGAGCCAAGATTGTGCCACTGCACTCTAGCCTGGGCGACAGAGTGAGACTCCGTCTCAAAAAAAAAAAAAAAAAAAAAGTTCCTGCATATGATCTGTGATAAACACTCCGAGTCTCACAAAGAGAATCCCTTTTCTCTAATTACCAGATTCACTGTATAATAAGATGATCAGGAAAGCAATCTTAGCTTATTAAAAAGGTGGAGGGAGCTATCCTTTTTTGGGAATCAAGGCATGTGAAGACTCTCTTTGGATGCCACAGATTGGTCAGTCTTATCTACCTCAGTCTTGGACTTCTCTGATAAATTTTCATCTGAACTTATTTTACTAATGCCAGATTGTTATAGTTATCAGCATCTATCCTGACACCAAATCCCTGAGACAGAAATCTAATTAGCCTAAATCACATATTTGAGCTGACAAATCATTATAGACCTAAAAAAGTCATAATTTGTTGTGAATTAAATAAGCTCAGCCACTAGGTCCATTTACCCAGAGGGATATGGAAGAGATCTCACTGTTAACAAAAAACTTCCCCTGGTCCAGAAGGCTGGGTACTTTCCCTTAGGAGGAGTTACGAGTGACAGTCACCGTGAAACATATCTAGCACCATTTTGCCCTGTATACTCAGACATAAAATGTACTAATATATTTTCAGGGAGCTTTTAACAAGAAATTAAAGTTGAAAAGTTTAATGTATTAATGAGCCATACTGTATCCTGAATATCCTATTTGTTTTTCTAAATCTATGAAATATTTTTGAAGTAATAAGATTCCTTATATAAACATCACATGAAAATCACAAATGACTATTAGCAGTAGTTAGGCTTAAAATTTTTGTACTGTGCTGTATGTCATTTACAAAGCACCATCACACTTATACATGAAACTCTTAAATTGGTCCTGTCGATAGGTAGTGATTTTCACATCTATAAAATGGGAATGGAGGCATAGGCTGTCTCCTCCTATAAGCATTTCCATTGGTAGAGGAATTAGGACTAGAACCTTCATCTCCTAACTTGTCAGTGCTTCCCTGCCCCACTGACAGATCTCATAGTTAGATATATAATATGCAAAATAGGCATTTAAATAATGGATCGTAACTGGATTTGGGGAAACAGCAAGGCAGGAAAGATTAAGTAGAAACGAGACTTCAAGCCAGACAAAAGAAATAGTGCCTCTGAAGTATATTAGAATGTTGTTCTGTATCTAGCACTTATATTTTGTACAAGTGTTCATTTTGTAAAATAATTGGAGGCTATAATATAGAAGGTCTTAATAATCACAAATATTGGCTCTGATATTTTGTGAATAAGTGAATCTATTTGAAGTCTTATCATTTACCTGCCCACAGAAGGCATCCCACCTGCCTACTAGGCATTTCTACCTGGGGCAGGAACGAGGTTCTGTTTCTTAGTGTGAGGAAATTGAAAGCATTGAAAGCATAACAAAGGTCTAGAGAATGAGGGGTTTTAGAATACAAGACTTGTAGGTTATTATTTATTAATAACTTACTGCCAATTCAGGAAAAACATTAAGAATGGTAGTTACAATTTAGAACAATAGTTTGTAGCCCAATCAGATTTTAATAAAACCTGAAATTGAGGATGGAGGTTAAATATTAAATGAAGAGCCACTAAACATTAAGACTTTGAAACTTACATATGCCAGAATATAATACAATTCTTACTGTCTCTATTCTAGATGACTGAGGTGGTATATGCATATTGACCCTGCAGAGTACATTGTTGATCTGCCTTCTCAGCTCTTAGCAGAACAGTTTTCCTAGCTATGCTTAGGAAGCTTCTCTTCTAGGGGTCAAGACCAGGACCCTAAATCTACAAGGATTGTCCACAGAATGATTTTGCATTTATCAGTTTTTATTAGTACATATAATAAAATTGACTTAGTATATTTCAGTTCCTCTTAATGCTGCCTTTTAAAGTATCTGTTTTCTAATTCTCAAGGTAATTTATAAGATTTAAAAGTGTATTATTTTTGTTTTGCTAACTTTTTAAAAATGATTAGGAAAACGAGTTGTACTAATGAAAAAATTTCCTCTGGATGGAGAGAAGATGGGCAGAGAAGCATCATTATTTATTGTTCCATCAGTTGTCAAAGGTAAAGTCTAAATGTATCTTACAAATCTTTATATACTTTAGATGCTAAGTAAAGGTCTATTGAGGAAGTTAAGAATTTGCATTCATAGTTACTACTATAATATTATAAAATACATATTTTAAAATTAATAGAAGGGAAATATGTTACTTAAAGATGTTTTGATTTCAAAATAATATACAGGCTTCTTGGCTCAACAGTAATGTTTTTGTTTTAGTTTTTAAAAGGATGAAGAAATGAGGAGGGAAGGCATAATTGAAATTTAAAGTGCTCAGGTTACAATAAAGGATTTTTCTAAAGATATGCCATAGATAAAATAAAAATTGATCCTTAAGTATTCTGGAAAATTAACAGATTATGATCAGAACCTATCTTGTATTTGGGACAAGAATCAATAATAGTTCTAATATACTCTGCCTAATAGTAATATTTTTAAGAAGGAAATCTAATGTGAAAATGTTTTATTCCTTTGGCACCCTGGCATAATAAACACATTGAGTTTCAGTACAGACCTTGCAGCCTATAATTTTGTGACCTTGGGCAAATCTCCTCTTTAATCTTTAGCTCTTTATTTGTAAAATAGGGACAATATTGCTATCTACTCCCACTTGTTTCATGGTGCTGGAAAAATTCAATGAGGTATTAGATACGAAATCACC
Source organism: Homo sapiens (assembly GCF_000001405.40). Classification (NCBI taxonomy): domain Eukaryota; kingdom Metazoa; phylum Chordata; class Mammalia; order Primates; family Hominidae; genus Homo; species Homo sapiens. The sequence continues at coordinate 92,237,010 of NC_000007.14, read as the reverse complement.
TTGGAAACTATAGAGTACTAGCATCATGTAAGATAGTAGTAACACTGATGATATACTATATTAATCACCCACCATGGACATCCCATCAGCCTGCTGCTACACAGTGCTGACATGTATTTTATTAGCCAGCTGTAGCATTCCAGATATATTTTTCCAGGCATACTTAGGTTAAAAAGTTCAGTATCTTAAGTAGCATTGGAAATCTTATTAATGAGTTTTACAGCATTGTTGAGGAAGATAAAGATGAAACAGTTTCTGCAGTCCTCCAAAATTCTAAATGTTGCATTTACCTGAGTGGACAAGGTCACAGAGCTAGTCATCACTTGAATCCAGGCCTTCTAATTCCAAATCTAGAACAATTTATTTTATACTTAACAAGTTTTCATTTTCTAACATGTATTTTTAGATGAAAACATGCAGATGTAAACCTTTTATATGGTAGCATAATTCTTCATTTTTCTTTTTCAGATAATACTAAATACACATATACCCCAGGATGCCCAATTTTTTACTGCTTACAAGATATTATGCGAGTCTGTAGTGAATCCAGTACTCATTTTGCTACACTTACAGCAAGGATGTTAATAGCCTTGGATAAGTAAGAAATGCCGTTAGAAGTATCTTTTAATTAATCAAATACATGTTTATAGTAGAAATTAGTTGTCATAGATACAGACACTTTGAGAAGAAAATAATGAAAATAATATATGTATTAAAAAATGGTAAGTTTTTCAATTCTAATATAAAAATGAAAAACCCGAAGATAAGGTTGTCCTGGCCTGGGTACAGCATGTTAATTTTATTTTTCAGAAATGGTAAACACTGCCCTGGCTTAAGAATTAAGATTTACCTGTTATGAAACTATACATTTAATATTGAGTTACTCTTATCAGTGAAGAAGTCATTCAACCTCTTATGCCTTTGTCTTTCTGTAAGAACAGGGCTAATGTCACCTACATCTCAGTAGTTTGAATTTTAACAGTACTTTTATGTTTTTTGAAAGGAGTTTTTATTACTATAATGGCACATACATTTAAAAAATTTATTTGCTGTATCCATTAACAAAACTTTTATTAATAAATGAAGTATTTGTATACTGACTTGATCTTTATAGATCATATGAACATATTATCACATGTGCCCCTAAAGTATGTACAGTATTATGCATGTTTTTTTGTTAAAAAAATCAATTTGCAATATAAATAAATTTTAAAAATAATAAAGTACTTAACTAACACTAAATTAAAATTATAAAAATCTGAAGGTAATATTCACAAGTGTCATATATCAGAGTTAGATAGTAATCTATCTTTTTCATCTTCACTTTCGAATGGCTACTTCTACCTGTTTTTTTATTTTGCCAGGTGGTTAGATGAACGTCATGCACAATCTCACTTTATTCCAGCTTTATTCCGACCTTCTCCTCTTGAGCGGATAAAAACTAATGTCATAAATCCTGCATATGCTACTGAATCAGGTCAGACAGAAAACTCACTACATATGGGCTATAGTGCACTAGAAATAAAGAGTAAAATGTTAGCCCTAGAGAAAGCAGATACCTGTATTTACAACCCTTTGTTTGGATCAGATCTTCAGTATACAAATCGGGTAAGAGTTGAATGAATTTTAGCTCTGATTTAAAAGACGTTTTATCTCAAGTGTAATTTTTTTTCCTGAGATATATACATCTATTACTAATTATAAACATGAAGGCCTGGTACAGTGGCTCACGCCTGTAATCCCAGCACTTTGGGAGGCCAAGGAGGGCAGATTGCCTGAGGTCAGGAGTTCGAGACCAGCCTGGCCAACATGGTGAAATCTCGTCTCTACTAAAAATACAAAAATTAGCTGGATGTGGTGGCGTACCCCTGTAGTCTTAGCTACCCCGGAGACTGAGGCAGGAGAATCGCTTGAACCTGGGAGGCGGAGGTTGCAGTGTGCTGAGATCGCAGCACTGAACTCCAGCCTGGGCAACAGAGCAAGACTCATTCTCAATAAATAAATAAGTAAAAATTTAAAATATAAACATGTAAACATTAAGATGACAAAGCTCTTAATGGGTTTTTGTTATTGTTTTCCCTTTCTAGGTAGATAAAGTGGTAATAAATCCATACTTTGGTCTAGGAGCTCCAGACTACTCAAAAATCCAAATACCTAAACAGGAAAAATGGCAGAGAAGCATGAGCAGTGTCACAGAAGACAAGTACTGTTTCGGTTTTACTCCACATTGCTTTTATAAAAACTTACATTCTAATTTAAAGTATTGTTTAAAATTATATATGCAATTTGTATGCATTGTAGTCACTATTGAGTTTACAGCTTCTTAGTGATACAGAGCTTTCATAGATGTGTCACATTTCTTTTGAAACAATTTTTACAGTCCTGTTGTATTTTTCAAAATTTCTTTTTAATGATTAGGGAACGACAGTGGGTAGATGATTTTCCTCTCCACCGAAGCGCCTGTGAAGGAGATTCAGAATTACTAAGCCGTCTTCTCAGTGAAAGATTTTCAGTCAACCAGTTAGATAGTGACCACTGGGCACCCATTCATTATGCATGCTGGTAAATGGAATATTTATTCTTTTCTTTTTAGAAAGAATACATTTTTTATTATAAATGTTAGTCCTTCTTTTCAAGACTGTTCTCATTCCAAATACTTTTTCTCTACCTGTTTGCCTTAGGAGTTTTCTGTTTTGATCTTAGATGATTGTATATGTGCCAATGTTCAGAATTGTAAGGTCTGCCCTATGGGGAACGTACTGTTAGTGTCCTTAGGCATTGCCAGGTCATATAGTAGGATACTTAATGACTAGTAAATGTCACTGTAGAGTACAAGGTCACTTATTCACCCTTGCAGTTTCTCTTGTTTTGCAGTTTCTCTTGTTTTGTATTGGGATTATGTTATGCTTATCTTTACTGGAAGTTTGCATGTGTTAACTACTTACGATTTGACCTTGCGTCTTGCTATAAAAGTATCCTTTTAGTGCTTTGAGAAACTGGTTATCAAGAAGCCCTCAAAAGCCTTCATTAGAACCACAGCTTTCCATTATGTTAGATACTAGTGTTGGGACAGGATTGGGGTTAGCTCTTTCCACTAGTTGCCCAGTGTAGCTCTTGGTCTCCTCTCACATAATTATTTTTCCCCTCAGTTGGGCTGAGTTGTTAGTGTTTAGAGTAGTAGTTAACTGTTTACTATAAGTCATCTTCTAGAAAGGATATAATAAAGTTTTTTACATTATTTCTGTGGGAAAGTTGCTCTTCACCTATTGTTTAAAGTAAGCTTCCTTGGCTAATTTAAGAGGTACCGGCCAGGTGCAGTGGCTCACACCTGTAATCCCAGCACTTTGGGAGGCCGAGGCAGGTGGATCACGAGGTCAGGAGATCAAGACCATCCTGGCTAACATGGTGAAACCCCGTCTCCACTAAAAATACAAAAATTAGCCGGGCGTGGTGGTGCACGCCTGTAATCCCAGCTACTTGGGAGGCTGAGGCAGGAGAATAGCTTGAACCAGGGAGGCAGAGATTACAGTGAGCTGAGATTGCACCACCGCACTCCAGCCTGGTGACAGAGTGAGATTCCATTTCAAAAAAAAAAAAAAAAGTACCACATTATTTATTGCCTTGTTAAATGTCCACAGTGTCTTAGTTGTATTAGATTGAGCAAGGTAATTCACTTTACCTCTCTGCATCTCAGCTTATTTATCCATATATAAAATGCAGTAGATCATTTCTAGAGTTTCTTCCAACTCGAAATTCTTTTGATTTATCTGATTTTAATATTTGTAATCAAGCAGTTAACTATAGTTGCTTTATATGTGTGTGTGTGTGTGTGTGTGTGTGTGTGTGTGTATAAAAAGATCTTTTTTCTGTTTCCTTAAAAATATGCTCTTATATTTCTTATTACATGGAATTTTTGTATTAAGAGTTACTCTAATTGTCTTTAACTGAGTTAATAGTTGTTTCTTTAGATTACCAGAAAATACTGGCGGCAAAAACAATACTAAAAGAAATCACATGCAGCCGGGTGCAGTGGCTCACACCTGTAATCCCAGCACTTTGGGAGGCCAAGGTGGGCGGATCACGAGGTCAGGAGGTTGAGACCATCCTGGCTAACACCATGAAATCCCGTCTCTATTAAATATACAAAAAATTAGCCGGGTGTGGTGGCGGGTGCCTGTAGTCCCAGCTACTTGGGAGGCTGAGGCAGGAGAATGGTGTGAACCCGCGAGGCGGAGCTTGCAGTGAGCTGAGATCACGCCACTGCACTCCAGCCTGGGCAACACAGTGAGACTCCATCTCAAAAAAAAGGAAAAAAAGAAATCACATGCTTTACCAGGAGCTAAATAAAAAGAGGTAGAGAATATAGTTCAGATTCCAAAAAAGTATACTATAGATTTGGAAAAGGCAAAGGCAGTGAATTTTAGTTGAGGAATCCCAAGTTTATATTTGACTGTATAGTTGCTCCTTTTTGTGGCAGGGGTGTTTTTTTTTTTTTCCCCCTCTAATGAAAGAATGGTAATATTTTCAACTATTACATAAAAACAAAAGCATGGCATTGTATTTAATATGCTTTGGAATGTACCTATGTTTCAGTACCATTTTTAGTTCCTAAAATATTACCTTTGGTAAGTTACTTTATGTCTCTAAGGGTCTGTTTCTTTATCTATACGAGATGGGCTTAAAAATGGTACCTTCCCTAATAGTAAAAGAAAAATTACAAGTAACGTGCTTTGAGAGCACATAATGAGCACTCAATAAATCTTGGCTTTTAAGAATAAGTGTTGGCCGGGTGTAGTGGCCCACACCTGTAATCCCAGCACTTTGGAAGGCCAAGAAGGGCAGATGACTGGAAGTCAGGAGTTTGAGACCAGCCTGCCCTGGTGAAACTCTGTCTCTACTGAAAATACAAAAATTAGCTGGGCGTGGTGGCAGGCACCTGTAATCCCAGCTGCTCGGGAGGCTGAGGCAGGAGAATCGCTTGAGCCCAGGAGGTGGAGGTTGCAGTGTACTGAGATCCCACCACCGCACTCCAGCCTGGGCGACTGAGTGAGACTACATCTCAAAAAATAAAATAAAAAAATAAATATTGTAAAAATGTAAAGATTTTGATGTCTGAATCTAAAATTTATTAATCTGTAATATTTTCATTTGCAAATTTTTGTTACTTGAGTATGCCAAGGAAAAGAGTTTTATACTTGGATAAATTAATTTTCTGTCAGCTTGATAATCAAGTTTAATGTAACAGGAGTAGTATGGGTCACCTTGCAATACTATTAGTTGGATGCCTCATTTAATTGACGTGAATTCAAATAATGATTTAACTATTCAGTAAAGAACTTAAATTTATCTTGGAAGTATACTCTTATTCACTAATTGGTACAAAGACCGAGGAGGGGACACTGGGCTCTTGACTGTGATACAGTGAAGAGACTAGGGTTTAGTCCTATTTTTGTAAGACAAGATATTTTACCTCACTTGGTCTCATTTCTCACCTTTAAAATGAGGGTTTTAATTAGATTAGTGGTTCTCAAACTTTTGGGTCTCAGGATACTTTTTTACTCTTAACAGTTACAGGATTCCCAAGAGTTTTTGTTTATGTGGATTAAATCCAGTGTTAAGATATTAGAAATAGAAACTGAAAAATATTCCATGTGTATTAAAAATAACAATACCTATATATGTTAACATAACACAATTTAATGAAAAAAATAAGAGTTTAAAATTCAAGATTGGTAGCCAGACATGTAAAAACCATTCTTTACTTTCTAGAATCATCATTTTCCCAAAATATTTAAAATGGCTTTAACCCCTTGTAGAGAACTTAACAGCCACTCAGTAAATGTCTCACTGACATTTCATATTCTCTCACTTCTTTATTCTTCCCGTACCCCTATGCCAGACCCTCTATTTTGAATCAAATCAGTGTCTTCTTTCTCTGATAGTACTTTCAGACTTCAGATCATTGTTAGTGTTTTTCAAACTGTGATGATTTGGCTTCCTACAAATTATTTCATCCAATTTCACTTGGAGCTTCACTGTATATTAGCTATCTGTACTCTTTGTTTCATTCAGCCTTTTAGTCCTCCCCTTCCAAGCTATTCTAAACGTTTCTACTCCTAAGTACTTAAACTTTCACTACTTTCTTTTTCTACTTTCATAATCCCTATACTCCTTTTTGCCCCCTATTTTCAAAGAAAATTTAAGGCGTCAGAAATGTTCTTCTCTATCCCTAATGATCACTTTTTGTCCCCATCTCTCTCCTGTATCATAGGGTATACACATAAAAATTCTTCTTATTCCCCTTAAATTCACTTTTCTTTTTCCACACCTACTTTCTTCTTTCCCTCAAACATGCATGATTCTCTTCCTTCTTGAAAGTTGCTTTCACCTGAACCTACTTCTTTTAGCTACCATCCTGTTTCTTTCCTTCCTTTCACAGCCAGATTTCAAAGGTGAGTGGGAGACACACTCTGCTTTCTCTTTTTCACTCTTCATAAACCTTAACTTTTTCTGAGTTTTTGATCTGTTTCCCTGCTCTGCAGCATTTAATTCTTGACTACTTTTCATTTTAAGAACAAATAGGAGTTGAAAGAGCATAATGGAGCTATAATGAAGGTCAGTAAAAATGCAAGGTATTATTGATATCTTATCATTGCTGTGGAAACACTCACTGGCCTCCATTCTGTGATCCAGACCTGTGTCTTAGTAGTAGTACTACTAAGATTCAGAAAACTGGCTTCTAACTCTGGCTAGTCACCATGAGACGTTGGGCAAGTTAGTTAACTGCATCAAGCTCCATTTTTCTCATCTGTGCAATAAAAAAGTACCTCTGCCTACTTTATAAATTTCTATGATTATATTAAATAATTATATAAGAAGGTAGCTGGGAAATTTTAAAGCACCATACAAAATGTATGTTTGTATTATTTTTATTATTACTTCTCGAATTGCTACCTCACTATCTTTTCCCTTTTAGATGTATTTCAGTGTTCTAAGGTGATCACATTTCTCTAAATTCATTCTCAGATTTCATCCATTCTTTCAGACCATTTAATTCTTTTCAGTGAGATGATTTTACATATTCTCAAATAGATACTCTAAGCCTTTGCCTTCCCCTAAGTAGTTTCAAGTTGCCTACTAAACATTTCAGTCACTTATCTTTTGTATGTAGGGCACTTTGGAGAATATAAAGACACTGTCCCTATCCTCAAGGAGCTTCCAGGCTGATAGAGAAGAGGTGTGGATAAACAAGGATGGAATTAGGTAGAATGAAATAAGTCACAAAAAAGAAGCAAAAATAGAATGCTAAAACATAGTGGGAATATAGAGAAGATAGATTTTAAACCGTTTCAGAGGCATAATGGAATTTAACCTGAACGAAATCAGGAAGGGGGAAAGGATGTCTTAAGAATAGCAAAGAATATTGTGGCTTTGATTTGCATTTCTCTAATGATCAGTGATATTGAGCTTTTTTTCATATGTCTCTTGGCTGCTTGTATGTCTTCTTTAGAAAAGTATCTATTAATGTATTTTACCCACTTTTTAATGGGGTGGTTTTTTCTTGTAAATTTGTTAAGTTTCTTATAGGTGCTGGATATTAGACTTCTGTCAGATGCATAGTTTGCAAATATTGTCTCCCATTCTGTAGGTTGTCTGTGTACTCTGTTGATAGTTTCTTTTGCTGTGCAGAGCAGCTGTTTAGTTTAAGTACCATCTCACACCAGTCAGAATGGCTATGATTAAAAAGTCATAAAAATAACAGATACTGGCAAGGTTGCAGAGAAAGGGAACGCTTATATACTGTTGGTGGGAGTGTAAATTAGTTCAACCATTGTGAAAAGCAGTATGGCAATTCCTCAAAGAGCTAAAAACAGAACTCCCATTTGACCTAGCAATCCCATTACTGTGTATATACCCAGAGGAATATAAATCATTTTGCCATAAAGACACATGCACACACATGGAATGTTCATTCCAGCACTATTCACAATAGCAAAGACATAGAATCAATCTAAAGGTCCATGATAACAGATTGGTTAAAGAAAATGTGGTATGTATACATCATGGAATACTATGCAGCCAGAAAAAAGAACAAGATCTTGTCTTTGCAGGACCATGGATGGAGCTGGAGACCATTATTTTTAGCAAACTAATGCAGGAACAGAAAATGCCACGTGTTCCCACTTATACGTGGGAGCTGAATGATGAGGACTCATGAGCACAAAAAAGGGAACAGCAAATACTGGGGCCTCCTTGAGGGTGGAAGCTGGGAGGAGGGAGAGGAGCGGAAAAAATAATTATTGGGTACTAGGCTTAGTACCTGGGTGGTGAAATAATCTGTACGACACACCCCCATGACAAGAATTTACCTATGTAACAAACCCGCACATGTACCCCAGAGTCTAAAATAAAAGTTAAAAAAAGAATAGCAAAACCTGAGCAAAACAAATCACCTGAGTAAAACAAATCACCTGAGTAAGGTGTAGGATGAAAGTGTCTGATTTGGAGTATAGAAAAGACATAGTATTTGTGAAGGGGAAGAAAGGAAAAACAGATGGAAAATCAGTTCTAAAAATGGGCTGTTTTCCCCTCAGATGTTCCATATCTAAAACCAAAACCAAGTTTCCATTCCTCCTCCCACCTCACCCTCTTATTTCCACACAACAAATTACTTTCTACCCTTGCTTCAGAGTGCAGCCTTACATAAGTCTTTGGCTGTAACCAAGAGGTTGACTCACTGTGTGCGTATGCATTGTACTCTTCTGAGACCTTTGCTTACTCCTTTTCTGTCTACCTAAAATATTTTACTTCTCTTCAACATCTCTTCAGTTCTTTCCTATTTAAAAATTCAGTTCAGGCTGGGCATGGTGGCCCACGCCTCTAATCCCACCACTTTGGGAGGCTGAGGCAGGTGGATCATTTGAGCCCAGGAGTTAGAGGCCAGGTTGGGCAACATGGCCAAACCCTGTCTTCCCACCTCCCCGCCGCAACCCCCACTGAGACGGAGTCTTGCTCTGTCACCCAGCCTCGAGTGCAATGGCGCGATCTCTGGCTCACTGCAACCTCCGCCTCCTGGGTTCAAGTGATTCTCCTGCCTCAGCCTCCATAGTAGCTGGGATTACAGGTGTCTGCCACCACACCCAGCTAATTTTTGTATTTTTAATAGAGACAGGGTTTCACCATGTTGGCCAGGCTGGTCTCGAACTCCTGACCTTGTGATCCACCCACCTCGGCCTCCCAAAGTGTTGGGATTATAGGCATGAGCCACCACGCCTGGCCGAAACCCCATCTTTACTAAAGACACAAAAATTAGCTGGGCGTGGTGGCGCATGCCTGTAATCCCAGCTACTTGGGAGGCTGAGACACGAGAATCTCTTGAACCCAGGAGGCAGACATTACAGTGAGCTGAGATTGCACCACTGCACTCCAGCCTGGGCATAGAGTGAGACTCAGTCTCAAAAACAGTAACATTCAATTCAAATTGTTCTTCTATCAGAGCACTTTACAGGACCATCTAGACTGAAATCATATCTCTTGTTTTCTGGAATTATATCTCTGGAGCTGGGATTACAGGCGTGCGCCACAATGCCCGCCTAATTTTTGTATTTTTAGTAGAGATGGGGTTTCACCATGTTGGTTAGGCTGGTCTCGAGCTCCTGACCTTGTGATCCGCCTGCCTCTGCCTCCCAAAGTGCTGGGATTATAGGTGTGAGTCACTGCGCCCAGCCTCTGATATTTTTTAAAGCATGGACAAACATTACCATACTTAAATTTTACAGCATTATGTAACTTATCCCATGTTTATGTTTTGCCTCAAATTACACTGTAAACCATTCAGGGTAGAGACCACATATTTTATACATGTTTGTCTCTTTCACATTGTCTAATATAGCAACTGTGTATAGAATTACATCTTTGGGCCTATTTTGTAAACAGCCGGGCCTAAGTGAAAAGCATTCTTACTAAGTTTTCTTATATGAGTTACTTTCTGTTTCTGAAACTATATTTGACTAAAAATTGTATCTAACCTTTGTAGTACACATGGGATGTTTCTCTGTCGTCTGCTCTATCTTGTATTTGAGGTTATATTTTCTTCCAGTTTATCAGAAATAGAAACAGTTTAATTGAACCAGAATAATTAATAAGAAACCCCTAATCATTGAAAACATTATGTCAGTATCTTAATAATCCTTTGCTCTCTGTCCTAGAAAATTCTTAGATTTCTTTGAGATATCATCTAAAATTTGGATTTTTAAAAACATTTCAGATGATCTTTTTAGGTAAGTTTTTTTTGTTGTTGTTTTTTGTTTGTTTGTTTTTTTATACAGGTATGGAAAAGTTGAGGCCACTCGCATATTGTTAGAGAAAGGAAAGTGCAATCCAAACCTTTTAAATGGACAACTTAGTTCTCCTCTTCATTTTGCTGCTGGAGGAGGACATGCTGAAATAGTACAGATTCTCCTAAACCACCCAGAAACGGATAGAGTAAGTTATTTTCCAGGTTTTTAAAAATAATATTCAAGCAGTGAATAACAAGTAATGACACTAAAATGTTAAATTGTATGTTTGAGAGTTCATCTGAAAAATAAAAATAAATTCCATTACTTTATAGAATAAGTAACGGAATATATGAGTTGTACTTTGTAGAATAAATAATGGAATATATGTGTTGTGCTTTTGAACATATTTTTTTTTTAGATTTTTTAAATACACCTCGCCTAAAATTTACATTAACTATTTTTAGGCGTACAGTTCAGTGGCATTAAGTACATTTATATCACCACAGTCTGTCTTCAGAATGTATGTAGAATTTAACCTCTTTTCATTTTATATTGTATTTCTCCAAAAACATCTTGAAAAAGGAAAAAGATTTTCCAGAATTTCATAAAGGAAATTCATAAAAAGGAATATCATAAAGAGGAAAATAATAGTATTAAAACTTTTATTATGTCTGTATCAGAACTTTTAAAAAAACAGTCATCACATTGATTAGTGCTTTGAGTCTTTTATCTTGGCAACTCTTGTTTATTCTAAACATAATACATACCAAGTGTGGTTAATATTTACTTTAGTACTTGACAAGAGTCTCTTTTTTATGAAACTGTGATTAATTGGATGACATTTTCCCTTAGAATACCATAATATGTAATGCCTTTTTTCCCCCTCCCCACCCACATTTCTAGCATATAACAGACCAACAAGGAAGATCTCCATTAAATATTTGTGAAGAAAACAAACAAAACAACTGGGAAGAAGCTGCAAAATTGTTGAAGGAAGCAATTAACAAACCAGTAAGAATTATCTTCATAGTTAGAGCCAGGCATAGTATTTAAATTAATAAGATTTAAATTTGAGGATCTGTGGCAAGAGTGGAAAGACGATTAGATGGCTTCTTTACTGCTATAAAACCTCATTGTAGGCCAGGTATGGTGGCTCACACCTGTAATCCCAGAACTTTGGGAGGCTGAGGCAGGCAGATCACAAGGTCAAGAGATCCAGACATGGTGAAACCCCATCTCTATGAAAAATACAAAAATCAGCTGGGCATGGTGGCGTGCACCTGTAGTCCCAGCTACTCAGGAGGCTGAGACAGGAGAATTGCTTGAACCCAGGAGGTGGAGGTTGCAGTGAGCCAAGATTGTGCCACTGTACTCCAGCCTTGGCGACGGAGCAAGACTTCATCTCAAACAAACAAACAAAAAACCTCATTGTAGACTGCATTATCCCTAACATTTGGACATTTATTCTTGCATAACAAAATAAAACTTGCAAAAATAAGTAAATAAAACTTTCAAAACACTTAAAATTTTCATATAATTTCTATGCTTGATGTGTTGATTACACATAATTTTTTTTTTGAGATGGAGTCTCGCTCTGTCACCCAGGCTGGAATACAATGGCGCGATCTCAGCTCACCGCAACCTCTGCCTCCCAGGTTCAAGCAGTTATCCTCAGCCTCCCGAGTAGCTGGGATTACGTGCGCCTGCCACCACGCCCGGCTAATTTTTTGTAATTTTAGTAGAGATGGGGTTTCACTGTTAGCTAGGATGGTCTCGATCACCTGACCTCGTGATCCTCCCACCTCAGCCTCCCAAAGTGCTGGGATTACAGGCGTGAACCACCACGCCCAGCCTGATTACACGTAATTTTAATCTATTCATTGTCACATATCCCTATACTTAGGTCTCTTAAGCAACATTTTATATTTTTAAATGAAAGCATTGCACATCATTCAGTCTCAGCAAGTTAGTTTATATATAACAGACTCATTTTCCTCCTCATAAAAGTAAAATAGGTGTTTCCAAGCTTTTTTATTCTGCTAACTCAACCTGGCCTTTCCATCTAATTACAACTGGAAATAAACTCATAAATCGAAAATGCTGGCATACATAGCTATTAAAATAATAATTTTATTTAGAGGCATAAAGCTCAAATTAGTGACATTAAAATACAGAAGAATTAACAATGAGAAGAAACTCAATTATGCCTAAGAGTTATAATGATTATAAAAATTATTAATTTAATTATTTTTATTTTTATGAGACAGGGTCTCACTATGTTGCCCAGGCTGGAGTACAGTGGCTATTCACAGACAATCGTGATGCACTGCAGCCTCAACCTTCTAGGCTTAGGCCGTCCTCCCACCTCAGCCTCTTGAGTAGCTGGGACTACAGACGTGCCACCGCTCCTGGCTGTCATTAGTTTAAAAACTGTTTGAAATAAAAAGATTTATACCAACAAATAAAGGATAAAGGGTTTATACTAACAGATATAACCCATTTACCTAAGCCTCTCCAGGCATTAACCAACAACTATGCAATAAGTATTTGTTGAGTATCTCTTTGGATTTAACATGACAAAGTGCTGAAAATTAGAAGGAATATATGGTCTCTGCCTTTAATGTTACACACATACCACACACGCACGCATTTTGTCAAAACACTTACTCCAAGAGCATAAGACAGAGTCAAGGAAATAGACAAGCAGTACAGGTACCCTTATGTTATACTTCATTGCAATTTATTTTCTAACTATGTAGTGTTAACTCATTTTTATCCCTGATATAATTTTTATATTGTGAATGAATAAGGTAGGAGGGGTGAAGTTCTTTTATCCAAAGTGAACTGGCCTGGAAGTTATTTGGGGACATCAGTTACTTCCTATAACAATAAAAATCCATTGAGAATGCTACTACTTTCTGGAATTTTCTAAACTGGGGGAAGGAAACTGGCTCAAAGTTCATTGATAACTTTTACCTGCAAAGTGTTCCATCACAAATTCCTCTTAGGACAAGTTACTGGTGGTACACATTTCTGTTGTATTATATGTGACCCACTAGACTCGTGAAGTACTTGACGAACACTAGATTCAGTAACCAAGTTTGTATCTCTCGTTATGATATTTACATTACATTAAAGGCGCTAAAACATCCTGTCAAAAGAATTTGACATTGAGTATGTTTTTAAGTCATTCTCCTTAGTTTACTAAACTTATTTCTGGAACATCCAGAAGAAAATATTTTAGAAAATACAAGTAATGGAAGTAAAATTTTTTTTTTTTTTTTTTTTGAGATGGAGTCTTGCTCTGTCACCCAGGCTGGAGTGCAGTCGCGCAATCTCAGCTCACTGCAAGCTCCTCCCGGGGTTCACGCCATTCTCACGCCTCAGCCTCCTTAGTAGCTGGGACTACAGGTGCCTGCCACCACGCCCAGCTAATTTTTTTTTTTTTTTTTTTTTTGTATTTTTAGTAGAGACGGGGTTTCACCATGTTAGCCAGGATGGTCTCGAGCTCCTGACTTCGTGATCCGCCCGCCTCGGCCTCCCAAAGTGTTGGGATTATAGGCGTGAGCCACCGCGCCCGGCCAGTAAAATGTTTTTAAAATATCACCAACAGATTCTCACTTAAAACAGTGTTTCTGATATTTTTCATGTTAGAAATCTATAATAAAGCACATGAAGTTGAAGGAAAGTATCTTGTTAGATTGTGATGTATAATTTTTTAAGTTCGTTACGTAAGTTATCGTTTCTTGTAGTATGAAAAAGTTCGAATATACAGAATGGATGGGTCATATCGTTCTGTTGAATTGAAGCATGGAAATAATACCACAGTGCAGCAGATAATGGAAGGAATGCGTCTCTCTCAAGAAACTCAGCAATATTTCACTATATGGATTTGTTCAGAAAACCTCAGTAAGAAAGTTTTTATTATGTTATAGTAAACCTCATTATTCCTTTTTGGGAGTGGGTTGGTAGAAAATACAACTTCTTTTTATTCTTGACTCTTAAATTTTGAAATAATACAATGTTCTTCTCTTTTATATAAATTACTAGTGTTCAAACTGCTGAAACAGGTAAGTCCCTGCCCACCCCGTTCCCTGCTTCATTCAAAGCATTTTTTAATAATTAAAAAACAAAACTTTTCTTCTATGGCAATGGCATTTGATTTGAATGCCATTAAATGTTGTGCTAATGCAACTTGCCTTTATTTTTTGTGTTCATTTTGAAATAATACAAATGTTCTTTTCTCTTACATTAGTTTTCTATTTAAAATCAACCTTTTTATTTAAAATCAACCTAATGACTATATATTTGTTCTTCAAAGTATTACACATACATAAAGAATTTGATCGATGTGATTGGTTATTTAATGGCTTAGTTGTATCTTTTTAACTAGGAATTCTACTTATGTCATAATTAAATAGGCTATAATGGAATTAAGGATTTCATATACATTTGATAAATTTTATGTAAGAATTATTTTTAATAATTCTTATATTCTTGATAATAAGCAGTTAACCACAAATTGGGTAGTCATATTGATTAAAATGTTAATTTTAGATTTAAATTTAATTTGTGAGTATTCAGTACAGAAGTGCAGACAGTTTAATACAAAGTTTCTATGCATTGATATAATTGACTTTTTACATTATCATTTATAAAAGGAATGATGTTTTTCAGGCCTTCAACTCAAACCATATCATAAACCCTTGCAACATGTTCGTGACTGGCCAGAAATACTTGCTGAATTGACTAATCTGGATCCTCAAAGGGAAACACCTCAGCTTTTTCTAAGAAGAGATGTGAGACTTCCCTTGGAAGTTGAAAAACAGGTTTGCTTGGAAATCTTATTTACAGTTATTTAAATGCACAAAATCTGTTGAGTTTCTATTGTAAGCACTAGAGGCAGAAATTGTGCTTACATCCTTAAATCGATCCTTACATCCCTGTGATAATTGGCGGAGTTTCAGTTGATCTACTTACAAAGCCCTTGGTTGGGATTTTTCATTTCCACTCCCATTGTCTTAAGAATACAAAAGAAATAGGGAGCTATCCTAAAGAAAATTAGCAATCAGATGTGGAGCCAAATTATACAGGAAAAAAAATTGTTTAGACTAGTTAGGAAGTACACTGTCAAGGATAAACTTAATAAAGGGCTGATCAGTTGTATACATTTTGAAGGAAGAAAGAGAAACACTGGTGTGGAAGAGAACATCCTGGGTGGATAAGATTATACTTGCAAAGGGAAGAATGCGAAAGTCATTCTCAACAGTCCATAAGTGGCTCATCTTTTTTTTTTTGAGACTGAGTCT
This sequence comes from Homo sapiens, assembly GCF_000001405.40. NCBI lineage: Eukaryota > Metazoa > Chordata > Mammalia > Primates > Hominidae > Homo > Homo sapiens. The sequence continues at coordinate 92,221,421 of NC_000007.14, read as the reverse complement.
TGCTCTGTGTCCCAGGCTGGAGTGGCACAATCTCGGCTCAGTACAATCTCCACCTCCCAGGTTTAAGCAGTTCTCGTGCCTCAGCCTCCCAAGTAGTTGGGATTATAGGCGTGTGCCACCACACTTAGCTAATTTATTTTGTATTTTTAGCGGAGACGGGGTTTTGCCATGTTGGCCAGGCTGGTCTTGAACTCTTGGCTTCAAGTGATCTGCCCACCTTGGCCTCCCAAAGGGCTGGGATTACAAGCGTGAGCCACTGTGCCTAGCCTAAGTAGCTCATCTTAACTCAAACAGAGAACTCTATACATAGTAAAAAATGAGAATAGTATTTACATTTGATGAAAAGAAGTCTGTCTAGACAAGTATATTTGGATTTGAACTACTGTGGATTTTAGAGAGGAAGAAGTGACATAATGCCATAAGAAGGATGAATGGACCAGGCACAGTGGCTCATGCCTGTAATCCCAGCACTTTGGGAGGCCAAGGCGGGTGGATCACGAGGTCAAGAATTCAAGACCAGCCCGGCCAAGATGGTGAAACCCCGTCTCTACTAAAAATACAAAAATTAGGCATGGTGGTGGGCGCCTGTAATCCCAGCTACTTGGGAGGCCAAGGCAGAGAATTGCTTGAATCTGGGAGGTGGAGGTTGCAGTGAGCCGAGATCGTGCCACTGCACTCCAGCCTGGATGACAGAATGAGATTCCATCTCAAAAAAAAAAAAAAAAAAAAAAAAGAAGGATGAATGGACAAGGGAGAGATTATAACAGCTTAAATTAGGCATGATAATCTAAATATGGTGAAATTGTTTCACAGTCTTACAATGTTAGTGAAGAAAAAAATAGAATACATTTCTTAATTCTTTATTCTCAGGGAATATTAAACAAACACAGTTAAACAAATTTTGGCACAAGAAAATTTCAACAGCCATGTCCAAACTTGGTAAACATTTTGTACATAACTATATATATTGCTCCTTTTATATTATCAAGCCAAAGATAGAGTAGATCCTCTCAGCCAAATATACTAGGAGTCACATAAAAATTGCTATGAAATTTACCAAAAACTAAGGACTTCATTATTTGTTAAAAATGTGTTAGAATCACATTAATAGAATGAAAGGGAGGGAAGAAAACACATGATCATCTTAATTGATGCAGAAAGGCATTTGACAAAATCCAACACCCTTTCATGATTTAAAAAACTCTCAGAAAACTAGGAATACAAGCGAACTTCTCAGCATGATAAAGGGTGTTCATGAAAAACCCACAGCTAATATCATATTCAATGGTAAAAGACTGAAAACTGTCCTCCTAAGATAAGGTACGAAATTAGGATGTCCACTTTCACCAATAATCAAGACCTTAGTTTTTGGCAAATGACGTATACATAGGAACTCCCAAAGAATCCACAAGAAAGCTAGAGCTACTAAATTAATTCAGCGAAGTTTCAAGGTATAAGCTGAACACACAAAATCTGTTGTCTATATACCAGCAAAGAATAATACAAGAAAGAGATTAAGAAGTCCATTAAAATAGCATCTAAGAATAAAACACCCAGGAATAAATTTAACAGAAGAAGTTCAAGACTTGTACACTGAAAACTATAAAACATTGCTGAAAAATAAGACCTGATAACTGGAAAGACATCTCCACGTTCAATGATAGGAATAGTTAGCATCGTTAAGATGTCACTACTAGCAAAGTGATCTACAGATTTAATGCAGTCCCTAACAGTATTCCAATAGCTTTTTTTGTGAAAGTGGAACAGACAGTACTCAAATCCACAAGAATTGCAAGGGGACTCAAATAGCCAAAGCAATCTTAAGAAGAATGAAGTTGAGAGATTGACATTACTCAATTTCAAAGCACACCACAAAGCTAAGCAATCAAAAGCATTGTGGTACTCTAGCATAAGGATAAACATACAGACCAATGGAATAGAATTGAGTTTTCAGAAATAAACCCATACATATACAGCCGGTAGACTTTTGACAAGGCTACCAGGTTCATCTAATGGAGAAAGAATAGTCTCTTCAACAGATGGTGCTGGTATAACTGTAAGTTCACATTGCAAAAGTAGGAAATTGGACCCCAACCTCATGCCATATAAAAAGTTAAAATGGCTGGGTGTGGTAGCTCACACCTGTAATCCCAGCACTTTTGGAGGCTGAGGCGGGTGGATCACTTGAGGACAGGAGTTCTAGACCAGCCTGGCCCACATGGCAAAACCCCATCTCTTCTAAAAATACAAAAAATTAGCCAGCCATGGTGGTACACCTCTGTAGTCCCAGCTACTTAGAAGGTTGAGGCATGAGAATTGCATGAACCCGGGAGGTGGAGGGGGCAGTGAGCCAAGATCACACCACTGTACTCCAGCCTGGGTGACAAAGTGAGACTTCATCTCAAATATTATAATAATAAAAATAAAATGCATCAGTGACCTAAATATAAGTGCTAAAACCATAAAACTCATAGAAGAAAACAAAGGGATAAATCTTCATGACCTTGGATTAGGCAGTGGAGTCAGATATGACAACAAAAGCATGAACAACAAAAGAAATATTGGGTAAGTTAAACTTCATCAAAATCAAAGACTTTTGTGCTTTAAAGGACATTATTAAGAAAGTGAAAAGCAACAGAATGGGAGAAAATATTAGCAAATCATAGATAAGGGTTTACTATCCAGAATATATAAAGAACTCCTACAACTCAACAATAAAAAGGCCAACAACCCAATTAAAAATGATCAGGGTTCGGTGCAGTATCTGTAATCTCAGCACTTTGGGAGGCTGAGATGGGAGGATCATGGGAACCCAGGAATTTGAGACATGCCTGGGCAACATAGTGAGACTTCATCTCTATAAAAAACTTAAAAAATTAGCCAGGCATGGTGGCACACACTGTGTACCAGCTACTCAGGAGACTGAGGTGGGAAGGTTGCTTGAGTCTGGGAGGGAGAGGTTACAATGAGCCAGTATTGCACGACTGCACACCAGCCTGGGTAATAGAGCAAGACTATCTCAAAAAAAAAAAAAAAGTAGGCCAGGCGTGGTGGTTCACTTCTGTAATCCCAGTGCTTTGGAAGGATGAGGTGGGAGGCTCACTTGAGGCCAGGAATTTGAGACCAGCCTGGCTGCATAGTGAGACCCTGTCTCTACAAAAAAGTTTTGTTTTTGTTTTTGTCTTTGTCTTTGTTTTTTTTTAATAGCCTGGCGTGGTGGCACACACCTGTGGTTCTAGCTACTCAGGAGAGTGAGACAGGAGGATCTCTTGAACCCAGGAGTTCAAGGCTACAGTTAGTTATGATCATCCACTGTACTCTAGGCTGGATGAAAGAGCAAGACCCTGTCTGTAAATAAAATAGGTCGAAGGACTTGAATATATAAATAGCCAGCAAACACATGAAAAGATGCTCAGCATCATTAGTTATTAGGGAAATGCAAATTAAAACCTCAGTGAGAAACCACACCCACTAGGATGGCTATAAAAAACAAAACAGAAAATAATGAGCTGGTAAAAATGTATAGAAATTGGAACCCTGGTACATTGCAGGTGGGAATGTAAAATGGTGCAGCCACTGTGGAAAACAGTGGTTCTTCAAAAATCTAAAAATAGAATTACTGTATGATCCAGCAATTCCACTCCTAGATATATGCCTGAAATAATTGAAAACAAGGACTCAAACATATTCGTATGTCACTGCAGCATTATTCATAATAACCAAAAGGGTAGAGGCACCCTAAGTGTCCATCAACAGATGAGTGGACAAACAAAATGTGATCTATATATACAAGTAGAGTATTATTCACTGATACAAAGGAATGAAGTTATGATACATGTGACAACATGAGTGAACCTTGAAAACATACTAAATAAACCAGACACAAAAGAACAAATATTTAATTCTACTTATATCAAGTAATCTAGAATAGGCAAAGGCATAAAGGGAAAAAATAGATTGGAGGTTATCAGAGGTGCTGGGCTAGGGGAGGGGTGGGAAGTTCTTACCAGTTAGCAGAATTTCTCTTTGGGATGATATAAACTATGTGGAACTAGATAGTAGTGATGGTAGCACAATGTTGTGAACATAATTAATGCCACTGAATTTCACACTTTAAAACGGGTCAAATGACAAATATTATATCTGTTTTACCCTATAACTTAAAAAATGTATGATAGCTATAAAATCTGCATATAATCTAAGTATACTCAGTCTGCCTTCTCCTCCCAAGTAATATTGTAATAGTTCACTGGTAGAGAAGAGGAGCAGTAATGATAATACTTGGGTGATAAATAAATTGCATAATTATAAAATAAAGGAGACTCAAGTAAAAAGGAAGCAAGGCTTAGTAAGTTCTTATGGTAAACCAGAATGTCATGATAATCTGGTAAGGCAGTTGTGTTCTTTCACTCATTATATAATTAAGAAATTCCTGTTTGTACCATCTGAAAAACAGAATTACACTTACTGTTTAGCATCATCCTTTTAGGATGAAAACATCCTGATTTCATTAGAAACGAAAAAATGGTGACTAAAACTCATTGAACATGGTATTGGAAATTGTAACTGTTATTATCTACTCATATTCTTCAAATATACGATGTCAGTTTTTATTAGAAAATAGGCTTTCATTCAGTCTTTTTCCATTTTATTTTGAGAAATTTGAAAAGCCATAGGCATATTAAAAAGTAATACAGTTTACACCATTTACCATTCATTAGATCACAAGTTGTTAACAATTTGGTTTAGTGTATTTACTTTCTTTGTGAACCATTTTAAACTGAGTTGCAGGTGTCATTCCTACATATTTTGACGTGCATCTTCTAAGAATAAGGACATCTCTACCTACCACAATAACATTTCCAACCTAATAAAATTAATAATTCCATAATTACATAATATCTGATTCAAATTCAGATGTTTCCCAGTTGTTTCAAAATACTTTTATACCTCCCAGCCCCGGGATCTAGTCAAGGCTCATGCTTTATATTTGGATGTCTCTTCAGTCTCTTTTAATTTAGAACAGTCCCCTTCATTTTTTCCCCATGAAATTTTTTTTTTAATATTTAATAATAGAGTATTTTAATTAATTTTAAATAGAGTATTATTAATATTTAATAATATAGAGTATTTTAAGATAGAAAAATAGTATTATTTCAGTTAATGTTGCAAAAATCTTTTTTTTTTTTTTTTGAGATGGAGTCTCTTTCTGTCACCCAGGCTGGAGTGCACTGGTGCAATTTCGGCTCACTGCAAGCTCCGCCTCCCGGGTTCACACCATTCTCCTGCCTCAGCCTCCCGAGTAGCTGGGACTACAGGCGCCTGCCACCATGCCTAGCTAATTTTTTGTATTTTTAGTAGAGACGGGGTTTCACCGTGTTAGCCAGCATGGTCTCGATCTCCTGGCCTCGTGATCCGCCCACCTCGGCCTCCCAAAGTGCTAGGATTACAGGCGTGAGCCACCGTGCCTGGCCGCAAAAATCATTTTTATTCAAGCTTGGGATCGTTGTGAATTGTATTTGGAAATACTTTAAGTATTTATTCAGAAACTTTATAACCGGTGACTTTGTACAAGTAGGAATATATTCTGTAGGCTAGGATTTCTCAAATCTTTATTAATCTTATTGGATAAACTTTATAGTTTTAAAAAAAAAAAAAAAGATCTAGGCCAGGTGCAGTGGCTAACACCTGTAGTCCCAACACTTTGGGAGGCCAAGGTGAGAGGACTGCTTGAGCCCAGCCTAGGCAACATGGCAAGACCTTCTGTCTTCAAAAAATTTAAAAATTAGCCAGGCATGGTGTTGCACACCTCTTTTCCCAGCTACTTGGGAGACTGAGGCAGGTAGATAGCTTGAGCCCACGAGGTCGAGGCTGCAGTGGGCCATGTTCATGCCACTGCACTCCAGCCTGGCTGGCAGAGCAAGACCCTGTCTCAAAAAACAAAACAAAAATTTACTCTTCTTGAATATTATTAATATTTGAAAGTGCAAAGTCTTTTTAGTCAAAATTTAAAATGTCTTACAACAGGCTTTTTAAAAATGCATTTGTCCTTTGGAAATTAAGATACTTCCTTTTATCTTCTTTGAAGTCCACTACTGTATTGTATGAAGCATAGTTAATAGAAAAATGTTTCAGTCATACAAAAATTTAGGTAAAATTTTGCTAAAAATTATCCATATTTATAAACTGATGATAATATTTGTTAGACAACCAGGTCAGCAAACTATAGCTTATAGCCATATTTTGCCAATTTTTGTATACCTCACAAGATGATTTTTTTTACGTTTTTTGATTGTTAAAAAAAATAACTATTTCCTATCAGCGAAATATTTTGAAATTCATATTTCAGTATTCCTACATAAAGTGTTATTAGAACACTGCCATACCCATTTGTTGATGTATCACCTGTGGCTTTCTTTGTGCTACAGTGCCAGAGTTGATTAGTTGCAACAGCGATTATATAGCTTACAAAACTTAAAATACTACTCTCTGGGCCTTAATAAAAAAATGTTTGCCAACCTCTGCTCAAAACAGTAACAGCTCATTTATATACAAATATGTAGCTTTTGCTTTTCCCATATTAAGTTGTTCATTTGTAAAAAGAAATTGTAGCCTAATAACCAAATTATACTTTTTCCTTTAAGATTGAAGACCCACTAGCTATTCTTATTCTCTTTGATGAAGCCAGATATAATTTATTGAAGGGCTTTTATACAGCTCCTGATGCTAAGCTGATAACATTGGCAAGTCTGCTTTTGCAAATAGTCTATGGAAATTATGAGAGTAAAAAACACAAGCAAGGTTTCCTAAAGTAAGTATTTAATATTATGCATGGTCTTGTGCTATGCTTAAGATTCTGTTTAACCAAGAAAGTTTAAAAATGTTATTAGAAAATATTTATACATTACATTGGTTTGGAATTAAATAATATAAGACATAGAATGAGAAAAAATATTATACTAAAGCATTCTTAAAGTTATACTCTCCAATTTTACTTTTCTTATATTTGACTATAGTTTGATATACTTTATATTTTTCTTTATCTTTCTTTATGCTTAAATAAGTTCACTAAAACCTGACTCGAATAAGTAGTAAAACATTTTATAAGGCAGATGTACTTAAGAATCCCACCATAAAAACTAGTTTTATGTTCAGTCTTTGAGAGAAAACACTGAGGTTTTAAGCATATCTGAATTTGGTTATTGTGGTTTTCAATTTTCAAAAATATTTTCTGGTTATTGAAAGAAGAAACATTTATCTAAATTGATAATATGAGATTTGTGGCTTTTTGCTTAACATTTTTAGAGTTCTCTGATATTTTACAGCAAAATATTTTTCAGGTTAAAAATTACGTTACTGAAAGCCATTTGTAACAGAATGATTACTATACTTTAGCTACTAAAGATGATTTATTTAAAGGATGTTGGCATGTGTGCTTACAGTGAAGAAAATCTAAAATCCATCGTACCTGTTACCAAACTGAAAAGTAAGGCACCTCACTGGACAAATCGCATACTTCATGAATACAAGGTAAGCTGTTTAATAGAAATGAAAAGACATTTTATAGGCTAGTTGAAACTTTGTTAGTGTTATAAATATTTTAAACAGAGGTAGATTAAATTTATAGTCCTGAAATTAAAAATGTATCTTCTAGTTCACAATGCTTGAAATTGAAAGTAGCAAGATATTTTTATTTTTAGTAATATATAATCTTTTACTGAATACCTTCAACATGCCAAATACTGTGGTAAGGACTAAAGATAAAAATTTGAAATAATATACTATCCATGCCCGTGAAGCAATTAAAACCCAATAACATAGACAGTATTTTTAGACCTCAATTTTTTTTTTTAATATTAACATCACAAGAGAAAAAGTACTCCTGATACAATGTGCCATAATTTTATTCTTTAGGGGCAATCTTGATTTTAGAAACTGCTTAGTTGATCTATTTGGATTATCAATGGTACATTTTCCTTTCATATCTCTTTTATTTTTAATTTACCTTGTTTGTTTTTAGAATCTCAGTACAAGTGAAGGTGTCAGTAAAGAAATGCATCACCTTCAGCGCATGTTCTTACAGAATTGCTGGGAAATTCCTACTTATGGAGCAGCATTTTTCACAGGACAGATATTTACAAAGGCAAGCCCCAGCAATCATAAAGTCATCCCTGTGTATGTAGGAGTGAATATAAAAGGACTTCATCTCCTCAACATGGAAACTAAGGTAGATTTTCAGCTCTTTTTTACCAATCATGTCATATAATAGTTAAAACAACAGTACCAACCTACATGAAGAATTTAGAAATGGCATATATACAAGACTGTTCATTGCAACTCATTCATTACATAAGAGGAAGGGGGACACTAAATCACTGTCAGTAAGGCGTTAATATTATATTACATTTCTGCATTAGAATACCCTTCAGCCATAAAAAAGAATAAAGAGTATTTTTGTGTAGAATGATCTGCAAGATACATTTAATGAAAAAGCAAGGTGCTGAACAATATGTAATATGCTGCCTACTCTTGCTATTAAAATGGGAGGAAATGAGGATGATTTTTACATAAATACATATTGCTTGTATATGCATAAAATATTTCTTGAAGCCTTTAGAGAAGGGAACCAGGTAACTAGGAATAAAAGTAAGGAGGGAAACTTTTCATTACATACCTATCTAGTTCAGGCCACTATAACAAAGCCCTATAGACTGATTGGCTAATGAACAACAGAAGTTTTATTTCTCACAGTTCTAGAAACTGGAAGTCTGAGATCAGCGTGCTAGCGGGGTTGGATTCTAGTGAGAGCGTTTTTCTGGGTTGGAGACTGCTGACATCTCCTTGTAGCCTCATATGGCAGAAAGAATGAGGGAGTTATCTTGGGGTCCCTTTTATAAAGGCATGAATCCCATTCATGTGGGCCCTGCTCTCATAAATTATGGCATAATTACTTCTCAAAGGCTCTACCTCCCAATACCATCACTTTAGGAGTTAGGATTTCAACATACCAATTTTGGGAGGCAGGACACAAACATTCAGTCCATAACAATGCCATTTTGCAACTTGAAAGTTTTAACTGTGTGATTATGTTGCCTGTTTAAAACATTTGTTAGGTTAATTGAAAAAGATGAAAAAAAGAAAAATATTATATGTGACACAAGGGCTTCACTTTGAAAAATTAGAATTAGTACAAGAACCTTTTGGGGAGCAGGATGAAGTATGGAAGGGATTGAATATCCACTAGAATACTTCAGAGCTTCTTTCTTGTTTTTTGTTTTTCACATTTAAACATTTTTTTATTTATGTATTTATTTTTTGAGACAGGGTCTCACTCTGTTCCCCAGGCTGGAGTTCAGTGGTGCAATCATAGCTCACTGCAGCTTTGAACTCATGGACTCAAGCAATCCTCCTACCTCAGCCTCCTGAGTAGCTGGGACTATAGGCACGTAACACCATGCCTGGCTTTTTTTTTTTGTTGTTTTTTGTTTTCTTTCAGAGACAGGATCTTGTTATGTTGCACAGTTTGGTCTCAAACTCCTGGCCTCAAATGATCCTCCTGCCTCAGCTTCCCAAAGTGCTGGGATTACAAGCATGAACCACTGGGTCCCACTCATTTTTTTAATTGATACATAGTAGTTGTACATATTTATGAGGTACATGTCATATTTTGATACATGCATATAATATGTAATGATCAAATCAGGGTAATTAGGAAATTCATCACCTTAAATATTTATCATTTCTTTGTATTGGGAACATTTCAACTTATCTCTTAGCTATTTTGAAATATACAATAAATTATTAACTATAGTCACCCTAGTGTACTATGAAACACGGCAACTTATTCATTCTATCTAACTGTATGTTTGTACCCGTTAACTGACCCTCTCCTTATTCCTACCCTACCCTACCCTTCCCAGCTCTGGTAATCATCATTCAACTCTCTACCTCCTTGACATCAACGTCTCACGTATATGAGAACATAGGGTATTTGACTTTCTGTGCCTGGCTAATTTCACTTAACAAAATGACCTCCAATTCCATTCATGTTGTTGCGAATGCAAGATTTCATTCTTTTTTATGGCTGAATAATATTTCATTGTGCATATATACCACGTTTTCTTTATTCATTCATCTGTTGGGAGACACTTAGGTTGATTCCATATCTTTGCTATTGTGAATAGTGCTGCAGTCAACATGGGGTTGCAGGATCCCACTGATTTCCTTTCCTTTGGAAGAATACTCAGTAGTGAGATTGCTGGTTCATATGGTAGTTTTATTTTTAGTTTTTGAGAAACCTCTATACTGTTTTCCATAATGGCTCTACTAGTTTATATTCCCACTAACTCTGTATAAAAGTTCCCTTCTGTCTGCATCCTCACCAGCATTTGTTATGTTTTTGTCATTTTGATAATAGCCATTCTAACTGGGGTGGGATGAAATGTCACTGTGGTTTTGACTTGAACTTCCCTGATGATTACTCGTGGTAAGCATTTTTTAATATACTTCTTGGCCATTTGTATGTCTTCTTTTGAGAAATGTCTGTTCTAATCATTGCCTACTTTATAATGGGATATGTTTGTTTGCTGTTGAATTGTTTGATTTCCTTGTAAATTTTGGATATTAGTCCCTAGTCTAATGAACAGTTTGAAAATACTGTCTCCCATTCACCACATTGTCTCTTCACTCTGTCGATTGTTACGTTAGCTGTGCAGAAGCTTAATAGTTTAAATAGTCCCATTTGTCTGTTTTTGTTTTTGTTGCCTATGCTTTTGAAGTCTTAACCATAAAATCTTTGCCTAGACCAATGTCCAAAAGCATTTCCCTTATGTTTTCTTCTACTAGTTTTATAGGCTCAGGTCTTACATTTAGGTTTTTTATCCATATTGACTTGATTTCTGTATATGGTGAGAGATGGAGTCTAGTTTTATTCTTGTGCATGTGGGTATCCAATTTTTCCAACACCATTTATTGAACAGGGTGTTTTTTTCCCCAATGTTTGTTCTTGGCACCTTTGTTGAAAATGAGTTGGCTGTAAATACATGGATTTATTTCTGGGTTCTCTGTTCCATTGAGATCTGTATTTACAATAACATCATGCTGTTTGGTTACTGTAGGTTTGTGTAGTTTATTTTTTGAAATTAGATAGTGTGATGCCTCCAGCTTTGTTCTTTTTTTCTCACTATTGGTTTGGCTATTTGGAATCTTTTGTTATTCCAAATGAATTTTAGAATTTTTTTTTATTTCTGTAAAGCATGTCATTGGTATTTCAATAAAGATTGCATTGAATTACTTGATTGCTTTGGGTAATATTGCTGTTTTATTTTTATTGATTGATTGATTGATTTTGAGATAGAGTCTTGCTTCATCACCCAGGCTGGAGTGCGGTGGCGTGATCTCGGCTCACTGCAACCTCTACCTCTTGGGTTCAAGCAGTTTTCCTGCCTCGGCCTCCCAAGTAGCTGGGATTACAGGCTTGCACCACCATGCCCAGCTAATTTTTTTTTTCTTTTGTATTTTTAGTAGAGACAGGGTTTCACTATGTTGGCCAGGCTGGTCTTGAACTTCTGACCTCAGGTGATCCACCCACCTCGGCCTCCCAGAGTGCTGGGATTACAGGCATGAGCCACCATGCCTGGCCTATATTGCTATTTTAACAATATTAACTCTTCCAATCCATGAGCATGGATATCTTTCCAATTTTTTGTGTGCTCTTGAATTTCTTGCATCAGTGTTTTGTAGTTTTCATTACAGAGGTCTTTCAGTTTTTTAGTTAGATTTATTCTCAATTATTTGATTTTTTTTACTAGCTATAGTAAATGAGATTGCTTTCTTGATTTCTTTTTCAGCTGGTTCATTATCGGTGTATAGAAATGCCACTTATTTTTGTATGTGAATTTTGTGTCCTGCAACTTTATTGAATTTGTTTTATCAGTTCTGTTAGTTTTTTGGTAGAGTCTAGGTCTTTCTGTATATAAGATCATGTCATCTGCAGAGAGGGACAGTTTGACTTCCTGTTTACCAATTTGTATGGCTTTTATTTCTTTCTCTTACCTGATGCTCTCTCTAGGACTTCCAGTACTTCCAGTACTATGTTGATTAAGAGTGGTTGAAAGTGGGGTATCCTTGTCTTATTCTAGTTCTTATAAGAAAGGCTTTCAGCTTTTCCCCTTTCAGTATGATGTTAGCTGTGGGTTTGTCATATATGTATGGCCTTTATTGATTGAAGTATGTTCCTTCTATGTGAATTCGCTGAGAGGTTTTTTTTTTCATCACGAAACGATATTGAACTTCATGAAATTCTTTTTCTGCACTTATTGAAACTATTATATGGTTTTTGTCCTTCATTCTATTGATTGTATCACATTTATTAATTTGCATATGTTGAATCATCCTCACCTCCCGGGCATAAATCCCATTTGATCATGGTGTGTTATCTTTTTGATGTGTTGTTGGACGCAGTTTGGTAGTATTTTGTGGGTGATTTTTGCATCTATGTTTTTCAGGACTGTTGGACTCTTGTTTTCTTTTTTGTTGTGTCCTTGTCTGGTTTTGTTATTGGAATGATGCTGGCCTCGTTGAATGAGTTAGGAAGAATCCTCTTCAGTTTTTTGGTCCATTTTAAGAAAGTTGGTATTCTTCATTATAGGTTTGGTAGAATTTAGCAGTGAAGTCATCTGGTTTTTGTTTATTGAGAGACTTTTTGTTCCTGATTCAACCTCATTACCGAGAATTTATCTGTTGAGGTTTTCTTTTCCTTCCTGGTTCAATATTGGTAGGTTGTCTGTGTCCAGGAATTTATCTTTTTCCTCTAGGTTTTCCAATTTGTTAGCCTATCATTGGTCCTAATAGTCTCTAAGGAGTCTTTGTTATTTCTGTGGTCTCAGTTATAATGTCTCTTTTATCATTTATGATTTTGTTTATTTGGATTTTCTTTCTCTCTTGGTTAGTCTACCTAACAGTTTACTCATTTTATCTTTTTGAAGAACCAACTTTTCGTTTTGTTGATCCTTTGTAATTTTTTTCTTTTTTCTTTTTTTTTAAGTCTTTCTTTCTTTTAGTTCTGGTCTGATCTTTCTTATTTCTTTCCTTCTGCTAATTTCAGGGTTGGTTTTTTCTTGCTTTTCTAGTTCCTTGAGGTGCATCGTTAAGTGTTTGAGATCTTCCTACTTTTTTGCCATAGATGTTATTGCAGTAAACTTTCCTCTTACACTGCTTTTGCTACATCCCTTAGGTTTTGGTATATGGTGTTTTCATTTTCATTGCATTTGAGAAATTTTTTTATTTCCTTCTTAATTTTTTAATTGACCCAGTGGTCATTCAGGAGCATGTTGTTTAATTTCCTTTTATTTGTACAGTTCCCAAAATTTCTTTTGTTACTGATTTATAGTTTTATTTCATTGTGATCTGAGAAGATACTTTTACAAAATTTGTTGGGACTTGTTTTTTGGCCTAACAGATGGTGTATCCTGGAGAATGTGTGTTCTGCAGCTGATGGATGAAATGTTTTGTAAATGTCTGTTAGATCCATTTATTTATTTATTTGTTTGTTTATATTTTTTTAGAGACAGAGTCCTGCTCTGTCGCCTAGGCTGAAGTGCAGTGAGCAATTTCAGCTCACTGTAAAACCTCTGCCTCCTGGGTTCAAGCGATTATCCTGCCTTAGCCTCCTGAGTAGCTGGGATTACAGGCATGTGCCACCACACCTGGCTAATTTTTGTATTTTTAGTAGAGACGAGGTGTAGCCATGTTGCCCACGCTGGTCTCAAACTCCTGGCCTCAGGTGATCCAACCACCTCGGCCTCCCAAAGTGCTGGGATTACAGGCGTGAGCCACTGCACCTGGCTGTTAAATCCATTTAGTCTAAAGTGCAGTTTAAATCCAGTGTTTTTTTGTTAATTTATTTTGATCCATTCAGTGTTGAGAGTGGGGTGTTGAATTCCCCAACTATTATTGTATTGGAGTCTGTCATTCCCTTTAGATCTAATAACAATGGCAAAAATCGCAGTTATTTTTGCACCAACCTAATATAAAGCTTTTTTTTTTTCTTTAACTTTTAGCATTTTAAACACATCATCCCAGGCTCTTCTGGCCTGTAGTTTCTTCTGAGAAATCTGTTGTTTGTTTGATGGCAATGTCCTTATATGTGACCTGATGCATTTATCTTATGGTTTTTAGAATCCTCTTGTTGTCTTTGAGTTTTGACAGTTTGACTATAACATGCCTTGGGAAAGACCTTTTTAGGTTAGATCTGCTTGGGTATCTTTGAGCTTCCTGTATCTTGATGTCTGCATCTCTTACAAGACTTAGGGAGTTTTCAGCTATTATTTCTTCAAGTAGGTTTTCTTTGACTTTCTCCATTTCTTCTCCCTCTAAAATCTCAGAATTCAAATGTTTGGTCACTTTATGGTGTCCCCACATGTCACATTGGCTTTCTTCATTCTTTTTTATTTCTTGATTTCTTTCTTTTTTTTTTTTTTTTTGTCTGCCTGGGTTAAGATACCTTCGGGTTTACAAATTCTTTATTCTGCTTGATCTAGTCTATTGTTGAAGCTCTCAGTTGTGCTTTTTATTTCATTTATTGAGTTCTTCCATTCCAGGATTATGTACTTTTGTTATCTTATATGTCTTAAGTCACACTGAGTTTCTTTAATGTCATTTTGATTTTTTTGTTAGGCATTTCAAAATTTGGGGGGAGCATCTGTTACTGAAGAATTATTGTTTTCCTTTGAAGGTGTCATGTTTTCTTGCTTTTCAATGTTTTTTGTATCGTTATATTTATATCTGTACATCTGATGTCACTTCTTCCTATTTTATGCATTGGCTTTTGTAGGGAAAGACTTTTTCCTGTAGATGTAGCTATAGTGTTGGTTGGATAGGGTGCTTTGGCTTTGATTCTGGGTGAGTGCAGTAGTATAGTCTCCCTGTGATTTCTTCAGCTTTAATGAGCATTAGCGGTGTCTGAGAGTCCCTCAGTGGCTTAGACTGTGGTTGTTAATGAAGGCTGTAGTAGGCTTTTCTGGGGACTGTGACTCCAGGTAGACCAGTGCTCAGGCACTAGTAGTTGTGCCAGTAGGCAGGGCATGCCTTTCCTCAGGCCCCTAGATAGTACATGTGGGCGCCAGCAGGCATAGGCAGAGCATAACAGTACTTAAGGCCCCAGATGAAATGCACAGGCACCAACAGCAGGCAGAACAGGCCTGTCGTCAGGCCCTCTGATGGTGTATGCAGGCAATGGCAGCAGCGTGCTAGTTGAGTCAGTCCTCAGGCCCTTAGATGGCATGCTTAGGCACAGTTGACAGTGGCAGTGGGCAGAGCAGGCTTGTCCTTAGGACCCTAGATAATGTGTGCTGGTGGCAGTGGTGGGCAGGGCAGGCTTCTCTCCAAGCCCACCTCTGGAGTTTGCAGGTGCTGGTGGCAGGCAGGTGGGTTGACCTCCTGGCACTATGTGCACAGGTGACAGCAGCAGTAGGTGGGTTAGACCCTTTTCAATCCCACTTTAGAGCTCTTCAGTTAGAAGTTAGTTTATGGTGCTCCTTTTTCTAACCGTAAGTCATTATAAAATACAGGTTTATCAGTTATTTTTTGGCATATTTAACACATTTAAATGGGATGAACAGCTTTTTAGTTTATAATAGGAAGCTAATAAAAATCAAATCTAATTTGTTTCATTTTGTTTTGTTTTTTGAGACAGAGTCTTGCTCTGTCACCCAGGCTGGACGCAGTGGTGTGATCTTGGCTCACTACAACCTCTGCCTCCTAGGTTCAAGCAGTCCTCCCGCTTTAGCCTCTCAAGTAGCTGGGATTACAAGCATGAACCACCAAGCCCACCTAATTTTTGTGTTTTTCATAGGGGGGTTTCACCATGTTTGCCAGGCTGGTCTCGAACTTCTGACCTCAAGTGATCCACCTGCCTCGTAATTTGTTAATTAAGATTTGTTAAGAATAGACCAAATCAGTTAAAGTAATAATGAAGCTTATGCATTTTTAAAAGGCATTTAGATTAGGAAATTTCACTGTAAACCCAGTTTTTATTTTCCTCATTTTTATGTGTCTTTTTTGTTGTTGTTGTTGTTGAGATGAGTTTCGCTTTTGTTGCCCAGGCTGCAGTGCAATGGCGTGATCTTGGCTCACTGCAACCTCTGCCTCCGGGGTTCAAGCGATTCTCCTGCCTCAGCCTCCCAACTAGATGGGATTATAGGCATGTGCCACCACACCTGGCTGATTTTGCATTTTTAGTAGAGAGGGGGTTTCTCCATGTTGGTCAGGCCAGTCTCGAACACCTGACCTCAGGTGATCCGACTGCCTCGCCCTCCCAAAGTGCTGGGATTACAGGTATGAGCCACCGTGCTCGCCCCTTTATGTGTCTTGATAGGTCTTTATAATCACATAACTCCTGAAATATCCCAGTCATAGTTTAGTCATTTTATATTAATTTTCAGGGTTATCTTTAAGGGCAACAGTTACTTTGATAGATACACACGTGAATGGAGATAAAATATCTAGGAACATAGGGTGGAATAGAGTCTGATTTTAGTAATGACCTGGAGCTTAATTTCTTGAAGTCTCTTCTAGCAGGGGTCCCCAACACCCAGGCCATGGACTGGTACCGGTCCATGGCCTGTAAGGAACCGGGCCGCACAGCAGATGAGCAGCAAGCAAAGCTTCATCTGTATTTACAGCACTCCCTATCACTTGCATTACCATCTGAGCTCTGCCTCCTGTCAGATCAACGGTGGCATTAGATTCTTATAGGAACATGAACCCTCTTTTGAATTGCACATGCAAGGGATCTAGGTTTCATGCCCCTTATGAGAATGTAATGCCTGATGATCTGTCACTGCCTCCCATCACCCCCAGATGGGACCATCTAGTTGCAGGAAAACAAGCTCAGGGCTCCCAGTGATTTTACATTGTGGTGAGTTGTATAATTATTTCGTTACATATTACAATATAATAGTAATAGAAATAAAGTGCACTATAAATAAAATGGGCTTGAATCATCCCAAAACCATCCCTGACACCCCTGTCTGTGGAAGAATTGTCTGCCACGAAACCGATCCCTGGCACCAAAAAGGTTGGGCACTGCTCTCTTGCGGTCACCTTGCTTTTGGGTCATTTGCTTATCATTTTCTTTTTCTTTCCTTTTTTTTTTTTCCTTGGGACACAGTCTCACTCTTTTGCCCAGGCTGGAGTGCAGCGGCACCATCATAGCTCAGTGCAGCTGCAAACTCCTAGGCTCAGGCAGTCCTCCTGCCTCAGCCTCCCAAGTAGTTGGGACTACAGGCATATGCCACCACACCCAGCTAATTTTTTTATTATTTGTAGAGATAGGATCTCACTTTGTTGCCCAGGCTGGTCTCAAACTCCTGGTCTGGGCAACAAAGTGAGACCTTATCTCTACAAGGTGATTCTCCCACCTTAGCCTCACAAAGTGCTGGGATTGCAGGTGTGAGCCACCACACCATCCTCATTTTCTGTTAAAACTATTTTGCCCACACAAAATAGGCTGCTGTTTATTAGCTTGTAACCACTTTTCTATTTCTCTTGTACTAAGTTCATTAAAGGAAATGAAGGAGAAATGCCCCCCACCATTTCAAGAAATTTTTCCTCTGCTGTTTCAGAGCATTTTATACCAACATCTGCAAATCATTCTTCATAGAACTGGATGGT